>NC_000002.12:89753992-90078251 GCF_000001405.40 Homo sapiens | reverse complement strand
CTATGGTGGGAAGGCCAGTTATATTGTAGGCTACATGAATGACATGCCTGGTCAAACCAATCCTGAGAGCCCTATGCAAATCAGACACCACTTCCTCCAGCCTCCTCATATAGGAGTCTCTTTTCTGCTGCACAGAGAGTTTTCTCTTTGAATCACACCTTCCCCTGTCTCTGTATGGGGGAGGTGTTTTCTTCTTCCTTCCTTCTTGCATATTAAACCTTTCTCTCCTTAAAACACTCCACATGTGTCTGTGTCGTTTTATCCAAACTGGCGTGAGATCAAGAACTCTGGTGTTCCTCCAGTCACTGGAGCCATATCATAAAAATTCTACCTTACATAGCAAAAAGAGAACTTGACAGATGTAAGTTAAGGACTTTGAGAATAAGAAACCTGGTTATCGAAATGAAACCAATATAATCACAAAGTCCTTAAAATAGAGGAGGAGGCTCACAGTCAGAGAGGAGCTGAGACAATAGGGAGGGATGTGGTTTGAGGAAGGAAGGGGCCATGGAACCAGAACTATGGGAGCACCTGGAACGTAAAAAGCAGAGAATCCAGTTCTCTCCTCTGGATCCTCCAGAAGGAATGCAGCCCTACTGACACCTTAGCATTAGCTCAGTGAGACTTCTGACCTCCAGAATTACAGGGTAATACATTTATGTTGTGTGAAGCCAATAAGACTGTGGTGATTTAAACAGCAGCGTTGGAAACTAATGCAAGGGGAAGAGATGTCTTTCAGCTCACTGAGTGCATGACTGTCCTCTGTTCTTGGAAATATTTCCACCTTGTTTTCTGGTGTCAGTTTTGACAAGAGACAGAGAAAATGTTTCTGAGAGAAGAGCTAGGACAAGAATTCTTTTTAGCTAGAAAATCTCTTGGGTAAAATCCCATGACTATCTCTTATACGATCTGGGTATCACAGAGTTTAGCGGTCAGATCTCACAGCACATGATAGGAGGAAGAGACTTCTGTTAGTTTGTTTTCATGTTAGGAGGGAAAATTGATTTTCAGCACACAATCTGAGAAAGACAAACTGAGTCAGAGATATTGTAAGAGAAAGAGGAGATGTGGAAGGATTCAGGGCAATGAAACATGTGTCCCAGCTCCAAAATCTAAAATAAAGTCATTGATTATCAAAGGTGAAGCAAAGCTCTTCACCTTCCATCTTCTTATGAAGGATCAAATTCTTCCCAGAGTCCCTGCCCCTCCTTCACTCCCCTGACATTGCATTGTGGAGCTAATCACATGTATCCTTAATCCCTGCTCCTGTCCCGGGCTGGGAGAGGCTCACTGTCCTCACCATGTCCAGCAGGATAGAGCTGGTGTCCTAGGCACCAAAGGAGAAGAAGATGGTTTCTGTGCAGGCAATAAGAGCTTTGCCACACATTACATTTCGCTATAACTCTAAGTAAAGTTGTGTGGAGAGAAGAGAACATATGGGCAACTTTACCTGGTGGGCTTGGAAGAGGCCAGGCTCTGAGAATGACAATGAATTCACATTTCTACTTTTCCAGATGGCAAATGCCAGCTTTAGCAATTATGGAAATGTGGACTTTGAGTTTAAGAACAAGACAGACTTTCCAGTACTACAATAAATGAGGAGACATTTGGAATAGGGTCCTTAACCCAGGGCTACAGTCAGGCTGGCAGTGCCTGAGAGCTGCCCGATGCTGACCCTAAGCTGTGGAGGAAGCAGCTGCTCTCCTGAGCCACAGAGCTGAGGACCTGGGAGGAACCACAGGCCCTGGCCACAGGGCTGCCTGGCAGGGGCTTAAGGGAAGGAAACTGCTCACAAATTCACGAGAGCTGCATTAAGCATATATCCTGCAGCCTGGCAAGAGTAAAAGTCTCAAGACCCAGACCTCGGGACTAGCTCTGGGTTCCTGGGATGGGTGCTGTCAGCTGTGCCCTCCCTGGTACTGAATGACTGGGACCTTGTTGGAGCCAAAGAGGGAGAGTCTGCAAATGTACTCAAAGTCTTTACTCAGCCAGACTCTGTTCTGCTTGGAAATAAAAGGAACACACGCTACAAAAATAAATGTAAAATTATGTGTATATGTAATATGAATTTCTAATATAAACTTTACATATTGAATACATATAATACTTTAGAAGTAAGTTGTATTTATATATTTGTATATACTATGTATCTGTTTATGAAAAAATATGCGATGCACGTTTATATATAAAGAGAACTTTGATTGCTAGTATAAGGTATAGTTTTAAACTTTAATAAGTTGAACATGAACATTGAAAATGAGCACTGGGTGTACCACCACATGGCCCCTTTCTCACTACAGGACCTGAGGGTCATAAAGCTCAGGACCCTCTTCCACGTTCCCCTGGGCTGAGAGCAGAGAGCTGCCCATTGCTGAGGATAATAAGTGACCTGAGGTGGGTGTGCAGAATCACAGAGCAGCAGATGCCCAGGAGATGGATAGTGGCTCTGGGCCCTGAATGGAGGGAAGTTTTGTCACCAGAGCTCAGCATAGACAAGTCCTCTTCTGGTCATTTCCATCAAACAAAGCAGCACATGTGGCTCAGAGGCTGCATAGTCACAGGATGAAGACCCGCCATGGCTCATTCCCAGCTTCCCCTCTGACTGGGGTGATGTGGGATCTCACTGCCCAGGTTTCATGACTCACCAGCTGCTGGGACTCTGTTGACAATGGCCTATGTCTGCTCCATGCACAAGCTTCTCAGTATTTGACATTTTACTTTCTGGTCTCCAGTAACCACGACTTGCCAACCATGACCCTTCCACAAAGATTCATGGAGTGGGGTCAGAACTATGGGTTCAGCAATGTGCTGGGCCATGTATATAAGAGAAACAAGGCGCGGCCAGCCCATGTCTGAAGTGAGGATGAATTTGCATCATGAATTCAGAGAAGGAGGTGGGAGAAAACATCCTGACATGCTCCGTGCAGTGATGCCCACAAGATACACTGGAGGTGACCATAGAGGAGGTGGGAAGGGAGTTTGAGACAAAGTGAATTCAGAGGTGTCCCTCAGCCTGTTGCCCTGAGAAGACTTCAGACCCTTAGCAGCCCCTGGGCAGAGCTGTTGCTAGGGAAGATTTGTGCATGATAGGAAACAGGAGGAGGGAGCACCTACCTCTGAAGGCATCTTGGTTGGTGATGGCCAGAGTGAAATATGTTCAGGCCCACCGCCCCTGACCCAGGCAGGGATCATGTCCAGTGGGGCAGCAGGATCAAGCAGGAGCAGGAGCTCAGAGCCAGATCTGGTTTCCGCTGGTGCCAGACTAGGATGTTTTTCATACTCCAGCAGGCCCTGCAGGTGACAGTGACCCTCTCACTTGGGACACAGGGAGGGGGCTGGAGATGGCATCCGCACAACATGCTGACTATTATCCAAGTGCGGAACAAACATGCAAATCTCCCAATATTAATACGAAGCAAGTAGTTTGTTCAATTTGATGCAATTCTGATCAGAAAAAAAGTGGGCTAACAACTTCATCATCAAAGAAATGTTCATGTTTGATACAAACTATCTGAGGATGAAGCCTCAGTTCCCCTTCCTCACCAGGCAGTCAGAACAGAAGGAGGAAGAGAAGAAAAGCTGGGTCCCAAAGTCCACAAGGTGCCTCCTGAGGCTGATTCTGCTCAGAGAAGGTGGGGACGGTAGATTGTCTGCTGGGACTGCCACATCAAAATTCCCTGGGCAGGATGGCTTAAAGGAAAGAAATTTACTTCTAACAGTTTGGAAGGCTGGAAAGTCCAAGATCAAGGTCCAGAAAGGTCTGCTTTCTGCTGAGGACCCTCCCTCTGATTTTCAGATGCCACCTTCTGTCCATGTCCTCACATGGCCTTTCCTCACTGCATGCATGGAGGGAGGGGGTGGAGGAGAGCTCAGTGGGGTCTCTTTTTATAAAGACACTAGTCTTATTGAATCAGGGCCCCATCCTTATTATCTCCTTTAACTCTAATTACCACCTTATATGCTTTATCTTCAAATGTAGCTATATTAGAGGTTAGAGATTCAAGAGAAGAGTTTCTGAAGCACAATTCAGTCCATAGCAGATGGGCTTTGGGGACACAGCCAAGGCAGCAGTGAAGGCAAGGCTGGGCTTCTAGTCTCAGAGCACAGAGCACAGAGGTGGTTCCCACAGTGCAGGATGCTGGCAGCTCCTCCCAGGTACTCTAGGTACCACAGAGACCACATTCCAGCCTTAGGGGCTACCTGTTGATAATAGGACACTATCACTCTTAACCTCTCCAAGTATTTCTCTGATCAGGGTTATATCTTAGGGTTATTATGGGGTTTGTCTACCACCTAGTCTTAAGATTGTAGCTTAGCCTCTTATATAGGATTGTAGATGCTGAGTCCCGGTGAGTCTTGACCGTGAGTCTTTTCACGGGTATTAATGAAGGGGATCTCAGGCCAGATTCATCCATCACTAGGCCAGATTCACAAAACAATTTCTCTTCTCAACAAACTAGCTGCATAGTTGAGGCCAAAAGATAGTCAGAAAAGTTATTTGTCAAAAAAATATTGTGGGCTAGATTCTGTGACCCATGTGAGATGCCAAAGTTTTGGAAAAGAGATGATGGGCCACGAGGAATCCTGCAGGACATAATGGCAGGGGTGGGGATGGGAAGCACAGGGCCCTGTTCTGGAACTGTCATCCCAGTCTCATTCCTCCCATCCAAGAAAGCCTTCCAGAGAAGCTCTGAGGACCACAGCAGCAGCTCCAGTCAAGAAGGATCCAGGCCACACTGCCCTCTGAATGAAAGCTGCTGAGGCCTGTGCTCTAAGCAGTAACACTGAGTGACCACATGTCATCATTGAGGTCAGCACCAGCCAAAACAATTTTTCTAAGATGATGAAAATGTCTGTATTTATGCTCTGCAAGGGTAGCCATTAATCATATGTGGTTACTGAGCCCTTGAAATACAGCATGTATAACTAAGAATCTACATTTTTAACTTTAATTAAGTCTGATTTACATATTTGCAGCTATGCATTGCTAGTGTTAACCACGTGAGACAGCACAGTTTTAGACAATAATAACCAACAATGTCATCAGGACAACTAAGTTGCTAATTAACAAGCGAGGGTCTTTTCCAGGACCATTGCACCAAGCTGGGGCTGTATGTTGGTCAAAGTAGACCACGTGGGTGGATCTTTGGAATCTTTTCTGGATTCTACTGCTTCTAGGCAGGTGGTAGAAACTCTTCCTCTTGGAGACACTGAGGGAGAGACTGGAGACTGGGGTCTACAGTGTTGCCACTAGAATCTGAGGTGGAAACAAAACACAAATCTTCCCCAGTATTAATGATGTCTCACTCTGTGGGCTTCCCAGCAGAGTCCTGCTGGCTGACCAAGCAGTAGGTGAATGCAGGAGGTGAATGCTGGGCTCCCTGAGCAATGGACTCAATCTCAGTCCCATGGGACATTTGAGCCCTGTCACATGGAGCCCCCACAGCTGAGGTCAGGGCACCAGGACACTAAGGGCCAGAGTGCTATGTCCAGTGTCCAGTGCTCCCCCTGCCTCAGATGGTCCCACCCCAAAGGCAGCGACCAACACACCAATAAGGGCTTGAGTGGCAGGGAGGGGCTTTAGGAAGCCTGCAAACTAGCAACAAAGGAGAGATCTGGGCTTCCAGCTTCTGAGCAAGAGAACATTCTGTGTCATGGGTATGATCCAGGCCAAGGTATTTGGTGAAAGATATTAGGATAAATTTTATTCTTAAGGGAATAAAATCACAGAAGGCATTGGATTATTATAGGATTGATTGGCTATTACAAAGGTTTAAAAACATACTTTTTTCAATACACAGTTGTTTATCTGAAATCCCCCGGTCCCTGCCCTCCTAATGGTGATCCGTTCACCACGGTCACTTCATTGTCTTCTCATCACTCAGATACATCTTCAGTATGACCCTGAGACCTTCCCCGATCAGCACAAATAAATGGCCTCAGACTCCAGATACCACATATCATTACCTGACTTTTATGTAGTTTGTCAACTACTGAAAGTATTCTATTCAGTTTCATTATGTGGTTATTGTTCTGTGCATGGCTCATTCCCCTACTGAATATCAGTGCTTGGGATCAAAATTTGTCTTAATTATTCACATGCATCTTACCCTCAAATGATGGCATTTACTTGTTCCTGAAAAATATGATATTAAGTGAAAATTCATTAAATTCAAAAATATGTCTGTCTTTCTTATTGGAAAAATATGTGATACATTCCCCTCAACTAGAGAGACTTAGCTACTTTTACAGTTGGAAAAGATTGATTGGACACAAATCTATAAAAACACATTTATAGGAGTAACAAGCATCATTTTGAAAATCTGCTTTGCTTGTAAAATGTCCAGTATGATGAACTGTACACAACACAGAAGGAAGAAAGGTCCTCACGGAGGATGGGGCCTGATAGAGAGGGTGGGGGAGTCAGTTCTTTGAAGCATGGGGAGGGTCTAATAAGTGACCTCAGGCAGGTGTCCAATACCAGGACCAGATATTTCTAATTACAACTTTATTTTCCTTAAGGTTTCTGCATATACATAGAATAAGTGGAATACAGGTTGAATGCAACATGCTTCAGAACACATACAAACAGCCCACACACATAAAAACTAAAGAATCTTACAGAATGTTGTCTCTTCCTCAGCCTTTCTTGACCTTGGTTTTAACCAACCACGGCACAAAATTTAAGTTTTTTTCCAGAGGATGTTCTTCAACTTGGAACATCTTGTGGAGAAAGTTGGTGGCAGTGTCTGAAACACATCATTTCTTACAATGCATTTTTTCACTTCTTTGGAATAAAATATCTGTGTTATTAAAAAAGTTTGATAGAAAATTGATGTAACTTTATGTGACCAAATACGACGAAAATCTTTAACAAAAATGTCACTAAGTCTGAATTCTCAACGACTGCATTGTATTCCAAAGTTATTTTTAAATAAATGAATAAATACACAGGAAACAAAGTCAAAAAAATGAATTTAGTTTCTCTTGGTATTAAAAGATGTTAGCAATAAGATACTGGTCTTTTAATCAAGAATAATGAAAATTTAAAAAATACATTTTTTCAAACACAATTTGGATAATAGAGGTGGAAAAACAGGAGACAGACAATGCTTTTGATGTGCAGAAAAGAAAATTCCAAGGATCATGGGTGATCTCCCTGTGTTTCATATGTCAAACAAGATATAAAATCAAATGTCCATTTTGTTTTTACATCTTACTTGAGTTCCTGAAGCTACTTTCTCTTTGTAGTTTTTGCTTTGGTACACTCAGATTTTGGTGAAGCAGTTCTTATGGAGGAATTAAGAGTTGCTGATTTCAACCTTCTTTGGCTTGTAGCCCTGTCCTGCTTCTAAGACTGGCAACAAAAGACGCTGATTCCTTTTTTATTCCAGGTAAATATTGTTTCTGGGATAGTCCCCATTTCCAAAGCTATAGCTAGATATTTATAACCCTGTTCTTGATGGACCAGTTTCATGTTTCAAAACCCAAATATTCAGTGAAAGTGAACCTTAAATGTTAATCTGATTTAACAAATGTCAGACTTCACAGAGCCGCTTTGGAAATAGGAACAATGTCTCATTCCTTTGAACCCACAATGACTGAAACCTGAGTCCATGGCTCTTCTGTCAAAAGAGCTCCAGGCCATCACCTGATTGTTTCCTAATCTTTACCCTTTAAAGTGATTTTGTCATAAATGAATTACTGTAGCCCTGAAGAATAATCCACAGTTTTTACCAACTTGTAAAGGACAGTTTCTGTACACCTATGGAAAGAAACAGGAGAAGTAATCTTCAACAACTCTTCTCCTAGTTTGAAAGTTACTGTGGGTAAAGATGAAAGTGTGAGGCACTGACTCTTGGGTGTCAGCTCTGCTGAATGGGCCATATGTGATGGTATTTGGTAAATTATTTCCCCAACTGCACCTGCAAGGATCATAAAAACGGGGTATTGTTCAGTTTCTCTGTTCCGCCAGGCTGAGCTAATTTTTGTTTTGGGTTGTAGCACAGTGTGAGGGTGCTTATTGCCCTGCTGACAGTAATATGTTGCAGCATCTTCAGCTTCCAGGCTACTGATGGTAAAGGTGAAATCTGTCCCAGATCCACTGCCACTGAACCTCGAGGGGACCCCTGAGATGGACTGGGAAGCATACTTGATGAGGAGCTTTGGGGCTTGATCTGGTTTCTGCTGGTACCAGTATAAGTAGTTGCCAATGCCTTCACTGGCCTGGCAGGTGATGGTGACTTTCTCCCCTGGAGTCACAGAGAGGAAAGCTGGAGACTGTGTCATCACAACATCACCCCTGGAGGCTGAAACCATACAGCAAACATTAGCACAATATAAGCATCTGCTTAATGAAATCACCACTAATCTAGTAGCACAAGATGAAAGAATACGCATTACTTAAAAAAAAATCACATTTAAAAACAAGCCAAGTTCCATATGGTGCCAGGTTCCTAATTAAGAAAATTAATGGTTCAAAGAATTAGTTTTAGCTTTTTCTAAATATTCTCACCTGGAACCCAGAGGAGCAGAAGCCGCAGGAATTGCAACGGGGACACCATCTCAGTGTTTTGACTTCAGTTTTGCTGAAGACACATCTAGGAGAAAAAGCCTCTTATAAGATACTGAGAGGCAGGACCACTTCAGATGTGGGAGGAAGGTTACATGCAAATTACGGGAATGTCCTGTTGTTTTAAATACACAGACATCACTGTTGTCAGGAGAGCGCCCTCCCCGCCCCTTCGGGGAATGTGAGAGGCGCCCTCTGCTGGCACCTGCAGATGAGCGCCGCTGAGGCCCCGGCAGGGCTTGACCAGACCCAGGGCCCAGCCTCAGAGTGAAGGAAGAGTCCATCGCAGTCTCTGGGAGGCTCTGCAGTCATCTGGGGTGAACAGCAGCTCACATCCTCAGTCTCGGCACAGGGCTATCTTAACTTTCCTGACAACACATTCACAATGAGGCTGAAGAAACTTTGATCCTGTGGACGCTTCACAAAGCATCACTCCATACAACACGATATTGATGTCATCGTGGTAACTAGATAGGATAAGCAGAAAATAATAAGGACTCTGGATTTTCAGTGAAAGCACATGAAGACCAGAGTGTGGGATTCAACCCTACAAAAGTTAAGGACCTGTCACATTGGAGAAGGTATCAGGGATTTAGTGAAGGAACATGAGTAGCGTTGGCTCATCCCCTTCAAGGTAAGGACAAATAATTGTACTTTGCAGCTCCAATCACTGAGAATGCAGCACAGTGTTGGCAAGGCCTGCTTAGAGTATTGACATAACAAATCCCACACTTGGGTCTACTCCACCACCGCACTTATAAGCTAACTTGGAAGGCTGCTTTTTGGAGTGGGCTCAGAAAAAGAGAAGATTTTGAGGAAGGTTTTGGGCTTTGACACAAGTAGCTCTGTCACTTGAGCCATGTGATCCAGAACATTGTTCGGTGCTAGATGCATCTGCATTAGATGGGAATACTTCATGAACTCTCTTGCAAACTCCAATAAAACTCACGGCATAAATCCCTGGGATTTTAGAGAAGACCAAGCAATGACCAGATAACAAATAAAAAATTTCTTGTTCAAAATGCAGAATATCACTACATAATGGTAGGTAGTCCCATGAGGCATTTAAAAAGTATGTGACTGAACTGCCCCTCATAAGTGGAGGAGGCCAGTCTCACCAATTTTTAGGGTCAGGTGAGGCTCAGCACCATTCAATATTAGGATGAATATTAGGTACTTTTGGGGTTTGGTTCAAGCAGGTTCAGAGGCTGTGCTTCATTTACATGAACAGGTGTTCCTGTTCCTCCTACCATTTTTCTCTCTTACTCTAACACCTTTGCATCAGCTCACTCCAGTGACCTCATGAGTTTTCTCAATCAGCTAATAGCAAGGGGGGAAACAAAAAATGCAAACAAATAAAAGAAGAAAACCAAAACAACACTAAGAAAATCTAGGCTTTTTGAATGGGTTAGCATCATATATTTGTGCAAGTAAAAGTAGGCTGCTCCCACATTTTGGCCACAATCATGGGTGGCTGTGAGGTGTTACCTTGAGTTAGCAGATATTTGAGGACAGCATGTAGTGTTCAACTTAGTGTGGAGAGAGACATGTACTGAGTCAAGTATATGCATGAATTAGTGATAGCTGGTTGGCCATAGTCTTTGATAAAGAAAATTGGAAGATCACAGAGAAGAAGCTCTAGAGGAGAGGTATGTGGATGCACTCATATGAATAAGAAATTACATGTGCAAAATTTTATTTATCTCTGCAAAAAGCAGAGAATATCTTCCACAGTAAGACACCAAACAACCAATCATACTGGAAGGCTCATCCACTTGTAAGCAGATTAACGGAACTCAGTCTTTTCTCTTAACTTCCACAATATTTGCATAATAGAGTCTGTAATGAAGTAGCCATCATAGCCTGAACAGGGCTATGAATGAGTAAAATGACATGAACCATGCCTCACAACAACCATCACCACTTGTGTTGATCCCACTGTTGCCACTTCTGGGTATCCAACTTCTCAGCAGCAGAGACAAATATCTTCAACAAGTGGGTGGTTATTTGGGATATCAGATCACTGTCCCCTGGAGGTGACTGTGATGCATCCTAACTAGGATCCTCCTGTATTCTAGATGTATGTTTACCTTTCCTGCCCATAGACAATTGGCTATCTCAGTGCTCTGAGAGCATTTTTTGTATTAATATGGGAATATTTCAGAACCATGTTCCTACATTGTGGGGAAAGAAACAAAATAATAGCCACGTGATTATAGCATCCATTGGTTCTACCAAATATATCACGCAAAGAAATCCACAAGGGTATAATATTCTGCAGATTTTAGATGCTCTCCCTCAAGGTGTTCTGAATCTTTAAATCAATGACCATAGTAGAATGAAGTAATGGTTCAGGAAGCCAAGGGCCAGGAGTACGAGCAGACTCTTTAGTCATCCTACACAGGAACCCAGCTGGCGGACATGTGTGTCCAGTAATGCAATTTTAGGCCCTGTTGGCCACAGACATCTACTCCTGGATATCCGGGAGTATGTGCTTCTACTTGGGACTACTGTAGATAATCCTGAAGCTAAACCTCAAGCTGTGGTAAAGCAGGGTTCCTCATGCCAGTATACAAGAAGGCAACCAAACATACCTATTTCAGCAAATAGTAAAACTATCATGAAAAGATCGTTTTCTGCTACATTTTTGGTTAGAGGAGGAATATATCTGGGAATATGTCTGGATTGAAGAACACACACCATAATTAGATGATAATTAATCCTCAACTAATGTAAAGTAAAATTACAAATAATTAAAATAAGGTAGGAAAAGGAAAATATTTCTAAGTGGCTCCATTGCTCCAGCTCTTTCAGGAGAAGTGCCACTATAGCAAAAACCTTCAAGGCTTAAAAAATGCATGGAAATTTTTTAGTTTTGTGTCTTACAATATACTTCCCTCAGCAACATGTATCATGTGTGTTCATTTTCAGGTGTTCATTCACACCTGAAAGCTATGAATCACCCTTTTCAAGGTAATTCTAGCCACATAGTAGAATCAAATGGGAATATTTTAAAAGTATTGCTGCCTGCTCTTATCCTAGCCTAGTTGGCTAGAAATACTTGACTGGAGTTCAGGCACCCGCATGTTTAAAAATCTTCCCAGAATATTTATAGATGCAAGTAGGATAGAAAACCTTTTATCTAATTGGCTCTTTGCCTCTGTAGTCCAGCAGCCACAGCATTTTCATGAACTGGGAGCTTGTTAGAACATTCAAAATATCACGTCCGGGACTATAACACAACATCGAAAAGGTCCATATATCAATCAAATTGCAGTTTTTATACCAAAAATTAAGAAAATCTCTACTTGAATGGGAAAGGAAAACTAGTAGCTATTTAGCCCTTATATGACAGATATGTTAAAATTATCTTAAAAGGATTTTAAAGCAGCCATCATAAAAATGCATCAATGAACAATTGCAAAAAAAGCTTGAGACAAATGAAATAATGGCATCAAGAATGAAATATGAAATTTTATAAAAGAAAAATGGAAATTTAAGAATTGAAAGATACAATCACTGTATGAGCAGCTCAGTGTATGGCCTAATAGCAGAAAAGAGTAGACACAGGAAAGTGATAATAGATAATAGATAATAATTATCTACTAGTAATTGGGTAATTACTATTATCCAATCTAAACAACAGTGGGAAAATAGGCCAAAAGGAAATGGATGTAGACACAAGATAAAAAGAAATCTATGGTAAGGCATATCCTAGTCAAACTTCTAAAAACTAAACACAAAGAAAATCTTTAAAGGCAGAATTTTTAAAAAACTACTTGTAAACTTTAGGGGAAAAATGATTTGAATGGCAGAGAATTCCTTCTCAGAAACTATGAAGGTTAGAAGGAAATAACACCATTTCAAGTAATGAAAGAAAAGACCTGCCAACATAGAATTCTATTTCCACGACAGCTGCTCCAAGATGGCTGACTAGTCACAGCCAGGAGGAAGAGCTTGCACCAAGGGACTGGGACATTAGAAAGACTGGTGCACTTCTAGCAGATCTTCAGAGGGAAGGCACTGAGAATAGATGAAGGGAAGACGAAGATGCTGGGCTGAAGGGGGAGGAAGCTGGGAACACTGTGTGGGGCTACCATGTACCAGGACACATTCCTGGCTCCCAGTGACTCCTGTGATAGGGATGAGTTGAACCAACAAAGAGCAACTTAGGTGTCTGGAATCCCTTGAACACCAAAGACACTTGATTTGTCAGGGAGAGCTACTTAGAGAAATGATAGGGACAGAATTCCAGCCAGCACAGAGCCCAGAGTGTTTGGTGCAGGAGTGTCTGTAGTGGAATATGGCCAGGGACACTCATCCCCCTAGGCTCAACTTGCTCCCACAGGAGACTTTAGTCCTAGGGGAACTGTATGACATAAACTCTGCAGAGTGATCTTGTCCATGAAACAGGGCCAATATGATCTGACTGTCCCTTGGGCTGCTACTGTCTCCCGGGGCCACAGCCTTACCATTCCTGCTTGCATTGCAGCCCCTAGGTACATCCTGGGGGCCCACATCATAGCTCCTGCACTGGCAGATTGCATCTGACAGGGAAAATGCTCCAGCAGAGTGGCTCCCATGGACATATACCAGGCCTCCAGTGTTATTCCACCACTGCAGCATCCCTTGTGCACAGACTCCCCTGTGCCACTTTGTCTGTGCTGACACTGTTAGCTGGCACAAAAAAAGGCATAGTGAAAAGTGAACACACCCCCACCTTGAGTGGCCACCACTGCCCACGTGAACATGCACAGAGTCTGCATACAGTCCTGTGCCTACCAATTCCCCACCCCTGTGTTAATACACCACCAGCTCAAACGTGTGTACAGTCACTGGCAGGCCCCACTCCCCCTATGAGTCATGCTGCCACTGTCACTGCTGAAAATGCTTGCATGGAAGCTGGCACCCCAGCACCCACTAGCACCCTGCCACAGCTGATGAGTGCACACCTGTGGCTGCCATTGCTGCTGACACATACAAACAAGGATGGATCCCACTGCCACCACCCTATGAACTGCTTTGGCTGGCACCACCCACAGAAGTGTTGTGACCAGCGGTCCAAGAGCACCTTGGCCCCTCCAGTGCATCAGGTTCTTAACCTTGAGGAGCCAGAGAACAAAGGTGGGTACCAATACCTGTCCCCAAGGGTTAGAGCATGCAGTCCAAGAGTCCTGAGCTGTGCCTTGGCTCCATAAAATCTTCCAGAAATGAAGCCAATTGACTGAACCCAGCTTATAACACAATCAAACCTTCAAGGTTATCAAATAGAATAAAAGAAAAAAAAAACAAGAACCAAATCAAAGGACAGCCACTTCAAAGACTGAAAGCCCACAAAGATGAGAAGGAACTAGCACAAGAACTCTTAAATCTCAAAAAGACAGAGTGCCTTCTTTTCTTCAAGTGCCAGACTAGTTCTCCAGCAAGGGGTTCTTAACTGGGCCAAGATTGCTGAAATAAAAGAAACAGAATTAAGAATATAAATAAGAACAAAGATCATTGAAATTCAGGAGATTGTTGAAACCTACCTAAGGAAGCTAAAAATCACAATAAATTGATACAGGAACTGACAGACAAAATAGTCAGTATTTTGGAAAAGAATATAACTTACCAGATAGAGCTAAAAACACAATACAAGAGTTTCATAATGAAATCACATGTGTTAACAGCAGAATAGGCCAAGCTGAGGCAAAATCTCAGAGCTCGAAGACTGGCTTTCTGCAATAAGATAGGCAGACAAAAATTTTAAAAAAAGAATAAAAAAATGAACAAAACCTTCAAGAAATATCTATTACTCATTGGCATTTCTGAAAAGGATAGGGGAGAATGGAAGAAATCTGGAAAACATATTTCAGGACATCATCCATGAGAGCTTTCCCAATTTAGCTAGAGAGGCCAACATTCAAATTCAGGAAATGCAGAGAACCATAACAAAATACTTCACAAGAT
The DNA here is from genome assembly GCF_000001405.40 of Homo sapiens. Taxonomy (NCBI): domain Eukaryota; kingdom Metazoa; phylum Chordata; class Mammalia; order Primates; family Hominidae; genus Homo; species Homo sapiens. Next base: position 90,063,730 of record NC_000002.12, on the reverse strand, counting down.
CATCCCCAAGACACATAATCTTCAATTCTCAAAGGTTAAAATGAAAGAAAAAAAATGTTAAAGGCAGCTAGAGAGAAAAAACAGATCACCTACAAAGGGAAGCCATCAGACTAACAGAAGACCTCTCAGCAGAAGAGACTGGGGGCCTATATTTAACATTCTTAAAGAAAATAAATTCCAACTAAGAATTTCATATTTGGACAAACTAAGCTTCGGAAGCAAAGGAGAAATAAGATCCTTTTCAGACAAGCAAATGCTCAGGAAATTTGTTACCACCAGACCTGCCTAACACAAGCTTCTGGAAGAAGCACTAAATATGGAAATGAAACACTGTTATCAGCCACTATAAAAACACACTGAAGTACACAGACCAGTGACATTATAAAGCAACCACACAAACAAGTTGGCAAAATAACAGGCTAACAGCATGATGGTGGTATCAAATCTAACATATCAATACTAACCTTGAATGTCAACAGGCTAAACGCCCCACTTAAAAGACACAGGGTGGCAAGCTGGATAAAGAAGCAAGACCAAATGTTATGCTGCCTTAAGGAGACCCATCTCACATGCAATGAAGCCCATGGACTCATATAAAGGGATGGAGAAAAATCTACCAAGCAAATGGAAAACAGAAAAAAAACAGGATTTTAATTCTAATTTCAGATGAAACAGACTTTAAGTCAACAAAAATCAAAAAGACAAAGAAGGGCATTACATAACAGTAAAGGGTTCAATTCACCAAGAAGATCTAGTTACTCTAAATCTATATGCTGCCAGCTCAAGATCACCTAGATTCATAAAGAAAGTTCTTAGACACTTTCAAGGAGACTTAGATTCCCACACAATAATAGTGGGAGATTTCAACACCCCACTGACAGTATTATACAGATTATAATCTGTATAATTAATTTTCTGAGGCAGAAAATTAACAAAGATATTCAGGACTTGGACTCAACCCTGGATCAAATGGACCTTATAGAAATCTGCAGAACTCTTCACCCCAAAACAACAGAATATATATATTCTCATCACCACATGGCACATATGCTAAAATTGACCGCACAATCGGACATACATCAATATTCAGCAAGTGCAAAAGAACCAAAATCATACCAACCTCTCTCTTGGACCACAGAAAAATGAATGTAGAATTCAAGACTAAGAAAATAACTCAAAACCATGGAAATTAAACAACATGCTCCTGAATGACTTGGGTAAATAATGAAGTTAAGGCAGAAATCAAAACGTTCTTTGAAATGAATGAGAACAAAGATACAATATACCAGAATCTCTGGGACACAGGTTAGGCAGTGTTAAGAGGGAAATTTATAGCACTAAATGCCCACATCAGAAAGTTATACCTCAGATTAACAGCCTAACATCACAACTAAAAGAACTAGAGAAGCAAGGGAAAACCAATTCCAAATCTAGCAGAAAACAAGAAATAACCAAAATCAGAGTTGAACTGAAGTAGATAAGACACACAAAAAAATTCAAAAGATCAATGAAGCCAGTGCCTGTTTTTATTTTGAAAAAGCTAATGAGATAAATAGACCACTAGCTAGACTAATAAAGAAGAAAAGAGTGAGTATCCAAATACATAAAATTAGAAGTGACAAAAGGACATTATCACTGACCCCACAGAAATACAACTAACCATCAGAGACTACTATGAACACCTCTATGCACAATAACTAGAAAATCTAGAAGAAATAGATAAATTCCTGGGTGCATACACCCTCCCAAGACTGAACCAGAAAGAAATTGAGTCCCTGAAGTGAGCAAAAATGAGCTTGTAATTGAATCAGTAATAAATAGCCTACTAACCAAAAAAATCCCAGGTCCAAATGGATTCACAACTGAATTCTATCAGATGTACAAAGAAGAGCTGTTACCATTCCTACTAAAGGTATTCCAAAAAAGTGAAGAGGAAAGGCTGGGTTTGGTCACTCATGCCTGTAATTCCAGCACTTTGGGAGTCCGAGGTGGGTGAATCACCTGAGGTCAGGAGTTCGAGACCAGCCTGGCCAACATGGTAAAACCCCGTCTGTACTAAAAACAGAAAAATTAGGCTGGCATGGTGGCATGTGCCTGTAATCTCAGCTACATGGGAGGCTGGGGCTGGACAATTGCTTGAACCCGGGAGGTGGGGCTTGCAGTGAGCCGAGATCACATCACTGCACTCCAGCCTGGGCAACAGAGTAAGACTCTGTCTCAAAAAAAAAAAATATGTATATATATATATATATATATATATATATATATATATATATGAGGAGGGACTCCTCCCTAACTCATTCTATGAGGCCAGCATCATACCAAAACCTGGCAGAGATGCAACAACAACTTCAAGCCAATATGGTTGATGAATATCGATGTAAAAATCCTCAGCAAAATACTAGCAAATCAAATCCAGCAACATATCAAAGAGCTAATCTACCATGATCAAGAGACTTTATCCACAGGATATAAGTTTGGTTCAACATATGCAAATAAATAAATATAATTCATCACACAAACAGAACTAAGCACAGAAATGGCTTGATCATCTCAATAGATGCGGAAAAGACATTTGATAAAATTTAACATCCCTTTATGTTAAAAACTCTCAACAAACTAGATATTGAAGGAACATACCTCAAAATAATAAGAGACATTTAGAACGAAGCCATAGCCAGCATCACACTGAGTGGGCAAAAGTTAGAAGCTTTCCCCTTGAAAACTGTAACAAGACAATGATGCCCTCTCTCCACTAATCCTAACAGCATGGTGTTAGAAGTACTGACCAGAGCAATCAGGCAAAAGAAGGAAATAAAAGGCACCCAAACAGGAAGAGAGGAAGTCAAACTATCCTTGCTGCATATGACATGATTTCCTTTTTTTTTTGAGACAGAATCTTGCTCTGTCACCCAGGCTGGAGTGTCGCAGTATAATCTCTGCTCACTGCAACCTCCACCTCATGGAGTCAAATGATCCTCCATCCTCAGCCTCCTGAGTAGCTGGGATTACAGGTATGCACCACCATGCTCAGCTAACTTTTGTAGTTTTACTAGAGATGGAGTTTCACCACGTTGACCAGGCTGGTCTCGAACTCCTGATCTCAAGTGATCCACCCACCTTGGCCTCCCAAGGTGCTGGGATTACAGGCACTAGCCACTGCGCCTGGCCTCACATGAATATATCTCTAGAGAACCCCATAGTCTCAGCCCAAAAGCTACTTAAGCTGACAAACAACTTCAGCCAAGTTCCAGGATACAAACTCAATGTACAAAAATTACTAATATTTCTGTGCTCCAAGAAGAGCCAAGCTGAGAGCCAAATCAGTAATGCAATAACATTCAAAATTGCCACAAAGAGAAAGAAAATACCTAGGAATGCAGCTAGCCCAAGAGGTGAAAGATCTCTATAAAGAGGACTATAAAACATTGCTCAAAGAAATCAGAAATGACACAATTAAATGGAAAAACATTCCATGTTCATAGACAGGAAGAATGAATTTCGTTATAATGACCATATTGCCAAAAGCAATTTATATATTCAATGCTATTATCATTAAAGTACCATTGTGATTATCTACAAACTAGAAAAAAACTGTTTTAAAATTTATATGGAACCAAAAAAGAGCCCAAATAGTCAAAGCAATTGTAAACAAAAAGCACAAAGCTGGAGGCATTACACTGCCTGACTTCAGACTATACTACAAGGCTACAGTAACCAAGACAGCATGGTACTGGTACAAAAACAGATACATAGATCAATGGAACAGAATAGAGAACCTGCAAATAAGACTGCATACCTACAACTATCTGATCTTTGACAAATTTGACAAAAGCAAGCAATGGAGAAAGGATTCCCTATTCAAGAAATTGTGCTGGGATAACTGGGTAGCCATATGCAGAAGATTGAAACTGGACCCCTTCCTTACACCATATACAAAAATTAACTAACGATGGATTACAGACTTAAATGTAAAACCCAAAAACTCTAAAAATCCTGGAAGACAACCTAGGCAATACCATTCAGGACATAGACATGGGCAAATATTTCATTACAAAGACACCAAAAGCTATTGCAACAGAAGCAAAGATTGACAAATGGGATTTAATTAAACTAAAGATCTTCTGCACAGCCAAAGATACTATCAGCAGAATAAACAGACAACCTATAGAAAGGGAGAAAATGTTTGCAAACTCTGCATCTGACAACAGTTTAATATCCAGCATCTATAAAGAACTTAAACAAATTTACAAGAAAAAAATAGCTCCATTAAAAAGTGGGCAGAGGACATGAACAGATACTTTTCAAAAGACTTACAAGTGGCCAACACTTATATGGAAAAAAGTTCAATATCACTGATTGTTAGAGAAATGCAAATCAAAACCACAACGAGATATCATCTCACACCAGTTAGAACTGGTATTACCAAAATGTCAAAAAATAAATGCTGGAGAGGATGTGGAGAAAAACGAATGCTTATATACTCTTGGTGGGAGTATAAATTAGTTCAACCATTGTGGAAGACAGTGTGGCAATTCCTCAAAGAGCTAAAGACAGAACTACCATTAGACCCAGCAATCTCATTACCGTGTATGTACCCAAAGGAATATAAATTGTTCTATTATGAAGACATATGCACGTGAATGTTCATTTCAGCACTATTCGCAGTAGCAGACATGGAGTCAACCTAAATGTCCATCAGTGACAGACTGGATAAAGTAATGTGATTATATACAGGTCAGTTTTGCCTTTAATTTGTTGCTCATTATTGTGAGCCTTAACATACTTCTTTGTGAACTTGCCACTGTTTCAATATAATATTGTAATCTTTATTTCAGAGTTTATTGCAAACATTTATGGTTAAGTATTTGATATATTTTATAGAGTTTACTTCCTTGTTGCTTATTGAAATTTGATTTTATAATTGTATTAAACCAATTTAAATATATTTAAATTCAAACATAGAAATAAAAAATTGAAGTGTTGATATGTCTAACAAAAAGCCAATGCACAAATTACCTTAAAAGATTAATTAAATGTCTGAATCACTAATTTAATAATATTTTCATGTTTAAAATGTGTCAAATATATTTTTGAGTCCTAGATATGTGAAGGTTTTGTGCAATGTACTGTAATATCTGCTAAGACACACTATTCTTTTCTTATCAGGTGAATTCATATTTGAACTGCAAGTTAATTTCTTGAACTGCAAGAAAAGAGGCACCTAGGAACATATTTGAAAATGCGTAATTTTAAAGCAGCTAAAATTATTTATTAATTAATAATTATTTTCTGAGTTTACATATTAGACAAAAAATGCTACTGAGAAGATATCACTGGTTTTTGCTCTGTAACAGAATTAGTTATATCTCGAATATGTTGCCACTCACCTTTCCTAGGCACATAGGAGAAATCAACAAATCATTGTCTTTTTTTACTGAAAGAGGAGGACCACCAAAATCTGTCTTGACCACAGCTCTAGAAGGTACCTTACTAAACACTGTATCATCCTTGCCCTATTAAGTAAGTGCTTGCTAAATTGCATTCTTTTTGTGCTTTGAATTTTCAATAAATACATTCTGAGAAAATAATACACCGATTGGAATGCTTGACTATTCAAAATTTCAGGTATATACTCCATTATTTTATTGGTCTTTCTCTTATGATCCAGGCAGCACAGGATCAGGTCTTCTCTAGAACTCACTGTTGTATTTTTATGCCAAGAGCTTCAGTAGACAATCAGCAAATGGGCTTGCAGTTGGCAAAAATAGTTACATAGAGCTGATGATTTCTCATAGAGACGAGGGTGTTAATAGGAAAATATTTCTTTACTTATTTTTTCTTGGTGAATCAATAATAAACAGAGAACTTATTTTCGGAAATAAATTCAGAAAGTCAAGTATCTAAATCTGGTAGGGATGCCCATAGAATTTTTATAAGGAACATATATAATTTTATTTCTAAAAGTCAATTTAATGTTATTAGCTAGTACACGATTCAAAGGACAATTTAAAAATCAGGTAACTGTAGTAAAGGCAAATACATACTTTTGAATGAATAAATAAATTTAGAAAAGTCAATAAATATAAAAACCATGTGCAAAAAGATCATACCAGCAACAAACAAATTGGAGATGGAATTGTGAAATATGTGATCTGCCCACCTGCCAAAGTGCTGGGATTACAGACTTTAGCCACTGCGCCCGGCATTTTTTTTTTTTTTTTTTTTTTTAAGACAGTCTCTATTGCCCAGGCTGGAGTGCAATGGCACAATCTCAGCTCACTGCAACCTCCGTCTCTCGGGTTCAAGCTCTTCTCGTGCCTCAGCCTCCTGAGTAGCTGGGATTACAGGTGTACACCACCACGACTGGCTAATTTTTGTATTTTTAGTAGAGGCAGGATTTCACCATGTTGGCCAGGTGGGTCTTAAACTCCTGGCCTCATGTCATTCGCCTGCCTCATCTGCCCAAAGTATGGGGATTATTGGTGTGAGCCACTGCGGCGGGCCTAAGATGTGAAGTCTTGATACTGTACAAAACATTATTAAAATGTTAAAGAAGACCTCTAGATTGTGGTTTTGGTTTACTATCCAAACAATTATACCATCTACAAATAATAACTATTCGTTTTCTTTATTTCCAGTACTCATGTATTTTATTTCTTTTTCTTGCCCTTTATACTAGTAAGAGGTCCAGTACAGTATTATCTAGGAATGATGATACTTTACATCTTTTAAAAATATCTAATTCCAAAATGAAGAAAAACAATTTTTCAGCATTTAATGTGATTGTGTGTGTGTGTGTGTGTGTGTGTGTCTGTCTGTCTCTCTGTCTGCCTGTGTATTCTCTAAGAGGTAAGGAAGGTATTTTTCCATTTCTAATTTTCTAGGACATTTTTACATAAACAGGGTCTAAATTTTGTCCAGTGCTTCTTTCTATACCAATTGAGACGACCATATACCTTTTTTCTTCTTTAACTATGTCAAATGTGGTAATTATATTGATCAAATCTTTTAAATCCTTATTATGTTATTTTCTGCTTTTCTATCACCTCTTGAGCATAAAGTCTCCCACCATAACATGGAGTTGACTTTTTCTTTATTTAATCAATTTTTTATTTATATACTTTTAAGTTATATTTTGGGTCTATATAGATTTAGTATTTTAATGATTTCCTAATAGATTGACCCACTTATCATTATGAAATGTCCCCTTTTCTCCTTCGCCTTAAAGTATAAGTCAGGTTTCGTCAATTCAGTTTTTGCATGATATGTACTTTCCGTTTTTTAATTTTCAAAGTCATTTTATGATATTATTGCAGTGTGTATTTTATAAGCAGCATAAACCTTTCATTTTAATCTTGTTTAATAATTTAAAAATTTTACTTAGAGAAATTTGTCTGTTTATGATGTCTAAATTATTGGTAGTTAGAGTTAAATCTACCATCCTTTTTTTTTCAGATTTCCTGCTTTCTTGCTTTCCTTTGGATTAGACATTTTATTATATTTTTCCTTGCATTAACTTGTTAAACATACAATCATTTATTATACAGCAGCTATCCTCAACTTATTACTTCCTAGTACCAAATATTAATTTACCACTTCCTAAAATAGAGTTAGATTTTTTAATTCCATTTACACTACTTTTTCGTGTTATTTTTCATGCAATTCAGTTATATATGCATTGCAAAATTCACAAACCATGACATCTATAGTTGTGCGCAAATATTAGTTTGTATTTATTCCTATACATATCCTTTCCAGTGTCCATCTCTTATGTATCTTTATGTTTCTATTTAGTCTTGCATTCCTTCTGTTGCAGAACTGTCTTTAGCATTTCTTTTATAGAGTACTACTGATATATAACTGCCTAATATTTTGTTGTTTTACAAACAGTATTTATTTGCACATTCATTTTGCCTCATCTTTTTCTTTCCTTTTCAAAGGCCCCAAAGATGTTAAATTACTTACTGATATTTATTTTCCTTGGAAGGATTGAGTTCCTTTTGAGTTGTTTTTCTTACATATAAATATTGCCATACAACTACATACTCAGCAAAGATAATACATAGATATATTAAGTATACTTGCCATTGGATATATTTTCTTGGAATAGGCAGCCATCTGCCATATAGCTTATGTCCTTAATCAAAAGCAGGATCATTTTGATTTAATTCAAACCATCTACTTCTACTATAGCATGATGAAATAATACATATGCCCTTTTATGGATCAAAATAATATTAAAGTACTATTGTAAATGTAGTATATTTAAAGCATATATGTGTGTAATTTAGGCATATGTTACTGGAATACTGAATTCAGTATTCCATGTTTGGTATTCAGTATCAAATATTTTAAACACTGACATGATCATTATCATTTCTGCAGTTGTTTTTCTCCTTCATTTCCATGTGCCATGTGCATTTATTGATCTAGATGTGAATGTTTTGCAATATAATATTCAAAGTGACATCCCCACTTTGTAATTTAATAGAACAATTTATTTTCAGTAGTGAAGTAGTGAGGAATAGGCCTTAGAAGATGGACACAAGAATTGCAATAAATGCAGGAGAGCAAAAATGAACTTAAAAAATCATGTTTGTTATAACATCAGAGAGTTGTGGAACAAATAAAGAACAGATAGCCTAAAATTCCACAGAGGAAAGATGCCTTTGTATATTGCCTTGTGTCCTCCTGTCACTTTGTGTCTTAGTGAAATTTGCCAAATACGAGCGTGATTGGAGATTCTGGTTTGGTCCAGGCAGAAGATCTCTACAAGAGTGGGGAATTCATCTCACCTTTGGCAGAGGCATGTACGTGCCTTACAGATTATGGATTATATGGCACAAGTGGAGCCCTTAACACCAGGATGAATTTTTCTTTGGGACATTTGCTGAGGCCTGGGTTGAGAATGGTAGCTGGGTGGGTTGGCTAGAGAGACACAATGAAACCTCCTGCATTCTCCTGAGTTCTCCCCTACCATGCTGCCTTGATTTTCCTTTATGTGTGTCTGAAATATGGGCTTTGGGCTCCCACCACTACACCTCCTACTCATCTTCCCAGCCCCTGCACTGCTCTGGTCAGCATCATCTTTATTTTAACTATAAGCTTTCTTGAATGATCCTTTCTTTCTCAAATCATTCCCAGGTAAATGATGGGGGCAGAATCTACTTTTCCAAGGTCTTCTACATCCTGCTGGATTGACTAGGAATGTGTGATATGACCTGAGGTACATTTGGACAGGGACTTCTCTAAACTTGGAGTCACTAAAGACTGTGTGATGCAATACTTCCCTGGGAGTTTGCCATTGCATCAGAGCACAGTTTTGAACTCCACGCAGGATTCCCACAACTCCCCAAGAAATACAGCAGAGCTTTCACTTGGGTTCATATATCAACTCCAACACACCACCACTAACATAGTTAACAGCTGCCCTCACATTCTCATTTACTGCCCTCTGCCCAAAGTCTATAGATTATTATTTTTCAAGGGGCAAAACATAAGCTTATATATTATTTTATATTAATCCAGATTCCATTGAATATGGCATACATTTTTGACTATGGCTACATTTTTAGTCCTTTTTTCTTTTGTCTTTTGAAACTTGGATATTTATTTTTAAAACACAGCTTTGGATTTCATAGAATTTTCTTTTCATTTCAACATACTGTGAATAAGATTGTTCAAAGATTTTTGTCACTAGGTCTTTGTTTTTGCATAAACTTACCAAAACATATCTAGCAGTTACAAAGTCTAGAATGTAAATACACGCAAGCACTCCCTGAAAAAAAAATAGGATAAAATGCTGTGCTTCCTGCTGTCCCAGAGAGAGATGTATGTTAAGAAAAGTGTAAAGTGGAAGGTAGAAGATGGGAGAGAAACTGTTTTAGTATCACCAAATCTTGTCAAGGTACATGTACACTAGTAACTGCTAAACCAAATCAAAACCAAAAATATATTAGTTTTGTATTGCCACTAATCTGTTTCATTTAGGTGGCTGTCAGGCTGAATGAATTTAGTTAGTGAATGAACTTAGGCAAGGCAGAGAGGATTACGATGAGCTTTGATTCAGCTTTCCCTTGCAACATGACTGGTTGTTCAGAGGCACTTGACCTCCCTCCATTCTCCTGCAAGTTCTGCCAGGCCAAGACTCTTGCAACTGATGGGGACTAAATTGTGGTACCTGAGATGTAACCGAGATATTGATGGTCAAGAGCCCTCAGCTGTAATGTATTCTCCTGAATTCTCCATCATCTTCCTCTTTACTCTCCCAAGATAATCGACAGTGTCTGCTTTCCAGATAAACAACACATTTGGGCAGCTGAACCACAGCAAGAAGGGAGGTTTCTGTTCAGGGTTGTACCACTGTGTTAGGAAACTGTGTAGCTTGCATGCAGTAATAAACCCCAACATCCTCAGCCTCCACCCAGCTGATTTTCAGTGTGAAATCACTGCCTGACCCACTGCCACTAAACCTGTCTGGGACCCCAGAAAAACGACTGGAAACCCTATAAATCAGGAGCTGTGGAGATTGCCCTGGCTTCTGCGGGTACCAATGCAAATAGGTATATCCATTACTATGCAGGAGGCTTTGACTAGACCTGCAGGAGATGGAGGCCGGCTCTCCAGGGTTGACGGGCAGGGAGGGTGGAGTCTGGGTCATCACAATATCTCCACTGGATCCTGAAGTAGTGAGAGAAGTGCAAGGTTATGTACAAATATTGGGAACCATTGAAATGATATTCTTTCTGTTATCTACTTTATGCTAAGTGATTTTTTTGTGTGACTTTGGTTCATACCCCTAAACATCCAGGCATAAAAAGAACCAACATTCACAAGGCACAAAAGAGACTCAAGAAGTCACCTACACTATTATCCTCTTCCTGTGTGACACTCTTCATGAGAGCACAAGTCCTTTGTCCTTCTAGGATATGAAGTTTAGAACTATAAGAGTGAGGAATCTTCTCTTTCTGACTCTTGCAGTTCTAAACTTTATACACCTTTTCTTGCAGGTCAAGATGTGCATGTGGACAGGCAGTGGGGCCCCCAGAGCTCACCCTCACACTCCATTCTCCTCCCTTATCTCCCTTCTGTCCTTACCAGGAACCCAAAGCATTAGCAGCCCCAGGAGCTGAGCAGGGAACCTTATTGTGAGAAGGTGAGCTGAGGAGTTCTGATCAGTCAAGGCAAGGTTACAGCTGAGCTTTTATCTCAGACTCACAATGGAAGGTCCTCCCTAGGGGACAGTATGCAAATCCCCTGGTGGGTGCAGTGGGGTGGAAAGAGCCAAGGAGAGTATGGGGACATCTAGTGTGAGCACAGTGACATAATGTGTCCTCTGTGTTTGGAGGGAACCTAATAAAGTTTGTGCTGCCTGAGTGGAAAAAGGGACATATTTAATCATGTTCTTCTATTTCCTCTAAGAGATTTCTACATTGTTTTCACTTTCCCAGACACATTTTACACTTGTCTTTAATAGGCTGAGTTTCCATAAATATTTGGTTATTCTTATTTGTTTAATTTTATTATATATATACACACACACATACATATATATACACATATGTATATATGTATAAATATATATATATTTTTGATATATATATCTATATATAAAAATATATATTATTTTGTGTATAAATATATATGTATATATTTTGAGACAGAGTTTCACTTACTCTGTCACCCAGACTGGAGTACAGTGTCAGGATCTCGGCTCACTGCAACCTCTGCCTCCCAGGTTAAAGCGATTCTCTTGCCTCAGCCTCCCGAGCTAGCTGGGATTACTGGCATGCACCACCATACCTGGTTAATTTTTGTATTTTTAGTAGAGATGGGGTTTCATATATTGGCCAGGCCGGTCTCAAACTCTTGACTTCAAGTGATCCTCCTGCCTCGACCTCCCAAAGTGCTGGGATTACAGGCATGTGCCACCACACCTGGCCAGTTATTCTTATTTATTATTTTCATATTTATTTTAGCATCTAGGTTTTTAAATTAGTTTGATTTTAGTTGATAAAATCCCCAGAGTAAAGGGCACAAATATTAAGCGTGTAACTGAATGAAATTTGTGTATATTCACTGTCAAGGTGGAACTATGGAATATAGATTTTTTTTTTTTTTTTGAGATGGAGTCTTGCTGTGTCGCCCAGGCTGGAGTACAGTGGCCCGTGATCTCGGCTCACTGCAAGCTCCGCCTCCCGGGTTCAGGCCATTCTCCTGCCTCAGCCTCCCAAGCAGCTGGGGACCACAGGCGCCCGCCACCACGCCCGGTTAATTTTTTGCATTTTTAGTAGAGACAGTAGAGACCAATATCATATTCCCTCAGTAATGCTCTGAGCTGTACTCCCTACTAGCATGTTCCTGTGAACTCAGGAACTGCTCTTCTAGACCCCGGCTTTCTGGAGAGCAGGTGAGGGGGAGGCACCGGGGAAAGGTCAGGTCATTGAGCTGTTGGGTGTATGTTCCTGCTGTGCACCATCAATGCCACTTTCCTCTTTTACGCTTAAGCAATGAATGGGGACATCATCCTGACCCAGATTCCAGCTTCTCTGTTGGGATTGGTAGGAGGGAGAGTCTTCATCTCCTGGCAAGCCACTGCTTACGTATATGGAAAAGTATTTTAGATTCTAATGAAACTGGACAAAGATTTGAAATCCGATTTTTTACATATCTAACTTGGCCCTGATTGTCTCAGCCTGGTTCAGCAACAGAAGGAGTGGAATAAATTGTATCAGCATCAGTAGACTGGAGCCTGAGGACTCCAGGGAACATTCGCACACAAGACTAGGAGAGGCCAAATCACAGCAGTCTAGCCTGTGCACCGTCCTCCTGTGGCCTTTCATGAGCCTGATTTTTTAGAGAAACTTGTTTACATCCAGCTTGCCAGGATCAAATTCTAGAGAGACGCAGATTTAAATGTAAGTTCGCATCTTTTTTTTTTTTTTTTTTTTTTTCCTGCATGGATGTGCTGGAATGATGGAGGAAGGAGTTATGGAGCCAGGAATATGAGGGTATCTTGAAGATTAAAATCAAGAAATCCGATTTTCTCCCCTGGAGCCTCCGGAAGAAATACAGCCCTAGTGACTCCTTAATTTTAGCTCAGTAAGACTTCTCAATCCAGAATTGTAGATAATAAATTTGATAGGATTTATTATAGATAATAAATCATACTGAATGCGGTATAATTGTGGTAATTAGTTGCCCTAGCAATAGGAAACTGTTACAGGCATAAGGCATATCTTTTATCTTTCTAAAAGTGTGATTGTCCTTCTTCTCCTAAACATTTCCATTGTGTTATCATTTGGTGTCAATTTTGACCAGAGGCAGAGAACATTTTACTGCGAGGAGAGCTAGCACCAGAATTCTTAGGTGGAAAATCTCTTGTGAGAATCCCTTTATTAGGTCTCATATGATCTGCATGTCTGAGATCCTAGGGGTCAGCTCTCACAGCACAATGTGGGGGAGCATGTGTGGTTATTTGTTTCTTATTATATTAGTAGGACTCGTTAGATTTTCAGGACAGGATCTGAGAGGAAAGGAACTAAAAACAAAGACCATATGATCATCTCAACAGATGCAGAAAAGGCTTTAAATAAAATTCATCATCCCTTGATTTTAAAAGCCCTGAACAAACTAGACATTGAAGGAAGATACCTCACAATTATAAGACCTATATATGACAAACCCACAGCCAACATCATACTGAATGGTGAAAAGCTGGAAGAACTTCCTCTAAGAACCAGAACAAGACAAGGATGCTTATTACTCTCACCACTCCTATTCAACATAGGGCTAGAAGTCCTAGCCAGAGGAGGAGAGGAAGTCAGTCTATCTCTCTTTGCATCTGATATAATTTATACCTAGAAAACCCTGTCTTCACTGCCCAAATGTTCCTGGATCTAATAAACCACTTCAGCAAAGTTTCAAGATATAAAATCAATGTAAAAAATCAGTAGCATTTCTATATACCAACAATGTCTATGCTGAGAGCCAAATCAAGAACGCAATCCCATTCACAATAGCCACAGAAAATAAAGTACTTAGGAATACAGTTAACCAGGGTGCTGAAAGATATCTACAACTAGAATTATAATAAACTGCTGAAAGAAATCAGAGATGACAAAAACAAATGGAAAAATACTTCATGCTCATGGATGGAAAGAATCAATATTCTTAAAATGATCACATAGCCCAAAGCAATTTACAGATTCAATGCTATTTATATCAAACTATCAACAAAATTTTTCACAGAAGTAGAAAAACTATTCTAAAATTCATATGGAACCACAAAAGAGCCCAAATAGACAAAGCCGTCCTAAGCAAAAATGAACAAAACCAGAGGCATTGCACTACCTGACTTCAAACTATATACTACAAGGCTACGGTAACCAAAATTGCATGGTTCTGGTACAAAAATAGGCACATAAATCAATGTAACAGTTTAGAGAACCCAGACTTAAAGCTGTACATTATAACCATCTGATCTTGACAATGTTGACAAAAGGTAGCAATAGAGAAAAGGCTCCCTATTTGATAAATGGTGCTAGCATAACTGGCCAGCCATATATAGAAGATTGAAACTGGACCCCTTCCTTTCACCATATACAAAAATCTACTCAATATGGATTAAAGACTTAAATGTAAAACCTAAAACTTCAAAAACACTAGAAGAAAATCTAAGAAATACCATTCTAGACAAAGGCCATAGTAAAAATTTCATGACAAAAACTCCAAAAGCAACTGCAACAAAAACAAAAATTGATAAATGGGACCTAATTAAAGTAAAGAGCTTCTACACAAGTTAAAGAAACTATAAACAGCGTCAACAGACAGCCTACAGAATGAGAGAAAATATTTGTAAACTATGCACCCGACAAAGACCCAATAACCAGAATCTGTAATGAACGTAAATTAACAAGCAACAAACAAAAACAACCCCATTAAAAAGTGGCCAAATGTCATGAACAGACTCTTCTTAAAACAAAACATGCACATAGTCAACAAGCATATGAAAAATGCTCAACACCACTAATCATTAGAAAAACGCAAATTAAAACCACAATTAGGTATCATCTCACACCAGTCAGAATGGCTATTATTAAAAAGTCAAAAAATAACAAATGTTGATGAGGTTGCAGAGAAAGGAGAATGCTTATACACGGCTGGTGGGAGTGTAAATTAGTTCAGCCATGGTGCAAAGCAGTTTGGAGATTCCTCAAAGAATTTTAAACAGAACTACCATTTGATTCAGCAATCCTATTACAGAGTGTATACCCAAAGGAATATAAATTGTTCTACCATAAAGACACATGCACACATATGTTCACTGCAGCAAAGACATGGAATTAACTAAATGCCCATCAGTGGTAGACAGAATAAAGAAAATGTGGTACATATACATCACAGAATACCATCCACAACTGCAACAAATACAAGACAAAGTTCAGGTTATTGGACCGTAGTTGGCCTCTACTATATTCTCTTTTATGTTCTCATTCCTGGAGTCTGCCCACAGTTTTAAAATTCTCACCCTTTGGTAAAGAAAAAAAAACCTCACATTATTCTGTGTTATTCTAGTGGCATATAAGATAAATTCTATAATCTGCTTGTTCCAGTTTAAGTTTTTGTTTTTAAAATCCAACTTTTGGAATTTCAAATATTATCCTTTTTTATTAGCAAGAAGTAATTGAAATGAATGAAAGAGTTTTAACATCAGGATCTTCTGTCTTCCATGACGTCACAAAAGTCTATTTGGAGGTGCAAATTCAAGCTTTTTAATGATTGTCCTCAGCCAGCTCTCCCTGAGGACAGCTTGTGTAGAATGCTCTTTTCACTATTTGTTATGTGTTGCAATGGAAAGAGAACTAGTAAAAAGGAGAAGAAGGAAATTGGAAAAGTTGAAAAATACCAGTTTCTAAATACTACCAAATACTATCCTCTTAAAAATATACACAAAAGACCTAAACTTCAAGAGATAGTCAACACATGTTGACACGAATCTGTGTTACTTGTCTGGCTATTAAGCTATTTGAAGTCTCATTGTCGAATGTAGGCAAGGCAGGGAGGATTAGTGTGAGATTTCCCTCCACTCTCCCTCAGTCCTGTCTGCTTACTCTGAAGGCACTTGAATTATCTCTGTTTTCCTTTGGCTTATGCCATGCCAAGGCTGTGGGAGCTGACAGGACCATGAATGGGTTTTACCTGATGTACTGCGGAGTCCCCCATGGGACAGGTCATTCAGCTGCAACCTGTTACCCTGAGCTCGCCAACATCTTCATCTTTTTTTTTTTTTTTTTTTTTGAGATGGAGTCTCCCTCTGTCATCCAGGCTGTAGTGCAGTGGTGTGATCTTGGCTCACTGCAGGCTCCATCTCCCGGGTTCAAGCTATTCTCCTGCCTCAGCCTCCTGAGTAACTAGGATTACAGGCGTGCACCACCACGTCCAGCTAATTTTTGTATTTTTAGTAGAGATGGGGTTTCACCATGTTGGTCGGGCTGGTCTCAAACTTTTGACCTCATGATCTGCCCACCTCGGCCCAACATCTTCATCTTATACAGCAGAGATTCTGTTGTGCCACTCCCCAGATAAACAACATATTTCAGCAGCTGGGCCACTCCAAACAGGGAGGTTTGTATTCAGGGTTGTACCACTGTGGGAGGCACTTGTGTACCTTGCAGGCAGTAATAAACCCCAACGTCCTCAGCCTCTACCCTGCTGATTTTCAATATGAAATCTGTCCCTGAACCACTGCTGCTGAACCTGCCTGAGACCCCAGACTTCCTGTTAGAAACTTCATAAATCAGGCACTTTAGAGGTTGGCCTGGCTTCTGCAGAAACCAATTCAAGTAAGTGTTTCCATTTCTATGAAAGGGGCTCTGACCAGACCTGCAGGAAATGGAGGATGGCTCTCCAAGGAAGAGTGGAGTGTGAAGTCTCAGGATGTGAACTTGGAGGGATTTTTTTTCCCACAAGAATCCAGCAAATGAGAGGATAACCTTACAGCATCCATAAGGTAGAAGCCTATCAAACGTAAGGACAACCTGAGACTAAGGGTAGCCAGGGAGAGAAGATCTGAGCTGGAAAGGGTGAAACAAATGGACCAAAAGAAGCTGACCGCAAGACAGGAAGTTCAGAATCAGGGAAGCTGAATATGAATCTGACTAGAAGATGCTCTTGAGAGATTTAAACTTTTCCCATGTTTTATGTTTCTCATATTGCAAATAGTTTCCATTGTTAAGAGAATATGTTTGTACAGAAATTCAGCTTATGACGAACTTTGAAATTCCACCAAAGAGATCGAGGGAACGATGGGTTGTTGCTTTTCAGGACTACAAATCAGCCTGTCTTTGAGATCTGACACTGTCTATTTTGCAGTGGAATCTGCGATGAGGC
The DNA here is from genome assembly GCF_000001405.40 of Homo sapiens. Lineage (NCBI taxonomy): Eukaryota > Metazoa > Chordata > Mammalia > Primates > Hominidae > Homo > Homo sapiens. Next base: position 90,046,336 of record NC_000002.12, on the reverse strand, counting down.
TGTGAATTGGGCAGTGAAGTCAGGGCAGGGCTGACTGTGCTCTGGGTGCCACGGATAACAGGGACATTCCTTCAGGGCCGGTGATGCTGGGAGGCTGAGGGGAGAGACTCAGTATGAAGCCATCTGTGAGCCTCCTTGGCAATGCTATCTGGACCCTGGTCATCGAATGAGCCACTCCAAGCAGGGAGTTTTGCCTTCAAAGTTGTATACATGGATGCCCGTGGATGGCCAAACATAGGCTCAGGTTGAGCAGGGACCAAGATTTAGGAAGGAGCAATATGAGGCTGACCTGATGCTCCGAGGTTTCAGCACAATCTTAAGGGATCATACAGGGAGAGAAAGGGGTCACAAGGTGTAATTTTTTCATTTGATGCTGAATATACCTCTTCAGACCATTTTTCTACCCTGTATGTAACTACTGGTATACATTTAACCAAAGCCACTGCTACTAATGATCATTTCAGTCATTGATAGTGAGAGGTGAGGCCAGCTGGACTTCCTGGGTGGAGTGGGGACTTCTTACAAGAGGATTGTAAAATGCACCAATCAGCGCTCTGTAAAACGCACCAGTCAGTGCTCTGTAAAATGCACCAATCAGCAGGATTCTAAAAGTAGCCAATCGTGGGGAGGATTGAAAAAAGGGCACTCTGATAGGACAGAAGCGGAACATGGGTGGGGACAATAAGGGAATAAAAGCTGGCCACCCCAGCCAGCAGTGGCAACCCGCAAGGGTCCCTTTCCATGCTATGGAAGTTTTGTCCTTTAGCTCTTCACAGTAATCCTTGCTGCCGCTCCGTGCCATCTTTAAGAGCTGTAACACTCTCCACAAAGGTCCGTGGCTTCATTCTTGAAGTCAGCCAGACTCACCAGCAGGAACCAACTCCGGACACAATAGCCTGTGTGCACAGATCCCGAGAAGCTGGAAATCTGGACCACCATTCAATGTATGAGGAGACATACACATAAAGTTCACGTTTTCTCCATCCACAGGAGGTGACTGTGGATGTGAGTTTGAGTCTGACTAGAAGACGGTCTTGTGAGATTTAAACTACGATTTTTCCTATTGAAAAGAAGAAACACCTTTTTTTACCCTTTTTGCAACAAATATGTATTGAGCCCCAACAGTCATGCATTGTGCTAAATGAAAAATTTAAAGATGGCACAAAAGAGAAAAAAAAAAGGAAGAGAAAGAGAGGGGGGGCTTCAAAATCTTGTATAATTCGTTGCAAATACTACGAACACTTCCAGGTATGTTTATTCATAAGGACAGTGGATGCAACTGGCAGAGGCTGCAGTTTTGCAGTGGAGGGAAACTCTGTATACAGAGGCAAACTTCTTCTGCCATGGCCACAGCAATCCCTTGTTCTAAGCTTAGGAAGAAAAATCTAAAAAAATGAAATTCACAGAAATAGCAAGTAGAATGCTGGTTACCAGAGACTGCATTGTTAAAGGGTACAAAATGTCAGTCTGATAGGGGGACTAAGTTTTGGAGATCTGTTGCATAGCATGGCGACATTATTATATAGATGTATTTCTGGCAGGCTTGATTGCCTATTACATGGTAAGTCAGCATACACTAAGACACTGGGGGCTGCTGCAGAGAAAGAGATTTAATCCCAAGGCAATTAAATGAGAAGACAGGAGGAAGCCTCATATCTACCTCCCCAAGCACTTTGGGGTTAAAGATTTTAAGTGGTTTTGGATGGAGAGAGAGATTGGTTGAAGAATGAAGGATGAAGTCATGGGACTGGGAGGTGAAGAAACTGCTTTCTTATGTTGACTCGGTTCTTTGGGAGGGGGGTGGTCTTTAGACAAGTTGGTGTCAGCTATTCTACTGGAATTCAGGATCTGGTAAATATCTCAAAGATTAGGTTTTATGCTCATAATGGTGAAGGTGTTATATTTGGGAACAATGGGGCGTTAATGGTCTGTATTTATTGCAACTTGACTTTTATTAGTGAGAAGCTAAGGGAAGTTGCTCAGAATGTTGTCTGATTAATGCTTAACTATATTTCAGTCTGGAACCTGGCATACTGTTCTTGTTAACCTTATGACAGTGGTTTTGTAGTTAATAATACTATATTCTGTATTTCAAAATAACAAAGTATAGTCAATGTTCTCAATACAAAAAATGATAAATATTGGAGGTGAGGACTATGTTAATTAACCTGATTTGATTATTCGACAATGTATACATGTATGCATCTCATTGTACCCCGTATGTATATACATTACTATTTGTCAATTAAAATCAAAATAAAACTTTTAAAAATTCATGTAGCCATTGCCTGGAATAAATAAAGATAAATATGTGTGCACATGCATAACTATACCCCTGTAAAAATTGGAGCTACGAAGTCCAGTAAAATATTGAATCACAGATATTTCTGTCTTTAGCTTTAGTGGAAATAGTCAAAATACTGGGTCCCAACAATAGTTATATTAGTCCTTTCTTCCCATATCCACCACCTTGTTATTTTTTAATTCATTTGTAATACCTTTAGTTTCATTTACTCTTGTTTGTAGCCCATTTGGATACTCTCATCTTTCTTGATTTCAATTATTTTCAAATATTTGTAGTATAAATAGAGTCTCCAAAGACATAAATTCACAAAAACAAAAAGGTAAGCTCAGAGACGTCTCGCCTTCCACCCCTTCTGTACCACTCTCATCTCATCCCTTCACCCTGTTACCAGCCCCTTCCTCTTATCACTCCCTGCCAGCCTCACTCTGTCTATCCTCTCAAATTTGTTGTTTTCGTTTACGGTTCTGTTTGTTTTTAAATCTCCTCTGCTTTCTTACTTGGAAGGTAACACGGTATAGATATTTGTTGGCACTTTGCTTTTTTGTATATCTGAGAAATAACTTCCTTTCAATTCATAGATACCTTCTTCCTTTTGACAGCTGATACATACTCCATTGCATGAATGTTCCATAGCTATTTCAACAAAATATTTATTTATGAATATTCTGGGTGGTGTCAACATTTTACAAATCATTACAATTAATGTTCCAATGAATAACCTTGTGTATATGTATTTTTGTAGTGTTGAAGGTGTATCTTCAGAGATTCCTAGGAATGGGATTATGGGTCAAAGTTACACATTAAGATAGTTTTGTAGATGTTGTCATATTCTCCTTCTTAAAAAGGTAGTATTAGTTTCCATCCTCACAGCTGTTAATGAGAAATCCTGTTTCCCTATAACCTTGCCTAAAAATATGGTTAATATTTTTTGGATTTTCTTAAACCAGATAATACTACCTCAAAGTAGTTTCAATTTGCATTTCCCTCATTATTGAGATTACACACTTTACTTGTGTTTAAATGCTATATGTATATATCTTTTATAATGCATTGTCTGTTCTCTTTTCTTCTTTTTTCTATTGGATTTTTGATCCATTATCTTAACTTTTAATAGAGTTGTTTCATATTAGAACAGTAACAGTTTATTTGTTTAATATATTAAGAATAGTTTCTCCTTGTTTTTAGTTGTCTTTTGATTTTATTTTTGTGTATGCGATTTCATTTATTTACTTACAATCTTTTATCTAAAAATTCAATCATATTTGGAACAACATATTTTGTTTACAGTGTTGATTTATTTTATCCTAATTTGTTTTTTAGTTCTGTATTATTTTATTATAATTGAGTACCCCAGAGAACTACAACCTGCATCCTTGGCTTATTGTGTTTTACATAATTTAGCATTTTACGAGCTTCCAGACCTGGATCTTAAGCCTCATGATGCCCCCCGCCTCGGCTTCCCAAAGTGCTGGGATTGATTACAGGTGTGAGCCACCGCGCCCGGCCGAAGGGACATATTTTTTAATGTCCTTCTGTTTCTCTAAGAGGTTTCTAATTATTTTTCCCTTTCCCAGGCATATTTTACATTGGTCTTTAATAGGCTGAGTTTTCATAAATATTTTCTATTCTATTTGGTATTTTTACGTATTATTTTAAGTGATAAAACACCCAGAGGGCACAAAGGGCACACATCTTCAAATTGTAACTGAATAAAGTTTTTGTGTATTCATTGGCCAGATGGAACTACAGAATATTTACCTTCTGCTGATGCTTCCTCCATGCACCTTCCTCTTCAGTAACTGCTTCCCCATCTCAACCAAGGTAATTGTCATTCTGACATCGAACACAGTAATTTGGGTTTTTATGTCTTTAATGTCATATAAATTGAATTGTGTGTTTTTTTCTAGCTTTATTCTTATTGTTTACTACTTTCGAGTCCTTCATTATAGACTATGGGCTCAAAATCCCACCTGCTGTAATCTTCTGTGATTCTGAAAGATTTCCTCTTGAATTTCTTATAAGGCAGAGCTGCTATTAATGAATTTATTCTGTTTATCAAGGAATATTTTTAGTTCTGAAGAATATTTTCACCAGAAACAAAATTGCTGGTTGTCCTCTTTCATTTCCTTTTAGTATTTAAATATCTCATTCCAATCTCTTCCAGCCTCCCTCGGTCCTAATGAAAACTTAGCCAATGGCATTATTGTTGTGTCTCCATATGTAGAGTCAGCTTTTAGTCCTGACACATTCACAAATTTCTCTTTGTCTTTCAACATTTTTAAGTATAATGTATTTTGTTATTAATCTTGTATTATATCCTGAAAGCGTTTCATTGAGTTTCTTTCATCTATAGATTAAATTACCTTTGTGGTTCATTATTTTTGAAAAGCTGTTGTCATTACTATTCCAAGTATTTTTTGATCACTTTCTCTCTCTCTGCTTTTTTGTGACTCGCTTTACACACTTGTTGGTATCTTTCAACCTGAGCTGTAATTCTGTCAAGTCTTGCGCATTTTTTCTTAAACTCCTTTCTTTATTTAGATTCAATAATTTCTGTACATCTATTTTTAAGTTCACTGAATCTTTTGCCATCTTAAACTGATGTTGGACTTATCTAATATATTTTTCAGTTGAGTTATTGTACTTTTTGTTTCTAGAATTCTCACTTGATTCTTTTCCATAGTTTCTATTTTTTAAGAGTTTCCATTTGCTGAGTCATTGTCTTTATATTTTCCTCTTTATATCTTTAAAACTATATGATCATAGTTTTAAGAATAATTATTTAAAAATCTATATAATAATTGCTTTGTAGTCTTTGCTAAAGCTGATATTCAGGACGAGTCAGAATTAGCTTTCATTGACTGTGCTTTCTTGCTGCAGTTGTTTTGTTTTGTTCCCTCAATATTGATCATACTTTTCTGTTTCTTTGCAGGATTTTTTAATGGAAAACTGTATATTTTAGACAATATATTCCTGTACCTCTATCAGGAATATATTCTATTTTTCTTAAAATTTGTGAGTTTCTTTATAGTTACTTCCCTGAACTTACAGTAAGTCCCTAATTCATGGTGGTTGCACTTAAGATGTTTTGACTTTACAATAGTGTGAAAATTATTTGTATTCAGTAGAAACAGTGCTTCCAGTACTGGTACAACTACTCTGTTTTTCACTTTCATATAATATTCAATAAACCACATTACAATAAGTTATAATAAATTATTGGTGGTGATAAATGAAAGTGACCAGTGAAATCCCTTTTGGAAGGAAGCCTTTGACAAAGCTAAGACAGCTGTTCCTATCACTCTTCCTACTTGGTCATTCACTAACTTTCTTAGTTTTGTTATTTATTAAAACAGAGTACCTCTCTGCAAATGAACAGCTGTTACTGAGTCAATTAGTTGGATAAATAAATATAATTTTCTACCATTTAAAATATTTGTAGAAGTCAAATGGATAGCTGCACCATGCACTGAGCTGCGTTTACTGGGGAGACTGAGAATTATTGATGCCATGTTAAGAATCACACTGTGAGAAACTAATTCTGGAAATCTGAGATTCTGGCGGCACAGTTGAAGAGGGTTTGGCTACATCTGCATAGTAATTATTTCCAAAAATAAGCACGTTCGCAAATTTTTAATCTTCTGATCTCACCATCACCATACTGTCACCCACACTATATTCCAGGTATTCAGGCACTGTAAGTTCTCATTTTGGTGTTTCTTCAGGTTCACTGTGGCCATTCTACATCCTTGACATTCCCATATAATATTTAGATTAGCTTCTTAATTTAAATTGGAGTATACTTTAGGATTTTGATTTTTCTTATATGTAATCAATATTTTAATCTTCGAAGAATTGACATTTTTATAGTACTGAGACATTCAGTCTTTGAACTGAATTTCTATTTACTTAGGTTTTCTTTTATTTTTCAAAATAATATTCTGGAGACGTCAGTGTATTTAGTCTATTTTTTTTAAATAATTGATACTTTGATGTTTTTGTAAAAGGTGTGTTTGTTTTATAATGTTAATTTTTAGCATTTTTTTCATTATGCAGAAATGAAATTGATTTTTGAATCTACGAATTAATAAATTGATCTTGAATCTAACGATTTTCTATTTCTCATGTCAATTTTAATAGTTTCTCTGTAGACAAATTTGAATTTTATCTGCACACAATCCTTCATCAGTGAATTATGACAGCTTTAATTCTTCTTTTCCAATTTTGATTATTTGTTGCTATTGTTGTTGCCTTATGGCTCTGGTTGGGACCTTTATTGACATCCACTGACGTAAATCTGATCCAGTGGCCATTACTGTGAAACTGTGCTTTAAACCTGGCTGTCCATCTTGGTCTGAGGAATAATGCAGGAATCAGAGTCTAAATATATCAAGGGATTACTTTTTTAAGATCCCCAAAATGCCCAAGCAGAGAAGAGATGCTAAAATTGAGTTGTCATTGCAGCAGCTATCTGTAAAGGAAGCAGCTGGTATAATCTAGTAAACAATGAAGGTCTTGCAGAGGTTTTTGTTTCAAGCTGAATCACTGTGGGAGGTGAGCTACCATACTGCTGACAGTAATACACTGCAAAATCTTCAGGCTCCAGTCTGCTGATGGTGAGAGTGAAGTCTGTCCCAGACCCACTGCCACTGAACCTGTCTGGGATGCCAGTGGCCCTGCTGGATGCATCATAGATGAGGAGCCTGGGCGCCAGGCCAGGTTTCTGCTGGTACCAGGCTAAGTAGCTGCTGCTAACACTCTGACTGGCCCCGCAGGAGAGGGTGGCTCTTTCCCCTGGAGACAAAGACAGGGTGGCTGGAGACTGCGTCAACACAATTTCTCCGGTGGTATCTGAGATTGGAAATAAAATAGAAAAGTCACCCATGTAATCTAAATCAAACCCACTGTCTTCCCAGAAGAGCCAGAATTATTGCTTTATATTGAGCTTTAATTATTGTATTGATTCAGCAGAGTTGCCAGGTAACAGGACTTGAGAGGGTTTTCACTGACATGCAAAACCATCCCATGTTCCCCTCACCTGGGAGCCAGAGTAGCAGGAGGAAGAGAAGCTGCGCTGGGGTTTCCATGGTTCCCTCTGGGTCCTAACTGAGCAGTTCCTCCCCAGAGCTCTGACCCAGGCATTGATATGGGCTCTGGACTGCAGGGCGGCTGGGAGGGACATGCAAAGCAGCTGGGGGGGCGGGTGCTGGGCTTCCAGCTTCAGAGACCATCTGCCTCCCCTCTCTGCACTCAGCAGCCCATGCCCAGGTGATCAGGCCAGAAAAGGCCGTTGGCTCAGCCTGAGGGTAGAACTTCTCCCCTGCGGCCACAGAATTTAACCCCTGTGTCCTCTTGTCTCACCATCACTTAGATTCAGCCACAGAATGTTTGGTACAAGTCTGTTAGAAACAAAATAGAAGGCTGTGGTTTCATTTTTCTCTTTCTGCTCCAACTTGTGCCCAGTCAGTTCCCTAAATGCATGATGGATCAGGTTGAAAGGAAGAGTCTATTACTACTTTATCTTCCGGATATACTTGTATTTACTTGTTAGCAATCTTTCCTGAGGGTCCAGAGGCTGTCTCATTCTTTGCAGAAATTAAAAGAGTAACATTCAATTAACCTCAGCACTGTGAGTGTGAGGACTTTCACAACTGCACAGATAAGTGATACCTGGGCTCCAAATCCTCAGGGTAGTGATACCATTTCCCTAAAGACAGAAGATGGTTTTGTCCATGCAGGCAAAGAACTATTCCTTGGGTGATCCTCTAATCTATCCAGTCTTTTTATCCTGTATAGCTGGTATGGTTTACCCTTAGTAGGATGAAACAACCACTTCAGTCCGTGACAGGGTGAGGTCTGGGATGCAGATACAGTGTTTTGTCAAATTATCTGTGGTGGCTTGGAAGAGCCTTACAAAGACATGAAGCTTCTGGGTCTCTGCTGCCTGATCCTTGAAGAAAAAACAGATTGACAGATCAGTGCCCCACCTCCCATCCACCCCAGGATCTCAGGGATCCCCTACTCATCCACAGGGGTTGGTTTGAGTTAGTGGAGGGACTCAGTCTGTCTGTCCCTGTTCTGAGACTACTACCTCTTTGGGCACCCATTGCCATTGTTGCTTGACCCAGTCCTTTCACCCTCGGTTGTCCAGTTCTAGAAGGGAGGTCAAGTACTGTAGAAACTTGACATGTCTGATAACGTCATCCACCCTAATGGAGGAATCAGATGACCCCCGTACCAGTAGAAGGAAATTAACACCCTGATATTTCTTGATCCTGTGGAACCCACAGAAGGCACCCAGGGGAATCATTCCATCCAATTAGAGTTAGGAGGCCTGTCTGGGTTATCATGGTGGCCTAAACTGCAACACCCCCAAGAACATCACTATAAAAGGAAAAAAATGATTGGAAACCCTGAGTTTGGGATTTCACAGTGGCAGCTCTATCAGGAAACTGGCCTTGCCCAACTTCTTCCTCACTCAACTCAGTGTTTTTCAACCTGCACCTCCGTGCCGTCTTTCCCTTGCTCTGCAGTGCAGTGTTTAATGTCCATTTGCTGTGGTCAGATGGGGTACCACTCTATTAGCAGGTTGTCCTGATGTACACTCTTCAGTTGCTGTGTGAGTCAGCTGTTCTAGCATTAAATAGATCCATTGGCCTTTGGATAACAAGGTGTATGGAAAGTCCATCACGTCCCATGAGAGTGTGTCCATTGACATCATTTGGGCAGTAAAGAACTTTCCTTGGTCAAAGCAAAGTCTCAGTGGGCATCCAAAAACATGGCATAAGTTCATCTCAAGGGTGGTCATGGTAGTCCCAGCATCCAGCTGAGTGACATATTTGTCTCTTACAGGTGGCAAGCTGTTGCCATAGTCCTTTTCTCCACAGAGGGGATGCTTTAATAGTCCAGTCACTCGGTTACTATTTTCCTGATCAGATAGCTAGACTGTTGGCAGTGGCCCATGAGTTGGTAAAAATATAGCAAGAGGTGGCAGAAAGGCCTGCATGACCATTACCACTGCATGTAGTTTGGACCATTGGGTGGAATGACCATCATCAGTCTCAGGAAAGAAAATAGTCATCCACTGGCTAGATGGTAGCCACCCCCAGTCTGCATGTTTTGCAGAGCCCTAAGTGAACCATGCCATACCGATGTCGGCATGTCTCTGAATCTTGGACTTCGGGTAGCCAAAAGCAGAGCCAAACCATCCCCCATGGGTCATTTAGTCCCTTCTAGCAAGCTCGCCATTTGTTTATGGAGCCTTCAGATCCCACGGGTTGCTGGCTGGGCCTGATTCTGAATATACCATTTCCATTTGATAATGCAGCTCTATTGAGCCTGTCCAGTTTCACTGGTTGGATTTTTGCACCCAAGTGAAAAGGAGCAGTTCACCCAGCAGCGCCACACTTGGTGCTCAGCCCCAAGCTGTCCAGTCCCTGTCAGTTTCCAATAGCAAGCAAGGAGTTGCCTTGCCAAAGAGGGACATCTGGTGGCTGCTTCAGCTGGTTTATGTGTTCAGTATCTGAGAGGCTGGCTCACTCAGTGACAATTTTCTGTTGCCACATACTCCAGTCAGCATACATAGAGACTGTGGACACCTGAACTTCCATCAGGCTAACAGGCTCTAAAGGTCTAAAAGAAGTGTTTGGACCATGTCCTGTTGAACTTCTTCCAAGGCTGCTGTTGCAAAGGGCTCTGTTCAAGGTTGGTGGTTTTGTTTGTGATTTTGATTTTGACTAAGTGGACTAAAAGCCCACCCCAGAGAGGTTTATGCTGTTTCCAATACTCAAAGAAGCCTACCAGCTGTTGTCCTTTTTATTAATGGTTGCTGCTAGTACCAACAATGTTTAACTATATCCGCGATCCTTCCTTGGTTTCCTGTCCAAGTGGCCTTAGCATTCAACGTGAAATAGTCCATTGTTAGTCTCTGTTCCCCTAAAGTCTTTTTGCCCCGCCAAACTGAGTTGCTCCATGGTGACAGGGGACTATGTAACATTTTAATCTGTTTGTAGCAAGTCTTGAAAAAAACAGGTAATGTCTTATTCTTCACTTAGTACACAGTACTGTTTTTGTCAAATAACCCACGGAGTCATGCGTAGCTTAGGTGGTAGGCTTCAGTGGATATTCCCTTTTGTTAAGGCTTGAATTCTTAGCTGCAAGGGAATATACCTTTTATGCAGCAGTGATGTTCTGTGGTGCAAATATCAATGCCTGTACTGCACTCTGAGGTGGGAACTACAGTCACCAGCCCCAACATGGCCCGCAGGGCACCATCCACAAGCAGAGAAGCACCATGGCCACTGCATTTGTCCCTGAACCTCTCAATGTCATTGGTTAAATTTTCCCCAATGGAGACCTATGGGCTCTGGCACCCAAAAACCCAGAAAAGTATTTCCTTATTTTCTCCTTTTATTTTTACATGGTCTAGGGCCACTGGTTTCTGGTGAGCACCCAAAGGCATTGGCTGTATCCCTAACTGTGATATTTAGATCAAGAAATTTGGAACTGCAAATATTGCTTTATCAAACAAATACACCAAACAGTCTGCATAGGCCTTCCCTGAACTTTTTCTGTATCTCTTATTTAGAGAGTGAGTCTCCCTTTGTGTGAAAGCCCAAATAGCATATGTTGGTTCCCTCTCAGGGATCTTAGGGTCCATTTGAGTACCCGTTTCCCTAGCTCTCTGGCTCCAGGAATGAGCAATCATGTAAGTGTCTACGAACCAGAGGATTTTGTGCCTCATTCTCATTTCTACACTCCTTTCTCTCTGCCTTAATTCAGGCAGCCAGCTCATCTAAACTCATGGAGAGAGTGATCTATAACCCACTGATCCTCCCTCATTCCCCATAAAGCACCCAGATGCATGTCCAGGCCTTGCACCTTCCAGTCTAATGGTCCTCCCCTGGCCAAGTAATGGGAGGTATCATTCTTCCCACTTCACCAATAAGCCATGGTTCTGTCATACTAGAATCTTCTCAATGGGGCAATTTTGTTAAGCAGGTTAACTGTGCAGTGATTACCAACTTATTTGAGTCCAGGGAGATAAAACACCCTTACACAACTAGTTATGTGAAGCAATTTACAATTTACAGACAGGCAGCAAGGGATAGCAAAATCCAAGAATTTATTGTAGGTCTGTTCCCCCAAGGCTCAGGAAAGCTGCCTGGGGCTAATGGGGTCTAGACTGTGCTTCATATACACTGCAGCTGAGGCACTCTTGATTGGACCCACCCTGGGTTTTATATCTTGGAGTCACATATCATGCTGAGCTAAAGTGTTGAAGGAAATCCTGTTTCAAGAGGGTGTGGCAGGACAATACTCCCTGTCAATTGGACAGACAGGTCTGCATGACAGTCACACAGACAGGCCTGTGTAGCAGTCCAGTTATACCAACAAATTTCCACAGCACTGCCTTAACACTGAGCAAATAATTAAACCTAGGGGAATCGGTTCCCAGGCATCAAAGCTAGAAGTAAAACATAGGTCAGTGGGAGGCTTGCACAGGCTTCTCCCTAACCTCAAGCAAGTCAAAATAATGGAGACAGCCTTACATTCCTAGTGCCAGGACCCGTCTTGGGTCAATAAAATGAGATGAGTCAAGGTAACAGAGGCAGCTGTTTGAATAGATTCACTGGAGAGTCTAAGGCAGCTCTCTGGACCAAGCTGTAAATGAGATAAGATAGAAATAATCACTCCGGTACCACAGTCCTCACTGATTAGAATTTAGGAGACAGGTCTTGAAGGTACTGGGACCCTCACAGCTTAATCGGACTTAGCATTTCTTTGGCCTCTGACCTAGTTGAAACAAAATTAGTTGCCTATAGACTTAGGCAAATGTTATATTGCACATAGGCACATAATGCCAACCTATATAAGCACTAAGAAAATGGTAACACTTTCAGCCTGGCCAACATGCTGAAACCCCGCCTCTACTAAAACTACAAAAATTAGCCAGGTGTGGTGGTGGGCGCCTGTAGCCCCAGCTACTCAGGAGACTGAGGTAGGAGAATCGCTTGAACCTGGGAGGCAGAGGTTGCAGTGAGCTGAGATCATGCCACTGCACTCCAACCTGGGCAACAGAGTGAGACTCCATCAGAGAAGGAAAGAGAGAGAGAGAAAGAAAGAAAGAAAGAAAGAAAGAAAGAAAGAAAGAAAGAAAGAAAGAAAGAAAGAAAAGAAAAGAAAGAAAGAAAAGAAAGAAAGAAAGAAAGAAAGAAAGAAAGAAAGAAAGAAAGAAAGAAAGAAAGACGGAAGGAAGGAAGGAAGGAAGGAAGGAAGGAAGGAAGGAAGGAAGGAAGGAAGGAAGGGAGGGAAGGAAGGGAAGGAAAATTATAACACTTGGAGTTGGTCTGGTGATATTATCTCTGACCTTCTTCCTGTATCCAGTTAAATTCCCTTCTTTCTTAGTTTGTCTGCTTCTAGTTATTGGGCCATGAGAACATGCAGCCAGAACTCGGCACAAGGGGATTGGAACAGAGCCTGTGCTGTGGTGGCCAATACTGCCCTATCTCAGGATGTTACATTCCCAGGATATTCTACAGTGATTCTTGAAAACTAAGAGTGAGAAAAGGGAGGAGACTGGGTTGGTCCAAGGCCAACTGGAGACTGTGCTGCAAATACTATAGTGGGATGACACCTCATTAGTCCTGTGGCTTGCTGATTTTGCTGAGCATAGTGCCTTCACTGTTCATCTATGTGGGAGCCTGTGTCAGAATTTCCTTCCTTTGGAAAGTTGAATAACATTCCATTGCATATATATTTATATGCCACATTTTGTTTATCCACCCTTCCCTGCATGAACATTTGAGTTGATTCCACCTTTTGGCTATTATGAACAATAATTCTCTGAATGTGGGTATATAAATATTTCTTCAAGTTAATGTTGTCAGTTATTTGGATATATGTCCAACGGTGGAATTGCTGAATTATATAGTATTTCTATTTTTAATTTATTGAGGAATTGCAATGTAGTTTCTTATACTAGGTGACCATTTTACATCCCCAAAACAGTGTCCACAAGATTTCCAATTTCTCCAAATTCTCATGAACAGTTTTCATTTTCTGTTGAGGGAAACCATCCTAAGAGGTATAAGGTGGATTTTGTTTTCATTGCCCTAAGAATTAGTGATGTGGAGCATCTTTTTCTGTGTTTATTGGCTCTTCATCAGTCTTCACTGGAGATGGTTAATATTGAGTGTCAAGTTGATTGGATTGAAAGAGGCAAAGTATTGTTCCTGGGTGTGTCTGTGAAGGTGTTGCCAAAGGAGATTAACATTTGAGTCAGTGGTCTGGGAAAGGCAGACCCACCCTCAATCTGGGTGGGCACCATCTAATCAGCTGCCAGTGCAGCTAGGATAAAAGCAGAAAGCAGGCAGAGGAATGTGGAAGGACTAGGCTGGCTAAGTCTTCTGACCTTCATCTTTCTCCCATGCTGGATGCTTCCTGCCCTCAAACATCAGACTCCAAGTTCTTCAGCTTTTGGACTCTTGGACTTACGCTGGTGGCTTGCCAGGGTATTGTCAGCCTTCAGCCACAAACTAAAGGCTGCACTGTCGGCTTCCCTACTTTTGAGGTTTTGAGACTCAAACTGGTTTCCTTCCTCCTCAGCTTGCAGACAGCCTATTGTGGGACTTCACCTTGTGACTGTGTGAGTCAACATTCCTTAATAAACTCCCTCTCATTTATACATCTATCCTATTAGCCCTTTCCCTCTAGAGAACCCTAATTCAGGAATGGTCAGGAAGCAATTAATTTCCCTTTACCAATCTATTTTAGATTGTCTTTGTGCAATGAATTTTTTCTGGGTTAGTAAATTAAAGGAGCCTCTAAAACTAGCTACACATTGTGAAGTCCACATTAGAGGCAGTGGAATAAGTGTCCCCCAGCATTTAAAACCCAAAGATTTGAGGGCCCTGAATCTAAGATTTTTTCTAGCTCTCTTGCTTCATAAATATGCCCTCTGATTTTTAATTCTACCTTAGAGAAGGACAATTGTGGGGAAGATATTAATTGTGGGCGAAATGAAGAATGCCCACATCCCGTCCATGTCCTAGTACCTAGAACCTATGAATTCTAACTTACGTAGCAAAAAAAAAAAAAAAAAAAAAAAAATCCCAAAACTTAGTGGATGCAACTTACTTAAGGATTAAGGATTTTGAGTTTGGGAGAAACTCCTAGATCATCCAGATGAGATCAATATAATCACGAAGGTCCTTATAATTGGGAGGGAGGAGGGTCGCAGTTAGATAGGAGCTGGGACAATGGAGAGGGATACTGGAGTGATGGAAAAATGGGTCATGGAGCCAGGAATGTTGAGGCATCTTTTTTTTTTTTTTTTTTTTTTTTTTTTTTTTGAGACAGAGTCTCACTCTGTCGCCCAGGCTGGAGTGCAGTGGCGCAATCTGGGCTCACTGCAAGCTCCGCCTCCCGGGTTTACACCATTCTCCTGCCTCAGCCTCCCAAGTAGCTGGGACTACAGGTGCCCACCACAACGCCTGGCTAATTTTTTATATTTTTAGTAGAGATGGGGTTTCACCGCGTTAGCCAGGATGGTCTCGATCTCCTGACCTCATGATCCGCCCGCCTCGGCCTCCTAAAGTGCTGGGGTTACAGGCGTGAGCCACTACACCCGGCCTAGGCATCTTGAAGATTAAAAAGGAAAGAATCAGATTCTCTCTCCTAGAGCCTCTAGAAGGAATAGAGCCCTATGTCTCCTTGATATTAGCTCAGTTAGACTTCTCATCTCCAGAACCATAAGATAATAAATTTGTTAGAAGCCAGAAATATTGTGGCAATTTAACCAGTAGCAATTGGAAACTAATGCAAGGGGAAAAATGTCTTTTACATCTCTGAGTGTGTGGTGTCCTCTGTTCTCCCAAACATTCCATGTTGTTATAATCTGGTGCCAGTTTTGACAAGAGATGTAAACCATTTTCTATGAGAACTTGTACCAGGATTCTTCTTAGGTAGAAAATGTCTAGAGTAAACCCTTTGATTAGCTCTTTTCCAATGTGTGTTGGAGAGTTAAGGGATCAGGTCTCATAGCACCTGATAGAAAGCGGAGGGTTTGTTTGTTTGTGTGTTTGTTTTCATGTTTGGCAGGAAAGTTAGAACACAACCTGACAAGGAAAAACTTAGAGAGATTGGAATCTGAGAAGGAAAGACTTAGAGAGACTGGAAGGGAAAGAGAAGATGTGAACAGGGTCAGGGGAAAGCAAGATGTGTTCCTACTCCAAAATATAAAGCAAAGTCATTTACAAGTTTTAAAGACTTCGAGAGGGTTATATTTTGAAGAGAAAACCACAGAAGGGGCTAGTTTAAGATTAGGGCCAGCCTGGCATGAGACAGAGGCAGCAGGGAGCTGTGGATTCCACACTGTTTTTATGGTCCCTTCTTCCTATTTATAGGCTTTGGGCTCAACCATGGGATGAAAGTGGCCACGTAGAAGGAACATACTAAAGCCAGACAGACCTGGGCTTCAATCCCAAGTCTGACCATGTGACTTTGGGCATTTGCTGACCATGTGACTTTTGGCAAACCAGTCATGAGCTCTCATAGCTGGTTCTCTCATATGTGAAATGGAGCACTTTGGAAGTCATGGGGTATTGTGAGAGTTTAACCAAATGATGCACCCTGAAGAGTGTATATGTGTGCCCATAAACATACACACACACACATTATATGCACATTTTATATACCCAGTTTTCTTTAAATGCACCCTTGAGTATCTTAGAAAAAGAGGCTATGGAAGATATTATTAACCATATGTCATTTTCAAATCAAATTCTTTAATAGTTATTCTACAACTAACATGTGACTCACTATAGGCAATGGGGTTTCATGTACATTATTTCCACAATAAAAACTTCCATAAATCCATTCCTGTGTAGCACTAGAAACATAAACAAGATGACAAATGACTATAACACCTTTAAACCAGATTTCCCCTGAGCTCCATCTGTTTAGTGTACACTATTGGGTTCCAAAGGCCGTGGCTACAGGTCTGAGTTCTAAATCCATTCTTCCCACACCCACAGCCTTCCCCCAGGTCTCATTCTGGCCTCCTGCATGCTGGGAATACAGACCCACCATCCTGCTACTCTCCTGGGAATCCAGCACTAACTACCTGGAAGCTTTGCTTAGTAAACGCTCCAAATGCAACCTCTGACAGAGACCTGGCTGAGGCAGCCAGCAACTTCCCATAAGAAAACCACTGAGAAGGGAGGAAACTTGCAGAACCATGTTGGTGTTGAGGAAATGCACAGTATCACCAGGTTTTATCTTTTCAAACGGTTCCTGTCTCTTTCTTGACAACAATTCATGACCTTGGAAAAGGGAGGAATTAAGGAGAACAAAGGGATGTTTCATGCTTAGGATATAAAAGGAGAAATGGAGATAATGAAAGAGCAGAATTGAGGAACTCTTTGGCATTGTTTGGGTTTCTCTTGCCATGGGCATAGCAGGACGAAGGTGCCAGGGAGAATATCACTTATCATGTTTCCTGCCCTTCATGCCTCAGACTCTTACAAACACACACACTTCTGATAATATGTTTCTTCTTCTGAAGCACAGTCTGTGGCCCAGCCAGGATCTTTCTCTTAAGTGTCTTTTATAGATAAGTTGGAATAATTTTAGAAACAAGTCAAAGAAATAATAGTAATGGTTTAAGTAATGACAAGAAGTCTGAAGGTTGAAGCACTTAAGGTTGGTACAACAGCTTGGTGACAGCTGAAAGGCCCCAGATTGTTACTACATTTTTGCTTTGCACCTGCATTATCACTGGCTTTTCATTCTTGTTGTAAATGCCCCATGGTCTCAAGAGGATTGCGGCAGCTCTAAGCATCATATCCTCTCTTAACTGTTACAGGAAGAAATGCAAAGCAAAGCTCTTCACTTTCTGTCCTTTTCTGAGGTATAACCATTTTCCCATGATCCCTGCCCACTCCTCTGACATTATCATTTTGGAGCTGATCACATGTGCCCTTAATCCCTGCTCCCATCCTGAGCTGGGAGAAACTCACCACCCTCACCATGTACGGCAAGACATAGTTGGTGCCCTATACACCAAAGGAAGAAGGGGATGACTGCTGCATAGCTGCCAAGAGCTTTGTCACATTTTAAATTTCGCTGTGCTTCTAAGTTAAGTTGTATAGGGAGGAGAACGTATGAACACTTCGATCTGATACAGCTGGAAGAAGCCAGGCTCTGAGGATGAAAATGAAATCAAATTTCTGATTTCTCATACGACATCTTTAGCTTTAAGAATTGCGTAAATGTGGCCTGTGCATTTAAGACCAGGACAGGCTTTCAGTTATGGGAATAAATGAGGAGAGATTTGGAATAGGGTCCTCAACCCAGGACTAAGGTGAAGCTTGCACAACTTGAGACTGCTGGGCTCTGGCCCTGGGCTGTGGAGGAAGTAGCTGCTCTCTTGAGCCATGGGGCTGAGGACTTGGGAGGAACCAAAGGTCCTGCCCACAGAGCTGCCTGGCAGGGTTTCAGGGAAGGAAACTGCTCATACTTCTATGGGCGCTGCACCAAGCATAGAGTCCACTGCCAGTGTGAAAGTCTCAGATACACGACCCTTAGGGCTGGGCCTGAGCTCCTGGAGCTGGCTGCTCTCAGCTCTGTCCTCACTGATTCTGCATGGCTGGGGCCCTGCTGGAGTCAAAGAAGGAGGAACAGCAAATGTCCCCAGAGTCTTTACTCAGCCAGGCTCTGTTCTGGTTAGAAAGAAAAAGAACACATGCTAAATAAACAAACTTAAAATTACGTGCATAGGTATATATTTGCAATGTAACCCTTACAAATTAAATATACATATAATATTTTAGATATAAGTAATTAACAAACATAAAATTACATGCATAGGTATATATTTGTAATGTAACCCTTACATATTAAATATACATATAATATTTTAGATATAAATTATATTTATACATTTGGATATACTGTGCATCTATATTAGGAATAAGTATAATATGCACACTTATATGTTAATAGATATAACTTTAATTGTCAGTGTAAGATATGATTTTTAAACTTTGATAAATTGAGCACAAACATTTAAAACCAGCAATGGTTGCACCACCCCATGGCCCCTTCATCACTACACAGCCTGAGGGTCAGGAAGCTCAGGACCAAACCTACATCCATTCTGGGCTGAGCAGTACCTCCCTGCCCATTGCTAAGGACACTGACTGTCCTGACGGGGGTCTGGGGAATCACAGAGCAGCAGGTGCTGGGGAGATGGGCAGTGGGTCTAGACCCCAACTGGAGGGACTTTTGTCCCCAGAGCTCAGGGTGGGCAGGTCCTCCCCTGGTGGCCTTTGTGAGACAGAGTAGCACACATGGCCCAGTGGCTGTGTGGTAACAGGGAGAAACCATTCCAGGGACCATTGGCAGCCTCCCCTCTGCCTGGATTCAGCCCACATCAGGTAGGGTTTGGGGATACAGCCAACGCGGTGGGGAGGAAAAGGCTGGGCTTCCAGTCTCAGAGCACAGAGCACAGAGGGAGTTTCCCACAACTCAGTGCACTGGCAGCTCCTCCCATGTAATCTAGGTCATAAATGAGACCTCATTTTAGCCCTAAAATATCCCTGTTGATTTTCCTAGTATTTCTAAGATCAGGCTTATTTCTGGTGTTTACTGTGGGGTTTGTCTGCCATCTAATGGCTGGTTGGTGACATAGCATCTTATAGGATTTTAGATGCTGAGTCCCAGTCAATCTTGACGGTGAGTCTTTTCATGGGTAATGATGAAGCAGATCCTATTACATCCATCAGTAGGCCAGATCCTATAAGGAACACAGAATGACACCTCTCCTTGATAAACCAGTCCCAAAGTTGAGGACAAGGGATATCCAGAAAAGATGTTGCTCACAAAACGATTAGGAATTAGGTTCTGAAATCCATGTGAAATGCTGAAAATGTAGTTTTGGAAGAGAGAAAAAGGGGTGTGAGAGACCCTGCCGGGCATAATGGCAGGGGCTGGAGAGGAAATCCAAGGTCCTCTTTTATGGATCTGTCAGCCCAGGCTCATTCCCGTTATTCTGGAAACTCTTCCAGAGCAGATCTGAGGACCACAGTGGTTGCACCAGCTGGAGAGCTTCTGAGGACTCCCAGTTTTCCAGACTAACGGCTGGTGAGATTTATGCTCTGAGCTATAACACAATGAGGGAACACTTGTCAACATTTAGAGCGGTTTTAAGCAAAATAATTTTCTAAGACAATAAAAATGTCTACATTTATGCTGTACAATAGGGTAGCCATTAGTCATATGTGGCTACTGAACACTTGAAATGTAGCTAGTGTAACTGAGAAAACATGTTTTTAATTTTTAATTCTAATTCACATTATTTGTGGCTGGGCACTGCAAGTGTTTACCAGGTGAGAGGATACAGTTTCAGACAATAATAATCAGCAATGTCATCAGGGTACCCGAGCTGCTGAAAGTTAAGGAAGTGTCTGCCCCAGGACCACCGTGCCAAGCAGGGGTGGACCATGGCCAATGTAGACAAAGCACATGGGTGGATCTTTGAAACCTTCCCTGGATTCATCTGCTTCTAGGCTGGTGATGGAAACTCTCTCTCTGTCTTGGAGATACTGAGGGAGAAGCTGGAATCTGGGGCCCACAATGTTGCCACTGGAATCTGAGGTGGAAACAAAACACAACTCTTCCCCAGTGTTAATGATGTCTCACTCTACAGGCCTCCCAGAGACTCGTGTTGGCTGATCAAGCGGGAGATGAATGCTGGGCTTGCTGAGCGATGGTCTGTATCTCAGCACGGGACATAAGAACCCTGTCACATGGAGCTCCCATAGCTGATGCCAGGACCCAAGGGCCAGAGCCCCAGGTCCAGTGCTTCCTCTGCCTCAGGTGATCCCACCCTAAAGGCAGCAACCAACCCACTGATAAGGGCTTGAGTGGCAGGGAGGGGCTTTGTGGAGCCTGCAGACTTACAACAGGGATGCAAAACTGAACTTCCAGCTTCTGAGCCAGGGAACATTTCATGTTATGGGTGTGACCCAGGTCAAGGTGTTTGATGAAAGATATTAGTATAAATTTTCTCCTTAAAGGAATAAAATCACAGAAGACATCTTATTATTATGGTACTGGTTGGCTTTTTCAATGCACAATGGTTTACCTGAAATCTCCCAGTCCCTGCCCTTCTCGTGATGATCCTATGGTCTTTGCTGTTCCTATGGTCACTTGGCTGCCTCCTCACCGTTCAGAAGCATCTCCAGTATGACCCCGAGACCTTCCCTGGTCCGCACAAATAAATGGTCTCGGCCTCCAGATACCACATGCCACTGCCTGAATTTTATACAATTTATCAGCTATTGAAATGATTCTTTTCACTTTCACTGTGTAGGTATTGTTCTCTGAATGGCTCATTTCCCTACTGAATATCAGTACTTGGGATCAAAAATTGTCTTATTTACTCAAATGCTCCTAACCCTCACATGATGGCTTTGAATTGTTCCTGAAAACTCCGATATTATGTTAAAATCCATTAAATGCAAAAATATGTTTATTTTTTATTGAAGAAGATATCATGGCTTCCCCTCAGCTAAAGACAATTAACTACTTTTATAGTTGAAAAAGATCCACTGGACATGAAAGAAACACATATATAGGAGTAACAAGCATCATCTTGAAATTAGATAAACTCGATTTTCATGTAAGATGTCCAGTAGGCAGAAGAAAGGCCCTCACAGTGGGAGGGGCTTGATGGAGAGGGTCAGGGTGTCTGTCCCTGGAAGGTGGGGGAGGGTGTGATGAGTGACCTCAGGCAAGCATCCAATATCAGGACCAGACATGACTATGAGTAATTCCTTTTTCCATGGGTTTTGATGCAAGAGGAAAGTCCTGATGGGGAAGCTTTGGGAATAGTCATAGCATGAGTGGAATACGGGTTGGAAACAGCATGTTTCTAAACACATACAAACAGCTCACAGACATTCAAACAAAAGTATCTCACAAAATGTTACCTCTTCCTCACCTTTTCTTGCCATTTGGGTTTAACCAATCATGGCACACAATTTGAGTTTCTCTACATGAGGGTCTGCAACTTGAAACTACCCTGTGAAAGAACTGGTGACTGTCTGCCTGATACCATAATGTAGAAATACAATTTCTTGTAGTAGATCATTGCACTTTGGTGTAAAATATATGTGATAAAAAATGTATTGAAAACCGATATAACTTTTTGTGACCAAATACGGTGAAAGTCACTCACAAAAATATCACCAAATCTGATATGTCTGTTTTCTCAATGACTACATTGTATGCCAAAAATTATTTTTGAATGAGTGACTTAATGTGCACAGGAAACAAAGTAAAACAAATAAGCTGAGTTGCTCTTGGTATTAAAAAATTCTAGGAGCAGGATACTGGTCCTATAATCAAGAATGGTGAAATTTTTTTTTTAAAAAAAGAAAATTCAAACTGCAGTTTGGATTTTGGAGGTGGATGAAAGAGGACATAAACAATACCTCTGATACACAGAAAAGAATATTTACTCTCAGGGTGGAGGGTTGCCCCCCTGTATTTCATATGTCAGGGCAAGATATAACATAAAATGCCCATTGAGTTTTCCACCTCATCTGAGCTCCCAGACTATTTTCTCTGACATGTTAGTGCCTTGGTACACTCAACTTTTGGTGAAGTTATTCTTATTAGGGAATCGAGGATTCTTAATTTCAACTTCCTTGGGCCTGGAATCTTGTCCTGCTCCCTAGACTGGCAACAAAGGGCTCTGGATCCTTCTGGTTTTTTATTCCAGGTAAATGTTCTTTTTGGAAAAGTCTCCTTTTCAAAATCCCAAGAGAAATGTCTATAGTTACATTTTCCGTGGACCAGTTTTCAGAAATCGCAACCCAAATATTCAGCATTTCCTGAATTCTCAGTTGAATGCCGCACTGGTGAAAGTGAACCTTAACGTTAATCTGACTTAACAAACATCATGCTTCAGGGGGCTGCTTTGGAAATAGAATTAATTTGTCACACCCGTGAACCCACAATAACTGAAACCTCAATCCATGGGATCTTCTGTCACTATAGCTCTAGGCCATCACCTGCTTGTTTCCTAATCTTTACCCTTTTAAACTCTTTTGCTATAAATGAGAAACTGTAGCTCTGAAGAGAAATCTAAAGTTTTTACCAACTTGTAAAAGATAGTTTATGGAAAGAAAAGGGAGAGGTGACCTTCAACAACTGTCCATGTAGTTTGAAAGTAAATATGGGTAAAGACGAAAGTATGTCATTATGGTCTTAATTTGCATTTTCCTGATAATTAGTGATGTGGAGCATTTTTCTATGTATTTGTTGGCGGTTTGTATATCTTCTTTTGAGAATTGTCTGTTCATATTCTTTGCCCACTTTTTGGTGGGATTATTTGTTTTTTTCTTACTGATTTGTTTGAGTTCCTCATAGATTCTGGTTATTCCTTCAACAGATGCACAGTTTGTGAATATTTTCTCCCACTTTGTGGGTTGTCTGTTTGCTATGTAGAAGCTTTTTAGCTTAGTTAGGTTCCATTTATTTATTTTTTGTTTTTGTGGCATTTCCTTTTGGGGTCTTAGTCATGAATTCTTTCACTAAGCCAAGGTCTAGAGGAGTTTTTCCAATGTTATCTTCTAGAATTTATATGGTTTCAGTTCTTAGATTTAAGCCTTTGATTCATCTTGAGCTGATTTTCGTATAAGGTGAGATATGAAGATCCAGTTTTATTCTTCTACCTGTGGCTTGCCAGTTTTTCCAGTACCAATTATTGAATAGGGTGTCCTTTCCCCACTGTTTGTTATTGTATGCTTTGTTGAAGATCAGTTGGTTATAAGCATTTGGGTTTATTTCTGTGTTCTCTATTGTGTTCCATTGATCTATGTGCCTATTTTTATACTAGAACCATGCTGTTTTGGTAACCATAGCCTTGAAATACCACCTTACTCATGCAAGAATGGCCATAATTAAAATGTCAAAAAATAATAGATATTGGCATGGATGTGGTGAAGAGGGAACACTTTTACACAGCTGGTGGGAATGTAAACTAATACAACCACTATGAAAAACAGTATGGAGATTCCTTAAAGAACTAAAAGTAGAAATACCATTCAGTTCAGCAATTCCAGTACTTATTTTTCTTATCTACCCAAAGAAAAAAAAAGTTAGTATAGGAAAAAGAAACATGCACATGCATGTTTAGTCCAGCACATTTCTCCATTTCAAAAATATGGAACCACCATAAGTGCCAATCAAGCAACGGGTGGATAAAGAAAATGTGGTGTATATACACCACGAAATACTTCTCAGCCATAAAACAGAACAGAACAAAATAATGACCTTTGCAGCAACATGGATGAAGCTGGAGGCTATTATTCTAAATGAAGTAACTCAGGAATGGAAAACCTATATGTTTTCATCTGTAAGTGGGAGCTAAGCTATGAGGATGCAAAGGCGTAAGAATGATATAATGGACTTTGGGGACTGGGGAGGAAGGATAGAAGGGGAGGTGAAGGCTAGAAGACAACATATTGGGCACAGTATGCACTGCTCAAGTAACAGGTCCACCAAAATCTCAGACATCACCACTAAAGAACTTATCCATGTAAATAAAAACCACCTATACCCCCAAAAACTATTGAAATAAATCATTTTTAAAAAGATGAAAGTATGCAGCAGTGACTCTAGTTTCCTCTCTGCTGGGTGAGCCAGACTTCATTGTATTGGTTAACTCATTGCCCCCAAAGCACCTGCAACAATCAGAAGTATTCTAGGGTATCACCCAGTTTCTCCGTTCAGCCAGGCTGAACTAGTTTTTGTTCTGGGTTGTAACACAGTGTGAGGTAAACTACTACTCTGATGACAGTAATACGCTGCAGCATCTTCAGCTTCCAGGCTATTGATGGTGAGGGTGAAATCTGTCCCAGATCCACTGCCACTGAACCTCGAGGGGACCCCTGAGATGGACTGGGAAGCATACTTGATGAGGAGCTTTGGAGACTGATCTGGTTTCTGCTGGTACCAGTGTAAGCTACTACCAATGCTCTGACTGGCCCGGCAGGTGATGGTGACTTTCTCCTTTGGAGTCACAGACTGAAAGTCTGGAGACTGAGTCAGCACAATTTCACCCCTGGAGGCTGAAAATATACAGCAAACATCAGTACAACATAAATATCTGTGTATGAAAATCACCTTTAATCTTGCTAGACATGAAGAAAGAATATGCATTACATTTTTAAAATTAGGATTTTAAAATCAAGCCAAAAATCACCTATTGCAGAGTCCCCAATGAAAGAAATTACAGATTGAAAGAATATCTCCGCCTAGGTTTGTGGAAATATTCTCACCTGGAACCCAGAGCAGCAGAAACCCAATGAGTTGTGATGGCGACATCTTCCTGCCTTGACTTGTCAGTTTTGCTCATGCCACATCCCAGAGAAAGAACCTCTTTTAAGATACCGAGAGGCAGGGCCTCTTCACATATAGGAGGAACGATACATGCAAATTATGGGGATGTCCTGCTGGTTTAAATAAACAGAAATCACTGTTGCCAGGAGAGCGCCCTCCCGGCCCCTTCCATGAGGGGTGTGAAGCGCCCTCTGCTGGCACCTGCAGACGAGCTCCGCTGAGGCTCTGGCAGGGCTTGACCAGACCCCAGGGCACAGCTGCAGAGTGAAGGCAGAGTCCATCGCCATCTCTGGGAGAGTCTGCAGTTATCTGGGGTGAATAACAGCTCACATCCTCAGTCTCGTCCCAGGGCTATGTTAACTCTCCTGCTCTCTGTCACAATGTAGGCTGAAAAAGCTTTGTGAACGTTCCACAAAGCATCAACACTATATTGATGACATCATGGTAATTAGACGTGATGAGCTGGACATTGTAAGAACTCTGAATTTCTTGTGAAAACACATGTGCTCTAGAGGGTGGGATGCACGCCCCAAAACATCAAGGGCTTGTCACATTAGAGAAGATGTCAAGTGTTTATAAAAGGGGTATGAGTCATGCTGGCTTATCCCCTCCAAAGTAAGGAAAAATAATTGCACCTTGTACTTCCAACCACTAGCAATGAAGCACATTACTGGTTAAGCCATCCTAGAGTGTTGACAATGCATTTTGCACTTGGGTTTACTATACCATCCCATTTATCAGCTAACTTGGAAGGCTGTCTTTTATGAATAAACTCTGAGAAAGAAAATATTCTGTAGTAAGTTTGAGTTTTAATGCAAATGCCTCTGTCACTTCAGCCATGAGATCCAGCACATTGCCTGGTGCTAGATAATCTATATTAGATGAGGAAACTCTGTAAACCTCCATGCAAGCACCAAAAAAGAGTCACAGAAAAAAATCTCTACAGTTCTTGAGCAAGATCCTGAAATGCCCCCAAAATAAACAAACAAACAACACACAAACAACTCACTACTCAAAATGCAGCTCTCAAAATATCACAGGGTCCATGTAGGCATGTCCATGAGTAGTTGACTGTTTGACTAAATAATTAAGTGACTAAGCTGCCCCTCATAAACTGAGAATGTCACTCTCACCAATTTTAAGATCAGGTGAAGCTCAGCACCATTCAATATTGGGATGCAGATGGTAGTTTAGTGACTGGGTTCAAGCAGATTCAGAAGGCATGCTTCATTTCCATCACAGATGTTCCAGTTCCTTATATCACTTTTCTCTCTCAACTTAACACCTCTGCATCAGCTCTCTCTATGATATCATGGGTTTTCCTGATCAGCTAATGCCAGAGAGATAATACAAAAAAAGAAAAAGAAAAAAAAGAAAATAAGCAAAAACAAAGAAAATCAAAGCAAAAATGAGAACAAGCTGGGCTTCCTCTTGAATGGCTTGGCATCATATGTTTGTGTAAGTAAGTGTGGACTGTGTCCACACTATGGCAACGGTCATGCATGGCTGTCAAATACTACCTTGAGTTATCTTACATCTGAGCAGAGCACATGTTCATCAAATTAGTGTAGATAGAGAAGTGTCTGGAGTCAAGTATACATATAGATTTCTGAATAGCTGGCTGGCTAAGGTCCTGGAAAAGAAGATCATAGCAATGGGTTTTTCCCAAATGTGTGAAACTCATAAACCTATTCATCTGTGTGTGTTCTGAAAAGTGTATACAAAATGTAGCCAGTTCTTATCTCCCTCTGTTTTACTTTTCACTGCACCCCCTTTGATCCCTGTTATTCATAACGGCAGCTTTTAAGTCACCAGAAATCTGTGCAGACATTATTTTAGCAATTCTATCATTCCATCACTTCCAGGAGTCCACTAGTAACTTTCAGCTGGTGTACCACTTGCCCCAGCTAGAGCCCTCAGTTTGAACTAGCTTGCTCTGTTCATTTCCTGCAGAATTCATCACATTTAGCTGGAAACACTGAAGGATCTTGCTTGACTCTCCACCTCAACTCAAGTCCACTCCCTTCGACTGCAAGCTGCAAGCTGACATCCTCATTAAAACCCCAGATCTGCAATTCATGCTGACAGAGCGGAGATGGAAGGGAGAAATCCCAGGCAAAAGGCTACAGACATAATTTCCTTCCTTACTCAAAACATATTCTTTCATGTTATGAATAGTATACAGTATTAAATGTTTTATACTTTGCCAATTTTCAGAGCGCTGAAACCGATTTGATATTTTTTAGCTTTATGCTTAATTTGTCTTTCTCATATATTTTTGCTGAGAGGATTTAACAATCTCTCTGTAACACAATAAAGAGAGATGCCTTCTAAAATGAATTTTAATGAATATGACAGCAACACTGAAAGGATATAGATATATGTTAAAACATAAGTAATTCTGAAGTAAAGAATTTGAACTCAATACCCACGGTTTGAAGAGAAATCGTGCACTTAACAAATATTAACTCTTGGCTGGGGACGGTGGCTCATGACTGTAATGCCAGCACTTTGGGAGGTTGAGGTGGGCAGATCACCTGAGGTCAGGAGTTTGAGACCAGCCTGGCCAACATGGTGAAACCCCATCTCTACTAAAAATACAAAAAATTAGCCAGGCTTGGTGACGCACACCTGTAGTCCCAGCTACTCAGGGGGCTGAGATAGGAAAATCGCCTGAACCTGGGAGGCGGAGGCTGCAGTGAGCCGAGATCGCACCACTGCACTCCAGCCTGGGCAACAGAGTGAGACTCTGTCAAAGTAAAGTAAAATAAAATAAATAAAATAAAATAATAAAATAAAATAAAATAAAATAAAATAAAATAAAATAAAATAAAAATATATATGTAACTCTAATCACTAGATTTCACATTTTCAGGGAATGCACTACAAATCTGTAAAATATGCCTTATGCATATTCTAGAATTGACCAAGTAAGTGAATATTCTCTACATAATGGGAGCCAGGATTGTCTTTAACAGATGATTGAAACACAAATATGAAAACATGATGAATCTTGTGAAATTGTTTCATAAGAATCCATGTCCTTTGTTATGTTTTAATTATTTTTATTTATATATTTTAATAACATTGAAATGTTTTTAGACTTAAAATTTGCATAATATAATAAGATTGTTCTCATGTACTCTTCCACTAGCTTCTTCTGTAATGTCAACATCAAGCGTAACTATAGGGTAAGTATCAATACCAAAACATTAACATAAATGCAATGCTATTAATTAAGTAATTTGAAATCCCCTCGTATTTCACTGATTTTTTCAGTAATCTCCTTCTTTATGTTCCAGAAAAAAAATCCAAAATCCCACACTGCATTTAATTATTGTGTCCTTAATATTTCCCAAATTGTGACAGTTTTTTAGTTTTGTCTTTCATGATTTTGAAACCTTTGAAGTGTACTGGCAAGTTATTTTGGAGAATCTCTTAAGTTGCATTTGTTTGAAGTCTTCTACTGATTAGATTCATACCTTTTATTTTTAGCAAAAAAACAAAAACAAAAAAAATGGGGTGCAACCTCAGTGCACAGCAAGAATTACAAAATGTCAACATATCCTATTAATGGTGATCAATTAATATGAACAATAAAACCCTTTTTTTAAAAAAAATGTTTTATTATACTTTAAGTTCTGGGATACATGGGCAGAACGTGCAGGTTTGTTACATAGGTGTACACATGCCATGGTGGTTTGCTACACACATCAACTTGTCATCTACATTAGGTATTTCTCCCAATGCTACTGTTCCCCTAGCCCCCCACCCCCCAACAGGCCCTGGGGTATAACATTCTCCTCCCTGTGTCCATTTGTTCTCACTGATCAACTCCCACTTATGAATGAGAACACGCGGTGTTTGGTTCTGCGTTCTTGTGTTAGTTTGCTGAGAATGATGGCTTCCAGCTTCATCCATGTCCCTACAAAAGACATAAACTCATCCTTTTTATGGCTGCATAGTATTCCATGGTGTATATGTGCCACATTTTCTTTATCCAGTCTCTCATTGATGGGCATTTGGGTTGGTTCCAAGTCATTGCTATTGTAAACAGTGCCGCAATAAACATATGTGTGCATGCATCTTTATAGTAGAATGATTTATAATCCTTTGGCTATATACCTAGTAATGGGATTGCTGGGTCAAATGGTATTTCCGGTTCTAGATCCTTGAGGAATCGCCACACTGTCTTCCACAATGGTTGGACTAATTTACACTCCCACCAACAGTGTAAAAGCATTCCTATTTCTCCACATCCTCTCCAGCATCTGTCTGAGGCCTCTGTTCTGTTCCATTTGTCTATATATCTGTTTTGGTACCAGTACCATGCTGTTTTGGTTACTGTAGCCTTGTAATATAGTTTGAAGTCAGGTAGCGTGATGCCTCCAGCTTTGTTCTTTCTGTCTAGATTGTCTTGGCTATGTGGGCTCTTTTTTAGTTCCATATGAAATTTAAAGTAGTTTTTTCTAATTCTGTGAAGAAAGTCAATGGTAGCTTGATGGGGGTGGCATTGAATCTATAAATTACCTTGTGCAGTATGGCCATTTTCACGATATTGATTCTTCTTATCCATGAGCATGGAATGTTTTTCCATTTGTTTCTGTCCTCTCTTATTTCCTTGAGCAGTGGTTTGTAGTTCTCCTTGAAGAGATCCTTCACATCCCTTGTAAGCTGTATTCCTAAGTTTTTTATTCTCTTTGTAGCAATTGTGAATGGGAGTTCATGCATGATTTGGCTCTCTGTTTGTCTATTATTGATATATAGGAATGCTTGTGATTTTTGCACATTGATCTTGTATCCTGAGACTTTGCTGAAGTTGCTTATCAGCTTAAGGAGATTTGGGGCTGAGACCATGGGGTTTTCTAAGTATACAATCATGTAATCTGCAAAAAGAGACAATTTGACTTCCTCTCTTCCTATTTGAATATGCTTTATTTCCTTCTCTTGCCTGATTGCCCTTCCCAGAACTTCCAATACTATATTGAATAGGAGTGGTGAGAGAGGGCATCCTTGTCTTGTGCCGGTATTTGACAAGAATATGTCCAGTTTTGCCCATTCAATATGATCTTGGCCGTGGGTTTGTCATGAATAGCTCTTATTATTTTGAGATACATTCCATCAATACCTAGATTATTGAGAGTTTTTAGCATGAAGAGGTATTGAATTTTATCAAAGACCCTTTCTGCATCTATTGAGATAATCATGTGGTTTTTGTCATTGGTTCTGTTTGTGTGATGGATTACATTTATTGATTTGCATATGTTAAGCCAGCCTTGCATCCCAGGGATGAAGCCAACTTGATCATGGGTGGATAAGCTTTTTGATGTGCTGCTGGATTCGGTTTGCCAGTATTTTATAGAGGATTTTTGCATCAATGTTTATCATGAATATTGGCCTGAAATTTTCTTTTTTGTGTGTGTCTTTGCCAGGTTTTGTTATCAGGGTGATGCTGGCCTCATAAAACAAGTTAGGGAGTATTCTTTCTTTTTCTATTGTGTGGAATATTTTCAGAAGGAATGGTACCAGCTTCTTTTTCTACCGGTAGAATTCGGCTGTGAATCCATCTGGCCCTGGACTTTTTTTTGGTTGGTAGGCTATTAATTACTGCCTCAATTTCAGACTTTGTTGTTGGTCTACTCAGGGATTCAAATTTTTCCTGGTTTAGACTTGGGAGGGTGTATGTGTCGAGGAATTTATCCATTTATTCTAGATTTTCTAGTTTATTTGTTTAGAGGTGTTTATAGTATTCTCTGATGGTAGTTTGTATTTCTGTGGGATCAGTGGTGATACCTCCTTTATCATTTTTTATGTGTTTATTTCATTCTTCTCTCTTTTCTTCTTTATTAGTCTGGCTAGTGGTTTATCTATTTTGTTGCTCTTTTCAAAAAAAACAGCTCCTGGATTCATTGATTTTTTTTGAAGAGTTTTTCGTGTCTCTATCTCCTTCAGTTCTGCTCTGATCTTAGTTATTTCTTGTCTTCTGCTAGCTTTTGAATTTGTTTGCTCTTGCTTCTCCAGTTATTTTAATTGTGATGTAAGGGTGTCGATTTTAGATGTTTCCTGCTTTCTCCCGTGAGCATTTAGTGCTATAAATTTCCCTTTAAACACTGCTTTTGCTGTGTCCCAAAGATTCTGGTTTCTGAAAGGAGGTCTTGGACAAAGCTAATTAAGCCAGCTGCTTCTATCACTCTTTGTATTTGGTTATTTGCTGACTTTCTGAGAAATAACCTATTCCTGTCTGAAACTATTTTTTTTTATGTTTCTTAGGCTTTAACCCTCTTCACACTTACTGTACAATAGAGAATATTGAACAAATAAATGAGTTGGCTTTTAAATGGCAAATGTTACTATGATGGCCATTTACCATTTAAATGTTAATAGCCTGAAAAAAAACCCAGAGGAATGAGATTTATTAAAATGTAGTGGTACCAACAAATGAACAGCAGTTACTGAATCAACTGTTTGGAAAAACATAATTTTCTAGCACTTGGAATACTGCAAGAATCAAATGGATAGGAACAGCTTGCCCTGAGCTACTTCTGCTGAGGAGACTGAGATACCATTTGTACCATTTTAGTATGCACACAGTTCAGACACTCTTTGTGGAAATAAGAGGTTCTGGTCCCTCAGTTAAAGAACATGTGGCTACATATGCATGACAGTTATTTCTAGAAATATGTACTTCTCCAAATTTTTAAGTTATTATCTGAAAATTTAATAGAATTTTGTCTTTGGATGGTAATGAAACAAAAATGTTAGAAGAGAATGGAAACTTTTGGGTATATATAGAGAGGATATCAGAGAAGGGTCAACCATACTTTACTGGATACAGTTAATCTGACTGGGGCTTTTGGAGGAAAAGATTTAGAGAAGAAAAGTGTTTGAAGAAGTCATACGTGTTTAAAAATATAGGCACAACTTGAAAACCCTTGCAAGAAAGAATAGATGACTTCACAAAAAGGTGAAGTGACTTTTCAATTTGTCAAATCACACTCATACATATGCTTTTTCTTTCTCTTTTATGCCCTATACCTCTGAGGTATTAGAAAGGCCTGAGTTTGAAATAATTTGTCCCGTAGAAATCCAGAAAGTAAGAGAATGAACAACATCTTTAGCACAGAAGCATGCCAATCCTGGGAAAAACCTGAGATTTGGTTTTTGAGTTATGGCAGATGTAGTAGAAAAAATGAGAAAAGGTTAAAAAGACAGAATAAAGATTATGTAAGAAAGGACAGCAATATGACATTCTAACCTTTCATAGGATAAAGTTATGATAATGAATGATGAGAAGAAATGCAATGGACCCATCTGGGTGGGCATGATTGAAAGTCTGAGCAAGTTAGTATAGATCAAGAACAAATCATTAGCATTTTAAGAATTGTGAGTCAGTCAGTGAAAATCCCATCTCAGAAACTAATGTGGCTATAGATGAAACATCCTTGGATTAGAATTAAGATTGTTTCTCCTAACTCTCTTCTAAATTAGTCTAGTGATGATAATAATGATTATTACAGTGCTAAATGTTATCATAATAGTAACAACAAAATTAATACCAGCACATATAATGATTAGATACTATTGTAAATGCTTTACCTTGTATAAATTGTAAAGAGACCTTTTAGGTAGATTCTATTATTGCCAAAGTTTCACATAAGCAAATTTACTAATGGCACATAATCTATAAGGATTAAAGCTCTGTCTCCAACACAATGGATTTGATTTCAGGGCTTGCCAAGATAACGTCTTGACAGTTAGATAAATATTGTTGACTCTATTTCCAGAATGAATGAAGATCCAATTGAAACTTAGAGCAGCATTAGTAAAACTGCTTCCTTGATACCTAAGAGAAAGGAAGAAAAAGCAAACGATTTTAACTGATTAAAGGAAAGGAGCAGCAGTATATGAAATGAGATTCAGGGGGTGTAAGCAGAGGTTCTGGGAACTATTAAGGAGAAGAGAACCTGACTCTGGATTGATATAAGCATTGCACAGAATCAAGCGGTGTGTAGATTAGAGGATCACCCAAGGAGTTGTCCCCTGCCTATATGGACAGCATCATTGTCTGTTACCTGCATGGACAGCATGATTGTCTGTCTTCAGGGAAATGGCATTGGTAACCTGAAGGGTCAGAACCTGGGTGCTTCTCATCTGTGCAGTTGTGGTCACCCCTGCACCTGCAGCACTGTGGGTACTTGAGTGTTGCTCTTTGAGGAAGCTTCAGGGCCCTCAGAAAAGATCCCTAAGCAGCAAGTGAAAGGTGTACTTGGGAGATAAAGTTCCAATAACTCTTCATTCCAACCATATTCTGTCATGCACCAGGGAAAACAACTAGGCATATTTAGGGTAGAAACAAAAGAAATGGGACCACACAACTTAATTTAGTTCCTACAAGTCTTGTACCACACACCATTCACTGAATCTAGATAATTGGTGAGACAGGAAGACACAGGGATATAAGACAGGAAGACACATGATATATGTGATCTAAGATAGAAATTCTACACTCAGGCTAAACTAACAGCCTTTTCTGACATGACCACCTGGGTGAAAGCTGACCAATATAATATTCACACATCCAGTCATATAGATAGATGCATGTTATCAAATCTGATAGCATAAATATAAATATTTAGTCATCCATTTATAAAGACACTTAGAGGAAATTAAAGCTAAATGATATGAATTAAGTGAAATTCACCTCACTTATGGAAAAAGTGCACTTACGGAAACATGCACTTATCCACTGCTCAAAACTCAGCGGATAATAAAACTAAGCAGATATTTTCTTGTTAATAGATGTTTATGATAACAATGATGTGGCTGATCAAGGAAGAGCTTAGTGGAGTGGTTCTTCTGCCTTTAGATTGTGTTTCATTTGGGATCAAGGAAGGGCCTAGCCAAGACACAACATTTGTATGGAAGGCAGCAAAAAGGAACACAATTTTCAAACAAAACTGACCAGGCAAATGGTATCCTAATGTTCTCTAAAACAGTGAACACAATTTAATTTATTCTTTTACTTTGTTAAGTCCTAAAGTTTCTAAAAACGTTTACTGCATTTAACTATCAAAGTATTTGATCCATTGATAAAAAATAATTGTTTTTCAACTTTTAGAATATTAAAAATATTTTTGAATGTAATTTTGCATTAATTAGAAATAAAGCAGCATATATTTTTAAGTGGTTTTAACATAAATGGTCTCACTGTGGGGGAAAAAAAAATCTTTAGCTAAAGTAAATGTCTTCTAAAACTTGGCTTCTTGAAACACCCGTACGTTACCTCTTAACTAGTTGAAGTGCAGGTTATCATGCAACAAGGTCTAAAGCACATCTGCTACTTTGCATTTGTACTGTGTTCATAGTGACGCTGAGAATGCCACTGGAATCTGGACAAATTTTAAGTAGCAAAGTGCTCTTATATTAAGGAAAAAGTATGCTACATGCACCTATAGGTGTTCTTGTTTGTTTTGTCAATTTTTTTTTCATTTGTCAAAGGATTGCTATGTATTTCAAGCAATGTTGTCATTTTTTTCTTTTACTTTACGACTTAATAAAATTTTCTTGCAATAATACCAAACTTTCTAATAATACATGTAAGAACATCCAAATGTATTCTGAAGCCACCCCATACCTGGAAAATTCTGAGATTTTGGGAAATACTTATCCCACTTGGCTGTAATTCCTCATATTCACCATGATTTCTAAAAGCACCTTTCCTGAAACCCATTAAACCCTCTATGGTTTCTTGTAGAGTTACTCAAAGAGAAGACCTCTCATCATATTTGAAGGTAAGAAGAAGGCGATTCAATATTCTTTGACACCGGTAGGCAAACATGTTCACTGAGATAAGGACTGGAGAATCACCTGGTGAGGTGCTGCAACAACTGATAGCATCAGCATCTTCGCATACGGACTTCCTAGACAAAGAAGACTATATGGTTAGATAGCCCATGCCTTTAGCGGCTGATGAACTCTGGCTTCTGGCAGACCTCCAGAGACTCCCGTGTTTCTAGTGTCAGCTTCCCTAACTACCACACTCCCAGTTTTGTATATTCAACTCTAATTCCCTGTATTAAAACAATGCCTTCTGGCAATCTGTAGAGTGGTTTCTCTTTTAATCTATGACCCAGATGGATGCAATAACACAGATTCTTCAGGTATCGTAAATGCTATCCTTTATTAAATCAGGAGAGATAGTGTCATGTCTGTGCTGCTGGGGCTAAGCAGGAAGAAAAAGAATTAGAATGCAGATGAGACTTCTGACCATTCCTACAAAAACCTTTAAATCTTGGCTGCACCTGAGAAACACTCTCAGCAGATGGAGGCACCAGTGGAAGCACCTGGGGCAGCCATGAGTCATACTTCTGCTTCCCTGGGGGTTTATTTTATGACCTGTAACACTCTAGGATGGCTGCTGTAAGTCTATAGACAGTAATAAGTTATAACATCTTCAGGTTGCAGGCTCCTGATGGTGAGAATGTGTGAAATGTGTCCCAGACCTACTGCCACTGAACCGTGACGGGACCCCAGATTGCAAACTGGATGCAGCATAGATCAGGAGCTTAGGAGGATTCTCTAGTTTCTACTGATACTAGCTTAAATAATTGCAAATGCCCTGACTCGCCCAGCAAGTGATGGTGACTCTCTCTCCTACAGATGCAGTCAGGGAGGATGGAGACTGAGTCATCTGGAAATCACATCTGACTCCTGGGACATAAAAACAAATAATCCACACAACTATTTGTAAGATGATTTCCCTGAAAGGCCAGGCTGTACTGAGCACATTGGCTGAGTAAATTCCTAGTGTTCTCCATCCTTACCTGGGAGCCGGAGCAGCAGGAGCCCCTGGAGC
Source organism: Homo sapiens (assembly GCF_000001405.40). Taxonomy (NCBI): domain Eukaryota; kingdom Metazoa; phylum Chordata; class Mammalia; order Primates; family Hominidae; genus Homo; species Homo sapiens. Next base: position 90,010,763 of record NC_000002.12, on the reverse strand, counting down.
TGAGTGGGGACCCTCATGTCCATGCTGTGTCCTGACTGAGACTGACTCCTGCACAGGGTGTGACCAGCCTATTAAGAAGTCTTCAGAACAGGGGGTTGTGCTCTGGGAACATGCAAATCAGCAGGGAATGGAGCAGGCTGGGCACAGCTGCAGGACTGGTTCATGGATAAGTATCTTAGATCCAGATAAAACTTAATAAATATTCATACTCTTATTTTTCACATTTTCAGCTTGGCCCAGGACATCCCAGCCTAGCTCAGTAGCAAGAATGTGAATCGTTTTTCTTTTTACTCCCATAAGAACAGTAACATAAAACCCTGTGAATGCTCCAGTCCTGGAGGAGAATGTGTGCCGAGAACAAGTGTAAAGTACAACTGGGGTAAGGGAGATAAGCAATGTGTTAACACCACCAAATATTCTCCCATTAAATATATACTAGTAACTGCTAAGCCAAACAATACCAAGAATATACCAGTGCTATGTTGTCATGTATCAGCCTCAGTTGTGTGACTGGTAGGCTGAATACATCTGGTTGACAAATGTATGCAAAGGAGAGAGGATTGAGATGAGCTAAGTCACCTTTCCCTTCCTCCTTCCTCCTGTCTCCTGGCTCAGAGGGCACTTGCATCTTCTGTAGGTTCTGCCCATGCTAAGGCTGCGACTGCTGAAGTGATCTTATGTGTGATGCCTGAGGTGTAGCTTCATACTAATCCCCTGAGTTCACCAACATCTTCCTGTTACATAGATTTAGAGAATATACCCTGTCTACTCCTCAGTGAAGGAACTAATTTGGGCAGCTGGGACAATCCAAGCAGGAGGCTTTTGTTTGGTGCTGAACCATTGTGGGAGGATATTGTAGAGTGTGGTGGCAGTTGTAATAGCCAAGATCCTCAGCCTCCACCCTACTGATCTTAAGCATAAAATCTGTCCCTGACCTGCAACCACTGCAAACTCACGGTTATGTGGTGCGTCACACAGGGCCATAAGTCTTCAGTGACTCAATTGTTAGTGAAGTTCTTGTCCAAATGTATTTCAGGTCGTATCACAAATGCCTATTTAACCATAGGATATAGACCAGCTTCCAAAGGTTGAAACTAGTCCTGTGATATATCTGGGGATGACTGGTCTACTCTCTCCTCCCATTGGGGAGAACCTGTGTGGGAAGGCAGAAAACTGATTGGAAGTCCTACAGATCAGGAGCTGTGGAGAGTGGCCTGGCTTCTGCAGGAACTAATACAAATAGGTGTATCCATTACCATGTAAAAGGTTCTGACTAGACCTGCAGGAGATGGAGGCCGGCTCTCCATTGGTGACGGGCAGAGAGAGTGGAGTCTGGGTCATCACAATATTCCCACAGGATCCTAAAGTAATATAAAAAAGAAGTACAATGTTATGTAAATCATGAGACATTATCATAATTTCTCTACAATTATTTAATGCTAAATAATTGTATTGCGGCGTGTGTGTGTGTGTGTGTGTGTGTGAGTGTGTGTGTAATTTTGATTCATGCACCAAAAAAATTCAATTAAAAAAAAAAACAGACATTTTGAAGGCCCAAGTTGCCCTATGGAAGTCACTTATGCTACCCTCCTCTTTCTATGTCAGAATCTGCACCAGAGCACAGGTCTTTGCTTTTTCTGGAATCTTCCTCACTCTTTCACATATAAAAGTGCCACCATACATTTTATCCTGGAGCACAAGACACGTGCATCTAACATGTGGACGGAACACACATGGGTGACAGTGGGGCCCCCAGAGCTCACCCTCCCACCCCATTCTCCTCCCTCATCTCCTCTGTCCTTACCAGGAACCCAAAGCATTAGCAGCCCCAGGAGCTGAGCAGGGAACCTCACTGTGAGAAGGTGAACTGAGGAGTCCTGATCAGTTAAGGCAAGGTTACAGCTGAGCTTTACTCCCAGACTCACAAGGGAAGGTCATTCCTAAGGGACAATATGCACATCCCCTGGTGGTTGCAGTGGTGTGGAAAGAGCCAATGTACAGTATGCTTAATTCTAAAATGTATCTTTGTCTTCAGTATTTTAACATGCCGCATCATGGCCTGAAACAAGCAAACAAAATAAACCAGTAGACAAAACTAGTTACTACCTACTACACATATATACTAAGTGTTTCTAAGAGTTCAAAAAATATTCTCAATTACTTCCAGAATTGAAAGGAAGAAAAGTCCAAATAGTATTATCAGAAAATATTATTATGTGGTGTACATGTTTGAGACTCCTGTGAGCTTTGATTTGCTCAACAGCCAACATCATGCATTGCAGGCAGCTTTCCATTCTCCTGATGGTTGGTGAGAGTGAGAGTCACTCAGCAAAGGGAGAAAGAGGTGCCCTGAAAGTCATCAGTGGCAGCAGGTGAGGTCAGGATACACTAGGGTCGCCTCCCAGTGATGTGACTAAGTGTCCCTGCATTCATGACAGCAGTAGGGAACTTTAGTGGCTGTTGCAGGGAGGACATGACAACCACTTCCTGGAGAGTCTGTAGGGTGTCAGCGCACTAATTGGAGAGAAAGGGAGAGGCTCTAGGAATTGTCCTGGAGGGCTCTAGCCCCTGTTTACACAGAAGAGGAGCCAGTGTTTGTGACTGAAACCTCATGGCCTCTTCCTGGAAGGCTCTCCAGCCATCTCTAACTGAGCCCACCTGGTATGGACGTGTGGCCTGGGTACCCCAGCTGCTCCTGCTGCATTGAGAGGCTGAGCCTCCTTGAGGTTTGTATGTGGGGCCATCACACAACGCAGCGTCCCAGTGAGTGTCTTGCTAACAGTCGTATGTGCAGTATCTCCAGGCCCCACAGAAGTGATTGTGAGTATGTAATCATTAAAATTTTGACTGCATGTGTGTCTCCACTTTTGAATATGTGCAGAAAAATACTTTGAAGGATTGTCATTCTTTGCCTATGTTACAAACGTCTTGCCATAATCCATTTTTTTCTGGATTTCTCTCCTCAAAAATTGGATTTTAACTTCCCTCACCACAGAATGCATTATCTTGGAATATACAGTCATTTCTAATATGGTTTACTTCCTTAACAAGGAAAAGAGTATGTTGTCCTGCTGATTCAAATGCCCCTTTACTTTGATCATATCATGTCATGATTAGTTTAGAAATACTTTTAGGGCATTATTTTAAGTGTCATCTATGCAAGCTATATATTTTCTATACAATTACTACTAGAAGGTAGGAATGAGGTTCATTTTCATGTAATGACTACATTGTGTGAAAACGATGCATGTACTTATATATTGAAAACCATTTATTCTTTTCATGACAATTGAATACCAAAATTGTCATTTCTAAAACATTATTTAGTTGAAAAAGTTATCTCCACTCCCAGGTACAATAACATTGTGGTTAAAAGCCCTAAAGCAACTGCTGCAAAAGGTACAAAAAATACAAAATTTATGAAATTATAACATCAGAGAACAGTGGACAGAATAAGGCCTAGGTAATCTAAAATTCCAGGGTGAGGAAATCCTCTCTAATTGAGCTGATGCTTACCTGACTTTTTGTTCTCCTGCCATATTTGCCAGGTTGGCATTTGGACCCAAGTTCTGCTTTGGCACAGGCAGAGAAACTCATCTGTGAAAGGAGAATCTGGCTGTGCCTCTTTGGTTGCACAATGCAGCCTCAACTCACAGATAGTGTTCTCCATGGAACATTGGCTGTGGTTTGATGACATGTGCAGTCTTTGGGTGCTGGTCTAGAAAGACAGAAACTCCCCATACAGAGGATTCATGGAGTTTTTGTTGTTGATAAATTCTGCGCAGACCATTCATAATACATGTCTGAATCATGGATATATTGGTCATCATTGCCACTGCTCCCCAATTGATGTAGACTCTATTGGGACTTCAGGTTAGCATGCCACTGCATGATTTGTGTTCTCAAACCCAACCACATGGCATCTGCTGGGTTGTTTTAGTTTGACTGTGACTAAGTCACAGAACCTCAGGTCTATTTGCACAGGAACTTCAATAAACATTTGATGATTGCAGAACTAAAAGATCATTCTTGATGAACTACTTTTCCTTGAAACTTGCAGTGGTGCAGGCTCAACCCATGGAGCCAGGGAGTGATACTTTCTCCTCTGTGATTCTTCATAAGAAAGACATTTGGGCTCCTTTCTGAGTTTATATCACCAACCCCCAACAGTCACTGTCATCCACAACTGTACCTAATGTAAGTCAAAGAGCAGGTTATTGGGCCATAGTTGACCTCCACTATCTTCCATTAATTCTCCCATTCTTGAAGTCGGCCCACTGTCTTCAAACTCTTACATTTTGGGGAAAGAAATCGCACATCATTCTGTGTTATTTCAGTGTTCTATGAGGTAAATTCTATAACCTATGTCTTCTAGTTTAAGTTTCTGTTTATGAAACTCAACTTCTGAAATTTCAAAAACTATCCTTTTCTGTCAGCAAGACACAATTGAAGCGAATAAAATAATTTTAGCATTCATATTTTCTATCTCTCACCAATTTACAAAAGTCCATTCTGAGGCTGAAATCCAAGATTTTCACTAATTGCCCTCATCCAGCTCCTCATGATGACAGCTTGTGCGGAAGGCTCTTTCCACCATCAATATGTGGTGGGAAGATAGGTGGTGAAAGAGAAAAATAAGAAGTTAGGAAAGTTGAAAAGTTCAATTTTGGGATATTACCACATATTATCCTCCTAAATATAGACTTTAAATTGCTAAACCTCAAGATATATTCAAGTGTTGCAACAAATCTGGGTTACTTGTCTGGTTATTTACCTCTTTAAGTCTTATTTCCCAATGCAGGCAAGGCAGGGAAGATTGGAATAGGATTTTCTTAAGCTCTCCCTCAGGGCAGTCTATTACCTGTGCAGGCACTGGGATCACCTCTGGTTTCCTATGGCTTATGCCATGCCAAGGCTGTTGCAGCTGACAGGGCTGTGAACAGGTTTTGCCTGACGTACAACTGAGGCACCCATGGGACAGAACCCTCAGATGCAACCTGTTGCCCTGAGTTCTCCAACATGTTTATCTCATACAGATAGAGATTCTGTTCAACTGCTCCCCAGAGAAACAACACACTTGAGCAGCTGGGCCACTCCAGCGGGAGGTTTTTGTTCAGGGCTGTACCACTGTGTGAGGAAATTGTGTAGCTTGCGTGCAGTAATAAACCCCGACATCCTCAGCTTCCACCCTGCTGATTTTCAGTGTGAAATCTGTCCCTGCCCCACTGCCACTGAATCTGTCTGGGACCCCAGAGAACCGGTTAGAAACCTTATAAATTAGGAGTCTTGGAGGCTGGCCTGGCCTCTGCTGAAGCCAACTCAAGTAGGTGTTTCCATCACTGTGTACGAGGCTTTGACTAGACCTGAAGGAGATGGAGGCCGGCTGTCCAAGGGTGACAGGCGAGGAGAGTGGAGTCTGGGTCATCACAATATCCCCACTGGATCCTGAAATAATGAGAGAGAAGTGCAAGGTTATGTAGAAACTTTAAGCACAATTTTAAAATAATTTTTCTTCTGTTATTTATTTCAGGCTAAATCAATTTTTATAATTTGATTCAGACCCTAGTAATATATAATTTCAAAATAAAAACATATTTTCAAAGCACAGCAGAGTGCTTTGAGTGCTAGAAGTTTCCTCTACCATTCCCTCTTTCTCTGTTAGAGTCTTCACCGGAGCACTGGTCTTTGTTCCTTCTGGAATCTTCCTCATTCTTACAGATCTAAACCTCACATGCCTTACTCACGCAGATATAAAAGTTACAAGCCCCATCCTGGAGTACAAGACGTACACATCTAACATGAGGACAGAACACACATGGGAGGCAATGGGGCCCCCAGAGTTCACCCTCCCACCCCATTCTCCTCCCTCATCTCTCTTCTGTCCTCACCAGGGACCCAGAGCATTAGCAGCCCCAGAAGCTGAGCAAGGAGCCTCATTGTGAGAAGGTGACCTGAGGAGTCCTAATTAGTCAAGTCAAGGTTGGTGCTGAGCTTTTATCTCAGACTTGCAAGGGAAGGTCCTCCCTGGGGGACAATATGCAAATCCCCTGGTGGGTGCAGTGGTATAGAAATAACATGATATGTGCAGGGGTATGGGGGCCTTTCCTATGAACAACATATTTTGTATGCTTGAGAAAAAACTGGCAGAAATAACAATCTATGCAGCCTGATTGGGACAGGATATATTTCTATGTTTACTGTGTTTACTGTCAATTTTTTTACTTCCTAGTATTTTCCCAGTGCTTGTTACACTTCTCTTTAATACGGCTGAGTTTCTGTAAATATTTGGTGCTTCTTATTTTTTTCTTCATGTGTGTTGAAAGGGTCTTGGTTTGCTGTTAATTTTATAAATCAAAATAAATTGTGCCCTGAGTAAAGTGCAAACATGTTCACTGCTCAACCAAATAAAGTACTCACATTCACTACCCAGATACAAATATGAATGATTTGAAATTCTCCACATGCTGCCTTCATTCACCTTTCTAGTCAATAGCTTCTGCCTCTAACCTACCAAGGGAACTGCAACTCTGATATCTATCACAAAGATTCAGTTTTCGTGAACATCAACAACATATGAGTTGAGGTAAGTATATTTATGAAGCTTTCATTTAATTTCATGGATTTAAATTACTGTTCATTGTCATTTACTGTGATTCTGAATTCTGAAGGATTTCTTCCTGAGTTTCTTATAGGACATATATGCTAGTCACGGCTTCTTTTCTTTTCTTTAAGGATAGTTTTGCTGAATATAAAATCATTTTAAACTGATTTTTCTAGTACTTCAAATAGCTTTAACATTAATGGTTAATCCACTATTATTAACGAAGTTACAATCTACATTTGAATTTCACTGAGCTTTCCACTGATACATGTATTTACCATTTTTACTTTTAATGTTTTAGGATAAAATTTCTGGATCCCATATTGCATTCAGTTTTCATGCTTTCTTAATTTCCTTCAATCTCTGACAGCTTTTTAGTCTTTGTTTTGAAATACCTTGAAACTTTTGATTTATGCTGGCTGGTTATTTTTCAGAATGTCCCTTAAGTTCTATTGTTTGGTATTTTCTATTGATTAAAGTCAGATTTTTCATTTTTGGCAAGAATATTACAGCAGGGATGTGTCTTCAGTACATCCTATCAAGAGTTACACAGTATCAACATGTCATCACTGGTGTTGATAAATGAATATTGCTAAGGAACCCTTTTTGTAAGAAAGTCTTGGTCAAAGGTAACCAAGGCAGCTGCTTTTGTCACTCCTCCTATATGGTTATGTGCTGACTTTGTTAGGAATTGTCTAGTCCCATCTGCTATGGTTTAGATGTTTGTGATGTTCCAAACTTAATGTTGGAATTTAAAGCCTAAGTTGATATTAAAAGGTAGAACCCCTTGGGAAGTGATTAAGTCATGGGCTCTGCCCTTAATAAATGGGATTAATGGCCTTATATAGAAGATTTCAGAGAGCTGCCTGGCCCTTCCATCTCTGTTGCCATGTGCAGATGCAAGATTCAATTTGTCTCCTTTGCCTTTTCTGGCTCCACCAGACAGCTTCACCGACACTGAATCTGTTAGCATCTTGATCCTAGAGTTCTGAACTCCAGAACTGTGAGAAATAAATATTTATTGTTTATAAATTTCCCAGTCTGTGAGTTTGTTATAGTTGCATGAAAGAACTCAGACACTATCTGATTCTCTTTTTACTTATTTATTTTTTTCAGAATTCAGTTCTACTTAAAGCCTGCTCTCCAATAGAGAATACTGATTAAATAAATTATGCTCACTCTTAAATGTCAAATATTTCCATCATGGCCATTCAACACTGGAATGTTGATGACGTGAAGGAAGGAAGAGAGGACTGGTGTCTATTAAAACATAGTGGTACCCACCAGTGGATGGATGTTCCTGAGTAATTTGGACAAATATATAGTCCTACGCATCACTTAGAATATTTCAGAAACTAAATGAAAAAGTTTAGAATTGATTGAGCTACTTCTAAAGTGGGAGGTTGAGATGCTATTGGTGCCATACTAGGATGCACACAGTTGAGACATGATTTCCAAGAATCTGAAATCCTAGGGACTAAGTTGAAGAATATGTGGCTATATCAACATGGTACTTATTTCTCAAAATAGATATTTTTCTAAGTTTTTAATTCCTGCTGTGACTAATCAATGGGATTTTGTCTTTTGATTGTTGTGAAAGTAGATAACTTGTTTTGATTTCAGAGACTTATCAGTGGAAGAATATGAGTATCAGATGTGGCTTTAAACTTGGACTTGGGACTTTTGTGTTAAAATTACAATAAGGTAAGACTTTGGGCAGATATGGAAAAGGAATTATTGTATTTTGAAATGTGAAAAGGACATGAGATTTGAGAGAGCCCAGGGGTAAAAGGATGTTGTTTGCATATTTGTTACTGCTCAAATATCATGTGGAATTGTAATCCCCAGTATTGCAAGTCAGGCCTGATGGGAGGTGACTGGATCATGGAGATAGATTTCTCATGAACAGTTTAGCACCATCTTCTTGGTGCTGTTCTCATGATAGCGAGTTCTCATGAGATCTGCTTATTTAAAAGCATATGGCAACTCCTTCTCTCTCTTCTGCTCTTTCTCTGGCCTTGTGATGGGCCTACTACCCCTTAGCCTTCCATCATAACTGTAAGCTTCCTGAGGCCTTCCCAGAAGCTGAGCAGATGCCAGCATCATGCTTCCTACAAAGCCTGCAGAAATGTGAGCTGAGTAAAACTCTTTTCTTTATAAATCACCAGTCTCAGTATTTCTTTGTAGCACTGCAAGAATGGCCTAATAGATTTGGTCTCTTTTTTTTTTTTCTTTTTTTGAGATGGAGTTTCGCTCTGTCACCAGGCTGGAGTGCAGTGGTGCAATCTTGGCTCACTGCAACCTCTGCCTCCTGGGTTCAAGTGATTCTCCTGCCTCAGCCTCCTGAGTAGCTGGAACTACAGGCGTGTGCCACCATACCCAGCTAATTTTTCTATTTTTAGTAGAGACGGGGTTTCACCATGTTGGCCAGGATGGTCTCAATCTCTTGACCTCGTGATCCACCTGCCTCCACCTCCCAAAGTACTGGGATTGCAGAAATGAGCCACCGAGCCCAATCTCTCCTTTTTTTTTTTTTTTTTAATAAAGACACTAATTGAATCAGATCAGAATCTCAACCTTATGGCCTCATTTGACTGTTAGTTTCTTAGAGCTACCTCCAAATATACTCGCACATGGAGTTAGGGCTTCAACTGGTGAATTTTGAGGGGACACAAATATTCAGTTCATAAAAGCTTACCTTATTTTCTTGATTCATCAAATACTTGCTCTCTTGGCATATTTTGTGGTCACCCACGGAGGTGAGATGGATCTTTTCTAATTAGTAGATATTATGGTGAAGCTGTTGACACTCCATGTACAAGAGAATTTGGGAGAAATTTTCTAACTCACACAAGGGAATCTGGGGGAAAGCAGGATATGCACAAGCTGGTATAAGCTGGCTCGAGTTACACAGAGGGCTGAGTTTTTATAGTTGGACTGGAGATATGCTATCTTGCATTGCTGAGGATCTATGAGGTTTGACTGTCCTGCAGGCAGTTGCACAAATATGTGGTGGAAGGGAAAGTGGGAGGTGGTGATTGAAAGCTGTCACTGATCAAACATCAAAAATGGAGTCAGATGCTTATTACATAGCACTTATTCGAAGGTACATGGTACCTTAGAGTATCAGCTTTTTATATTTTGTCCAGCTTTTTATATCTGTTTTTAGCAGCTTGGCATGAAATAAATTTATCTGCTATTTAACATAGTGGGAGTTTTAGGGGAAAAATCATAATTTTGTAAATAACGTCAAAGAAAACAGTATTTGGGGAAACACTGGATCTACATAATTAAGAGATGTAGCAAAATTATAATGATTATTAGTAATTATTTAGTGTTTAATACATTTGAAAGTTATAAACATTTTATAAGTATTCAATTACTTAATTATTATAATAGTCTTATGGTATAGTTACTTCTTTATTTTCCTTTATTAGAGATAAAAAAACAAGGTAAAAGTGTTTAAGTCATTTGCCAAATTTACACATATATTAAGTGTAAGAGACAAAATTCCAACCAATGATATGTGATTACAATCTGTGTGTTCTGTTATCACAGAAACTAATATTTCAAAATCTCTTTCACTGAGCTTTCTACCTGATTTCATCAATTATGTATGAGTAACTTGAACAAGATAACACTGCTGGATCATTGCACTGCCTTTGCTCAGTTTCGTCACATGAGAGAGGCAAGATTTGATGTTGTTGACAGTAACAGTACCCTGCATCTTCAGGCTTCAGGCTGCTGATTGTGGGAGCAAAATCTACCTCAGACTCGTGGTCACTCAACCATGCAGAGACACTAGGGTTCTGGATAGTGGCTTGCTTCCCTCAACCTTTGTCCAGAACTTGAAAATTGAGAACTCATGAACACAAATAAGGGAACAATACACACTGGGGTCTACCTGAGGGTGGAGGGTGGAAGAAAGGAAAGGAGCAGAAAAGATAACTATTGGGCACTGGGAATAATACCTGGGTGACAAAGTAATCTGTACAAGGAACCCCCATGGCACAAGTTCAGTTATGTAACAAAACTTCACATATATCCCTGAACCTAAAACAAAAGTTAAAAAAATAAAAATAAATAAAACTGAGGCGGCACAATATTCTCATTGACATCTGAATTTTTTTGAAAAAATCACATAAGCACAAATGTCAGTGAGGTTAAACACATCCCACTCTATGAGCTTATCATGTTACTCAACACTGTGAGTGCTCCATGAGAAATCAAATGTCACAGACCAAAAAAGGTACTAAAGATTCAACTTACAATGAGAAGAAAGCAAATTTCACCATCATGTGGCACCTCCTCATAATCCTTTTCCTCATCTGGGATCAGGCAGCAGGAGACAGAAGAGTTGAGCTCCTTATGTCCATTATGTACATGGCTGAGGCAGACACCTGCCCTGAGCCAGGGAACAGCCCACTAATAACGGCTTTGATATGTAGCCAAATGCTCTATGGAAAGCACACAAAGTCATCCCAGGCTGTGATATTTTGGAGCTTCTTGTTCCAGAACAGATTATTTCACAGCTGTCACACACACACGGATGCTCCTTCCCCAGTGTCTTCAGTCTGTAGAGGGACTATGTGGAACCCCTCGCTTAATAATACTCCAAATCACCACAACATTTCCTCAGTCCTCAGCTGCAGCTGGTCTTGTTCTGATGATGACTAATGCAAGTGACCACAAGCATGTTATATGAACCTTATAAGACCATGGTCATCATAAATAATAATCACTGATACAGCTATTAATTCAAGTGGCTTGAATACAGAGTCATTTTCTTGGTATGAACCTAACCTGGGAATGTTCCATACAAAATGGATCAAGATTATGAGGTCAGTTACCATACTAACAGAATTTGGGGATTTAGAGTTGAGGGAAGCAAAGTAAAAGAAGAATGTGGAGAATTTTATACAAAAGCCATACCGACTATAACTGAAAATAAAAAATCCATGCCTTACAGTGTAAATTCAAGAAAAAAAATTCATAATAAAGTGAAAACACAAAGAATTAATGAAGAAAGTTTACATTAAACTGCCTCAAAGGATAATGAGAGTTTTGATCAACATAGAAGACACTGCTAAAAACTCATTATTTGTTGTTTGATTTGATGAAGTTGCTTGAAGGGATAAAAAGTACAGTTTGAGTGAACTCCCATTCACAATTGCTACAAAGAGAATAAAATACCTAGGAATCCAGCTTACAAGAGATGTGAAGGACCTCTTCAAGGAGAACTACAAACCACTGCTCAATGAAATAAAAGAGGATACAAACAAATGGAAGAACATTCCATGCTCATGGGTAGGAAGAATCAATATTGTGAAAATGGCCATACTGCCCAAGGTAATTTATAGATTCAATGTCATCCCCATCAAGCTACCATTGACTTTCTTCACAGAATTAGAAAAAACTACTTTAAAGTTCATATGGAACCAAAAAAGAGCCCGCATTGCCAAGTCAATCCTAAGCCAAAAGAACAACGCTGGAGGCATCACACTACCTGACTTCAAACTATACTACAAGGCTACAATAACCAAAACAGCATGGTACTGGTACCAAAACAGAGATACAAACCAATGGAACAGAACAGAGACCTCAGAAATAGTGCCACATATCTACAACCATCAGATCTTTGACAAACCTGACAAAAACAAATGGGGAAAGGATTCCCTATTTAATAAATGGTGCTGGGAAAACTGGCTAGCCATATGTAGAAAGCTGAAACTGGATCCCTTTCTTACACCTTATACAAAAATTAATTCAAGATGGATTAAAGACTTAAATGTTAGACCTAAAACCATGAAAACCCTAGAAGAAAACCTAGGCAATACCATTCAGGACATAGGCATGGGCAAGGACTTCATGTCTAAAACACCAAAAGCAATGGCAACAAAAGCCAAAATTGAGAAATGGGATCTAATTAAACTAAGGAGCTTCTGCACAGCAAAAGAAACTACCATCAGAGTGAACAGGCAACATACAGAATGGGAGAAAATTTTTGCAACCTACTCATCTGACAAAGGGCTAATATCCAGAATCTACAATGAACTCAAACAAATTTAAAAGAAAAAAACAAACAACCCCATCAAAAAGTGGGCAAAGGATATGAACAGACACACCTCAAAAGAAGACATTTATGCAGCCAACAGACACATGAAAAAATGCTCATCATCACTGGCCATCAGAGAAATGCAAATCAAAACCACAATGAGACAGCATCTCACACCAGTTAGAATGACAATCATTAAAAAGTCAGGAGACAACAGGTGCTGGAGAGGATGTGGAGAAATAGAAACACTTTTACACTGTTGGTGGGACTGTAAACTAATTCAACAATTGTGGAAATCAGTGTGGTGATTCCTCAGGGATCTAGAACTAGAAATACCATTTGACCCTGCCATCCCATTACTGGGTATATACCCAAAGGAATATAAATCATGCTGCTATAAAGACGCATACACACGTATGTTTATTGTGGCACTATTCACAATAGCAAAGACTTGGAACCAACCCAAATGTCCAACAATGATAGACTGGATTAAGAAAATGTGGCACATATACACCATGGAATACTGTGCAGCCATAAAAAAGGATGAGTTCATGTCCTTTGTAGGGACATGGATGAAGCTGGAAACTATCATTCTCAGCAAACTATCACAAGGACAAAAAACCAAACACTGCATGTTCTCACTCATAGGTGGGAATTGAACAATGAGAACACATGGACACAAGAAGGGGAACATCACACACCGGGGCCTGTTGTGGGGTGGGAGGAGGGGGGAGGGATAGCATTAGGAGATATACCTAATGCTAAACGGCAAGTTAATGAGTGCAGCACACCAACATGGCACATGTATACATATGTAACAAACCTGCACGTTGTGCACATGTACCCCAAATCTTAAAGTATAATAAAAAAAAGAATTACACACTTAAAAAACAAAAAAGAAAGAAATAATTTATCCTATAGGATTTCCCACATTTAGGGTTTGCCTGACTGTATCCTCATGATTTCACTGAGTTTTAAATAATAATTACATTATTTCCAAGGCAAAAAAATAAAAAAGAAAAGTACAGTTTGAGGGAAAAAAAATTTAAAAAACACAGACATTTGAAGCAGGAAGCCCTGAAAGGAAGCTGTGGCTTTATGCTCTGTGGAATTTTGACTGCTGAGTGCCTTCTTCCTGAAAGGGAGTATCTACAGCATTGTCTGTCAAGTATGTGCATCCTAGTCCTGTCTCATCATTGTTCACAAGTCTTGAGTGGGATAGGGGGACAGGTGCTATTTAGGAACTATGGGCAAAGAGGCTCAACTGCACAGAGTCTGATCTAGATGAGGAGATCTTGAACTTTAACTTACCACCATCATGGGAAATACTTGTAGATGTTGCAGATGAAAATTAGTATATGTTGCATACAGTAAAAATGTAGATTGATTTAAACAAGCGTAGAGAGTTGCCAACTGGATACTCCAAGATAGTCACAAGATCTTCCATCTTATTAGTTCCTCTAATAGTGTGATGTTGATAATTTCCCTATTGGACATATTAGCATACTTTTCCCCCTTTGGAATCTTAGTGAACCTATAATTGTGATAGAAGTAACACTATGTGTCTTCTGAGGCTATAGTAAGTCATAAGAGGTTATAAAACATCTGTCTGGTACTCTTCGAGGAAGTGTACAAGAAGCCAAGCAGGAGCATGTAGAGATTCACAGCCTCAGCTGAGGACTCATCCTATAGCCTGAATTGGCCACCTTTTATATGACTCCATCCCCAGCTGCTATCTGACTACATCCATGTAAGAAATCCCAAGCAGAAATCTTGGTCAGCCCAGGAAACACCTAACAACTACAAAGATAATAGTATAATGATGTCAATTGTAATGTGTCATTAAGTTTTGGGTGATTTGTTCTGAATCAGTAGTAACTAGATGCCAACTCATAAATATAGAAAGAATTTGGAAGTAGAAAGTCATCTATGGTTACTAAATGAATTTGGGTAACGTATACATTGGAGTTCTTATATTACTTTGGCAATTTTTCTTTAACAATATGCCCAAATAAAAAGTCACATAAAATATGTTCAACAAAACCAAACAGAAATGTACAAAATGCAGTTGGATAAAAATAAAGAAAACTCCAATAAATGGAAGGTTGCACCATGCTCATGAATTGGGAGACTTAATAGTGTATATTCTCCCTAAATTTGTTGAAAACATTCACAATAAAAAATCTCAGAGAATTATTGTTGCAATTGAAAAGACATTACTTAAATATATATGAACATTCAAAATGCAAAAAGTAACCAAGACAGTCTTGCTAAGATAAAAAATGTTGGAGGACTAATACTACACAATACCAAAGCCTGTAAGTTACAGGAATTAAAATATATGGTATCAGTGAAGTGTCAAACAAATTAGCCAGTTCAATCAGTTTGAGAATCCAGAAACTGCTCCACCCATGCGTAGTCATTTGATTTACAATAAAAGTGCTACTTCAAAGTAGTAGAAGTAAAATAAATTAATCATACTGGATCAATTCAGTATCTGTATTATATGAAAATGAATCTTAATTCTATTCCATATACAAATATTAATCATCAATAAATTGTAAATATAAATATGAAAGGCCCAAGAGTAAATCCTCTACAAAAGGGTATAGAAGCATATTTCATGACCCTAGAGATAAAAAAAAATTCTTAGAGAAAATAAACAAAATATCTAGCATAAAGAAAGAAATTAATAAATTAGACTTCACTAGTATGACATCCTTTTTATAATGTTTAAAAGAAATAAACAGCTTTTTAAAGGAATACATGTAGAAGAAATAAACTACATTGATAAAGAATATTGAATTGAAAATTTTGATTAACTTGATGGTGGTGGGAAATAATATGTTTAAGAGATTGTGGAGAACCTCAAACTGGATATGTTGATATCTTAAGTGGTTGTTTTGCAGGATAGTAACATGAATTTATTATATTACTAATATTAATGAATGAATTAGTGAGTGCTAAAAATATGAATAAATAAATAAGAACCATAATGGACTAATAATAAAAGTGCATTATGGACCAACATTATAATTGTGTTATTAACCATCATTGATTATTATTCCTTGCAATCAGTTAATAAAGTTGAGGCCCATTAAAAAAGATAATAGAAAAAGAAAAATGAAAGGGAGGAAGGAGGAATTGAAAGGAGGAAAAGAAGATGTTGTAAAAAAAATAAAGAGAAAAGTTAAGTAAAAAAAAAAACACTCTTGTGGACTCCAGAACATTTCTACATTATGTTTTGCATAATCAATAAAATAAAGAAAAATATATAACCTAGGATGAAAAATAGCACAAAATATGTAATTATCGAAAATGTAAGCATAGTTCCTTAAACTCTGCTGCAATATAAGAAAAATAAAACAAACTGCATCATTAAAAACAAAACCCAATATTCAAGACAATATAGCAGAATTGGCACTGCAATTGATCAAAACAGTGATATGGAAGGCAAACTAGAGTAGCACTTTTGTTTTTCAAAGGAGAGAATCATGACATTAGATAATAAAGAGAGAGCTCAGACAGAAAAACAGAGTAGAAAGTTAAACCTGAGAATTAAACATTTTCCTGAGGAAGAAATGAGTCCTTAGAAAAGAACCAGTAAGAAGAAATGTAATCTGAAATAAAATTTCCATGTCTGTTAACTACTAATGAGTGTAAATTCAATGGAGTCACACAATTGTATTCAAACATTTATAAAATGAGAAAACACATATATTTCATAATAAAATACAAATTCAAAGAATGTAAGGGTTATTTTTTTCAAAGATAAATGTCAGGCTTGCTTCAGAGTCCTGGCCTGCAAAATGAACTCCCAGTAATCAATGTAATTATATTTGAAAATGTGCAAAGTTTTTATAAAAGAAATTATACTGCATGCATTTTCTATTGAACTAGGGAAATAAAATATGAAGAAAATTTTTAATTTGAAACAAGTAAATTATGATATGCATAAGGATTTATGAAACTAGAAACCCTTGAAAAATGTATTACAGCTGATAAAGAGATGAAGTAAAGTCGGTTGCTCAAGAAGAGGAAGCTGTGGTTTGTGATTGTAAAAGAATGTTGGTGAGGATAAAAATCAACAAAACCTATAAGTTAATCTACCTAAGTTAAAAATGTGTTGATAAATGCAAAGTCATTCCATAGGAAAAATTCCTCAAATATAAGGCATATAATGCAACGCAATTTAATTGTAATAATCTGACTATAACAACGACAATATTACTCATGCAAAATTAGGAATCATAATTGAAGGGCAATAACAAGTTTTACCATCATACTGGTTTAATAGATGATAAAATTTAATAACCAGTATTTTCCTTGACTTCAAAATTTAAAATTATAGATTTATATAGGCATAACAAAAAGCAAATATGACATATACGTTTATATTTTGTTCTTTCAGTTTATTCCCATTCTATCTTGTTTAGGATTCACTCACGGTGGTCATTTATTAATTTTTTTTAAATAAAACATCTAACCTTTCGAGATCATTCTACTCTATATAAGGAATTACAACAACTGACACAAAAAGTTAATTAGTGAGAGAAAGAGATGTCAGTGCTCAGTCCTTTTATGTCAGGCACTAGTCCAGAACACAAGATCCTAAGGACAGACACACTACCTAAAGAACAAGGCATTCTGCTTAAATGTTACCTCCTTCCTAAAGGAAATTTTCACTTCACTTTCCTCAGATCCCCGTCTTTCATTCCGATTAGCACTCCTTAGTTTGTGTCTTGAACCAGTTCTTCCTTGTCTGAAGGAACTTTTCCACTTCCTGAGTCCATTCCCAACTCTAAACACCATTGCGAGTGAGTGCCATCCACCAGGTAGTAAAAACATGTAACCAGGTTTGGGAAGACTAGGAAAAATTTAAAAACTATTTAATGGGCATCTCTAAGCTACCTTGGATTTATTTTCTTACATCTGGATATATTCTAGTTCTTCTAAATACCTCCTCACTCAGAGGTTTTTCTTCTCATTGCATAGGTTGGCAATAAAATAGAATCTTTGCACTGCTGGTGGAAATGAAAAATGGTGCAGCAGGTTTGGAAAACAGTCTGCAATTCAAGTGGTTAAACATAGAGTTACCACATGATCCAGGAAGCTCTTAAGTGTGGACCCAAGAAAAAGGAAAACATATATCTACACAAAAACTTGTACTTCAATGTTCTTAGCAAGTTACTGGCACATCTTTAGAATTATTTAGGAACAGCTTTGTCCTAAAAAGGGGTCACCAGAATTCTAAGTGATGCTCTTCAACTAGCTGGATGATCTTGAATAATTCCTATCAACAAATCTATCTGGGTTTTAGTCATCTCATCTTTACTGAAGGATATAGCAAGTATAATTTTGTGTATGTTTTTATTTCACTTTTTATAGTGTAAAATTACCAGTGTCTTCAGTGAATAAATAAAAGTGAAAAACACATTGAAGCAAATTGTTCTGATTCTACAAATATTGACTTAATTGGATTCGTACATTTAGGGTAAATAGGAACCATCATTAAAATGCAATACATTTTGAGTAGCTTAGAATTTTGATGCTTTCCAGGACAAAAAAATAAAAGAGATTATAGTGACTCATGTGTTCCTGATGACACTAAGAGTGTGGTAACCTTGTAAACCCTGGGCTTCCTTACATTTGGTGCCCTGGTTTCACAGATGGAATGTGAAAATGAATACAGATTATAATTAAATATAATTTGATTAGATAAGGAAAGAAGTTAGGATGCATTGATTGGTGCAAATAACATTATGCTTCATAACTTTTTTAAAATAAACTTTTGATAAGATAAAACTTACCCATACATGTATATTCACAAATCTCAACATGTGTATATGCACTCACAAATTATAATGCAGGTTTTAATAAATTTTTCAGAGATTGAACACACTGTATAACAACCGTACCAAAGCAGAACACTCCCGGTCTCCTAGAAGCACCTTCTGTCTCCTCCCAAACATTAGCCCCACTCTTCTCCAATGCAAATTTAAATCTCACTTTCAGTAACATTGATTTAGTGATGGCGGTTTTTGAACTATATAAAAAGGAATCATGGATAGTGAGCTTTTTATTTCTAACGTCTTTTGCGCATTATTATGCTAGTAAGATACACCCACATTCATGGATGTAGTAGCAGCTTTTATATTTTCATTCATCCATAGTATTTAATTGTATGCACCTACCTCATTTTATTTATTCAAATTACTCTTGATTTGTATTTAGAATATTCCCAGTTTGGGGCTATCACTAATAATGCTATGAGTGTTATTTTATTTATTTATTTATTTATTTATTTATTTATTTATTTATTTTTGAGATGTAGTCTCACCCTGTCACCCAGGCTGGAGTGCAGTGGCATGATCTCGGCTCACTGCAACCTTCACCTCCCGGGTTCAAGCGATTCTTCTGCCTCAGCCTCCCTAGTAGCTGGGACTATAGGCGTCCGCCACCACGCCCAGCTAATTTTTGTATTTTTAGTAGAGACAGGGTTTCACCATATTGGCCAGGCTGGTCTCAAACTCCTGACCTTGTGATCTGCCTGCCTCAGCCTCCCAAAGTGCTGGGATTACAGGCTTGAGCCACTGCGCCCGGCCAAGTGTTATTGCACATTTCTTTCTGTGCACATCTGTACACATTTCTGAGTGGAAGGGCTGGATTAAAAGGGATTATATATTCAGTGTCAGTTCTCCAACTTGTGGTACCACTTTATATTCCCAAACATAATGTGTGGCCCTTCTAGTTCCCCCTTTCCGTCACTGTATTTGGCATTGTCCCTTTGAGTCATCCTATCGAAGTTTTAGTGGTAGACAGTTGTGATTTTCATTTGTAGGACTGGGATGATTATTGATGTTGGACAGCTTTTTATTGTTTTCACTCTGTTGTGCAGTGTCACCTTTGTCCCTAAAAAGTGTCACTATATGTGTTAGTCATTCTCAGAATACCCTCTTCTGTTGCATTAGGCAATTTGTTTGAACTCACATCAGCAGCACGGTTCGAGTATCCAAGTAGTGTAAGTCCTCATTCTTGGGCTTCTTCGGGTTTATTGTGGTTATTCAAACTCCTTAACAATGTAATATGATATTTAGAATCAGCTTTTACATTTCCATTTACAAACAGTTTGAATTTTGATTTCGATTATCTTTAATATATCAATCTGTGAAGAATGAACATCTTTACAATACTGGGACTTTCAACCTTTGAAAGTACTATGGCCTTCCATTGGCTTAGATTTTCTTTGATTTCTTTGAATTATATTCTGGAGCTGTCAGTATATTTTGTTAGTTTTTTCTAATGCCTCTTGGTTTGATGCTACTATAAATGATGTGTTTCATAATTTTAATTTTTAGCAGTTGTTACATTTATATAAAAATAAATATATTTTTATATTGATCTTTAATCTATTTACTATGTATCTCATTGATTCTAATAATTTCTGTGTAGACAATTTGAAATTTCTCCCCCACACAGTCCTTTCATCAGTGAATTGTTATACCTTTAATTCTGCCTTTCTAATTCTTCTTCTTTATCATTGTCGTTGCTACTTTATCGCACTGGCCAGGACCTTTAGAGGCGTCCACTCATGTGAGTCTGATCCAATGGCCTTGACCATGAAATTGTGCCTGAACCTGGCTGTGCATTTGGGTCTGAGAAAAAAATCCATCAGTGAAACTATAAATATTATAAGGAATTACTTTTGAGAACCTCAGAATTTCCAATCAAAGCAGAGATGCTAAAACTGAGCAGCACCACATCAGATGACTAAAAAGGAAGCAGGTGGTATAATCAAATAAACACCTTAGGTCTCCTGGAGGTTTTTGTTGCATGTTGAATCAGTATGGGACACCAACTACTATGCTGATAACAGTGATGAAGTGCAAATCTTCAGGCTCCAGCCTGCCGATGGTGAGAGTAAGCCCTGTCCTGACCCACTATCACAAATCAGGGCTGTACCATAGATGAGGAGCCTGGGAGCCCGCTCAGGTTTCTTCTGGTACCAGGCTTAGTAGCTGCTAACACTGACTGGCCCTGCAAGTCAGGGTGGCTTTTTTCTCCAGAGACAAAGACAGGGAAGCTGGAGACTGTGTCATCACTGTTTCTACAGTGAAATCTGAGATTAGAAATAAAATGCCTTACAGTCTTTAGGATGGCTATTATAAAAAAGACAAGAGATAAATATTGATGAGGGTGTGAAGAAAATAAAACACTTGTACATTGTTGGTGGGAATGATGATTGGTGCACCCATTATGGAAAACAGTATGGAGGTTCCTAAAGAAATTCAAAACCTAACCACCTTATAACCCAACAGTGACCCTATTTTGGATACATACACAGAAGAGATGAAATCACCACCTTCTTTTAAAGATACCTACACTCCCGTGTTTATTGCAGCATTATTCACAAGAAATGAGAAAAACCTGAGCATCCGTGGACAAATAAATGAATAAAGAAAATGTGGTATACATAAATGCACACACACACACACACACACAATGGAATATAATTCAGCCTTAAACAAGAAGATTCTTTATTATTATTATTATTATTTTTACTTTAGAGAAGTCTCACTCTTGTCGCCCAGGCTGGAGTGCAATGATGCTATCTCAGCTCACTGCAACCTCCTCCTCCCAGGTTGAAGCGATTCTCCTGCCTCAGCTTCCTGAGTAGTTGGGATTACAGGCCCATGCCAACACGCCCAGCTAATTTTCTTTTGTATTTTTTGTATTTTTAGTAGAGACAGGGTTTTGCCATGTTGGCCAGGCTGGTATTCAACTCCTGATGTCAGGTGATGCACCCGCCTAGTGCTGGGATTACGGGCATGAGCCACCACACCCAGCCGAAAAATAAGATTCTTCTATTTGCCGTAATATGGATGGACCTAGAGGACAGTATTCTAAGTGAAAAAAGCGAGACACAGAAATAAAAATATTGCCTGATTTTACTTACATGTAAACCTAAAAATAAATTAAATAAGTAAAAAGATAAATTATGCAGAAATAGAGAATGAAACAGTCGTTATTAAGGGCCGGGGGTGGAACGGGAAGAAATGGGAAGATGTAGGTCCAAAGATGCAAGGTAGTAGATATTTATGAATAACGAGTATAGAGATCTACTGTAGAAAATGAGGGCTATAGTTAATAAAACTGTACTGTATTAGAGATTTTTGTTAAATAAGTAGATTCCAGCTGCCAGCTGCTCTTGTCGCAGACGAAAAAGTAACTATGTGAGATGATAAATGTTCATTCTCTTCACTATAGTAAGCATTTTACTATCTATATGTATGCCACAACATCATATTGCAAACCTAAAATATACAGAATAAAATTTATTTTTTGAAAAAACAGTTTAAACAGAAAAACAAATAATCACACATGTAATCTAGATTATACCCATTGTCTTTCCAATAGAGTCAAGACCATTGATCTACATTGAGCTTTAATTATTGTGCTTGCTGAGCAGAGATGCCAGGTTGAAGGACCCAACAAAGTTGAGAGAGTTTTCACTGACACACAGAACCCCCCACAACCCCCCGCATATTCCCCTCACCTGGGACCCAGAGTAACATAAAGAAATGATAAATACATGAGCTGATGCACATCCTAAATATCCTGATTTGATCATTTTTCAACATATGTACATATCAAGACATCAAAGTGTACTCCATAAATATGTACAATTACAATGTGCCAATAAAAACAAATAAAATGCAAAGTTACCTATTAGTGACATTAGAAAGTAATGGAAGAAATGAGGACTAGGCGATCTAAAATTCTAGAGTAAAAAAACAACTAATTCTAGTTGAGTTGGTGTTCATCTGACATTTTGTTTTTCTGCCTTTTTTTTTTACCAAATGTGCGTTCGGATAGAAATTTTGATTTGGCACAGACAGAGAAACCCAGCAAGAAGAGAGAACATAACTGAGCTTTGAAGGTTGCACAGGGCAATTTCTGTGCAACCATAGCCAGATTTTTCATGTGGCATTTGCTGAGTTCTGAGTCAGGAGACAGGCTGTGGGAGTTTGGGTAGGAAGGCAGAAATCTCCAACACTCAGGATGTTTTTTCCTCCAGTGCTGTGCAAATCATCCTTTGTATATGTCTCAACCATGGACATTGATCACTATCCCTTTCTGCTGGGCCTTTTGGTTAACACGTCACTGCATGTTCATCTCCACAAACCTGACCACATCATCTCTGCTATAGGGGCAGAATGAGTTCTAGAAGATCTCTTCATGCTGAGTTGAATGGGATTGAGTCTTTTTGCACGGGAACTTCACTAAACCTTTGATGATTACAAACCTAAACACCTTTTCTCACCATTTTCCCATGAAACTTGCAGTGGCACAGGCTCAACTCAGGAAGCCAGGCAGTGGTCTCTTCAACTCTGTGACTCTTCACAAGAAATACATCGGGACTTGATTTTAGGTTTATGTCATCAACTTGCAACACCCACTGGCATCTGAAGTTCACCAAATGTAAGTTAAAATGCAGGAGGATTGTCTAATACGGTAGACACAGTAGCTCATATCTACTGTGTTCCTTGTGTGTTCCCATTCCTGAAGTACCCTCGAAGTCTAAAACTGTTATCATTCTCTATTCTTCTAGCAATATATAGGGTGAATTCTATGCCCTGTATATTCCAGTGTATGCTTTTATTTTTAAAACCCAACTTTTGGAATTTCAAGAATTCCTTTTATGATCTATCAGTAAGAAGTAATCAAGGCAAATCAAAGAGTTTTAGCATTTGGATCTTGTATCTGACATTAATTTACAAAAGTCTAGGCACTCAAAAACCAAGATTTTTGCTAATTGCCCCCAACCAGCTACCCGTATAAATGGGGAGCCACATTTTACAACTAGTGTAAAATGTTGTCTACAGTATCTTTATTACATAGGAAGATAAGGAATAAGTAAGGAAAATAGAAAGCTTGGAAGGTGGAAAATACCAATTTCTAAATATGACCAAATAATTATCCTATTAAAATATATAAAAATGGATGAAATACATACAAATGAGGAGGCACTCAGCATGTGTTGCCAACATTTGTATCAATTGCCTGGCACTTATGCTGATTAACTACAATTGAGAAATGTAAGAAAGGAGGATTCGAATGAGCTTTTATTCAGTTGCATCATGAATCAGCATCAGCTCCATGGGACCTTCCCCATTCTCCTACTGCTTTTGCCATGTCAAGGCTTTTGCAGCTACACAAATGAGTAGTTCCTGAGATGTAACCAAGGAATTCATGAGACCAATCTACTCCTCTGAGTTGTCCAACATTTTCCTCATGCACAGACTCAGAGAACTTGCTGTGCTGCTCCCCAGACAAACATCACATGTGAGCAGCTGGGCCACTTCAAGCAGAGAGGTTTGTGCTCAGGGCTGTAGCACTGTGGGAGGATCTTGTGCATCTTGCATGCAGTAATAAACTCCAAAATCCTCAGCCTCCACCCGGCTGATTTTCAGTGTGAAATCTGTCCCTGACCCGCTGCCACTGAACCTATCTGGCACTCCAGAGAACCGGTTGGAAACTTCATAGATCAGGAGCGTGGAGACTGGCCTGGCTTTCTGCAGAAACCAATACAAATAGGTGTATCCATCACTATGCAGGAGGCTCTGACTAGACCTGCAGGACATGGAGGCCTGCTCTCCAGGGGTGATAGACAAGGAGAGTGGAGTCTGGGTCATCACAATCTCTGCACTGGATCCTAAAATAGATAGAAAGAAGTGGAAGGATATGTACAAATATCATGTGTCATTTATCATAAATTTTCATTTTTTATTTCAGGCTATATAATTTTTTGTTGTTTGTATTTATACACTAAACATATTCCAAATTTGCAAGCTGCAAAGGGGATTCTAGAAGTCACCTACACCACCTCCCTTTCTCTGTGTGACGATATTCACCAGAGCACACAGGTCCTTGCTTCTTTTTGAATCGTCCTCACTCTCACAGATTTAAACCTCACATTCCCCATCCTGGAGAACAAGACCTGTACATCTAACACATGGGCAGGGCAGAACACACATGGAAGGCAGTGGGGTCCCCAGGCTTACCTTCCCACCCCATTCTCCTCCCTCATCTCCTTCTGTCCTTACCAGGGACCCAGAGCATTAGCAGCCCCAAGAGCTGAGCAGGGAGCCTCATAGTGAGAAGGTGAACTGAGGAGTCCTGATCAGTCAAGGTAAGGGTTAGAGCTGAGCTTTTATCTCAGACCCACAAGGGAAGGTCCTCCCTAGAGGACAATATGCAAATCCCCCGGTGGGTGCAGTGATGCTAAGCGCAACAACAGGAGGATGAGGGCTTCTCTTGTGGGCAAGGGGACATAAAATATCCTGCGTGTTTCAAGGAAAACTAACCAAGATAAAATCTGTGTTGCTTCAGTTGGAGAAGAGACATATTATAATATTTCCTTTTCTTTCCACCTGTTTTTCAACAGTTCTTTAGCACTTTTCCAGGCACATTTTGCACTTGTCTTTAATAAAGTTGAGTTTCCATAAATATTGGCTGATTCTTTTTTCTTGCCTCCAATTTTCTTTAAAAGAATCTAGGTTTGGCTTTTCTATTTTTTTTTCATTGAAATAAACCACATATAAAGGGCAGAAATCCTAAATGTGGAATGAATAAAGTTTTATGTATATTCACTATCCAGCTGAAACTATAGAATATTTCAAAATTTCTGGATGATTCTCTCGTACACCTTCCCATTCAATAACTGCCTCCCCATCCCAACCAAAGTAACTGTCTTTCTGACATCTACCACAATAGTTTGTTTGTACTTGGTAGTGAATATCATAGAAATTGAAGTAAACATTTTTTTATCATTGTGTCTATTTTTTTCCCAGTTCTTTACTATTTTGAGGCCTTTATTTCTGTTTGTGGATTCAAATTACTGTCCTCTATAATTTCATGTGATTCTGAGCAATGTTTTCTTAAATTGATTTCAGATAATTTATTGAATATCTACAAGTAATATTTTCTTTTCATTTGTGTTTATCAAGGTAAGGACTAAGCTCTGATTTTTTTTTTCCTTGTCTCAGTTCCTATCTAAGGAGTCTGGGGAGTCATGCCCTACAAACTATAAATTCTCATCAGATGGGTTTTATTTAACCCTACATATCCTTGGACTTACTTTCCAACCTGACTGTGGTGGAACATTATGCAACAAGGCAGAAAATTAAAATATTTTACCCCAAAACATGTTTCTTTGCCCTATCTTGAAATGGCCTTGCAAAGCTGTCCTTTGTGGGGAAAAATTTGCATCTGTAAAGAATCTCTATTAACATAGCCAGATCTTTTTCTTCCAGGCTCTCCCAATCTTAAAGAAGAGTCTAGCACATTTTAAAGATCTGAATAGGAAATATTTGTAATCTATTTTCTCTAAGGGCAGCCACTGTATGACTTCAAAAGAACCTTGGTCTTCCGCAGTCTTTTATCTTAACCTGAACATTTATTTTCTATTGATCCCAGGTCTTTAGACAAACTCAACCAATTGTCAACAAGGAAATGCTAGTTAGAGCCTGGAACCTCCCCCGCTTCACCACCCCCCATCCTCACCCCTGCTTTGAGTTGTCCCGCCTTTCTGGACCAAACCAATGTATTTCTTAAATGTGTTTGATTGACGTCTCATGCCTCTCTAAAATGTATAAAACCAAGCTGCGCCCCAACCACCTTGGGTACATGTTCTCAGGACCTCCTGAGGGTTGTGTTGGGGGCCACAGTCACTCATTTGGCTCAGAATAAATCTCTTCAAATATTTTAGAGAGTTTGACTCTTTATCGACAAAGAAATATGTTTAGTTTGCTTTATTCTTAAAGTATACTTTTGCTGCATATAGAACTTTGGGTTGATTTTTTTCTTTCAGCATTTGAGTATGCCATTCCACCGTCTTCTAGTCTCCATTAGAAATAATGGACCCTTATTCAGTGTCTACATTATTGTATCTTTGTACATAGTGGTTTTTTTCTCTTGAAGATTTTCCCTTTGTAACTGTATTTCAGCATTTTAATTACAATGTGTGTAGTTATGAATCTTTTTTGCTTCCCCTGGATGTGTTTCATCACATTTCTTGGATCTATATAGTAATGTATTTCAATACATTTGAAAAGATGTTCCCATTATTTCTTCACATACTTTTTCAGCTCCTTTCTCTCTCCCTTCTCCTTTGTGACTCCCATCCACATTTGTTGGTGTTCTTCACACTGACCTATACATCTCTGAGGTCTTGCTTGGCTGCTTACATCTTTATTCTTTGGAACAGATTATTTCTATTGGTTGATCTTCAAGTTCACTGATTCTTCTGACACTGTCAACTATTGTGGTGCCTATCTAAATTTTCAATTGAGTTATTCTACTTTTCAGTTTTAAAATTCTCTTTTGGTATTTTTTTGTCTTCATAACTTCCACTGTTCTACTGAAAGTCGCTATTTTGAAACCACCATTGCAAAAATTTTAATAGTAAGAAAATTATGGCAGTAAAAGAGATCTGATCTAACCCACCTCCCCATCTTGCATTTTCCTTAATTATTCCTGGGCTTTTGGGCAGAGCTAACTTTGGAAGCCATTTAGGTTATAGTTTAAATGATGATATGGGTTACCCAAAACTCAGCTACCTTTGTAAAGATCATGAAAGGCCATCAAATAGTGGGAAAAAAGGAGCCTGATTCTGCTAAGGTGTGGACTGGTCACCAGATACTCCTTCAGATAACACCACTATTGTAGATTGGCCTTTTAAGATATATTTTCAAGTATTGTTGCTTATCTGACAGCAATGGCTCCACCTGGACCTGCTAACCCGCATCCTGTGGCCCCACTCAGGAGAGATTCAGCTCCAGAGGACAGCTCTGACATTTTATGACTTCATTTCTGACCCAACCAATCAGCAGCAAGCACCCATTACCTGGCCACCCCTTCCTCCAAACTGCCTTTGAAAAACCCCTAACTACAGGCCTTCAGGGAGATTGATTTGAGTACTAACTCTGTCTCCCATGTGGTGTGGCCAGCCTTATGTCTACTAAAACTCTTTATTGCAAATGAAACTGACTTTGCAAAATTATGACTGAGACAGTGAAAGAGGTCTAAATTAACTGACTCCATCTTGCTTCTAACCTCCAAGTTGTCCTTGTTCATTCCTGGGCATAGGCTGAACTAACTTTGAGAGGAATTTAGTTTAGAGTTTAAAACAAAGACAATAACAGCCTTTTCCCAAAGCAGATGTTCTTCTTGCCTGGGGACTAGATAGGCTTTGTAGGACTAACATTAGCCACAAGATTGGAAATTATGGTTTATGAGTCATGCAGCTGGAGGCTACAAGGTTCTGACCCCCTCAAACTGCTCCTAAGATCAGTGCTTGAGATATTTTGATCTTGCACTTGACGGATCAGCTGGCACCACCCAGATCAATAAACTGCTAATCTGATCTTATGGTCTCCCACCCAGGAACTGACTCAGTGCAAGAAGACAGCTTTGAATCCCTGTGATTTCATCTCTGACCAATCAGCACTCCTGGCTCACTGGCTCACCCACCACCCACCAAGTTGTCCTTAAAAATTCTGCTCCCTAAATGCTCAGCAAGACTGATTTGATTAATAATAAAACTCTGGTCTCCCGCATAGCCAGCCCTGCCTGAATTACTCTTTCTCTGTTGCAATTCCCCTGTCTTGAGAAATCAGCTCTGTCTAGGCAGCAGGCAAGGTGAACACGTTGGGCAGTTACACAATGTCGTGGTCTTCATTTGTGCAGTGGTTAGGAAAAATCCCTCAGCTAGGTACAATGTGTTTAATCATTTTTTTCATATTTTCCATTTTAAGTATTTGATCATAGAGTACTGATCGAAAGAAATAAATTTTTTAAACATCTTTAAAATAACTCTATTGAATTCAACATCTCATTTGATCTTTTACAACTGCAGGAGGTGAGCAGCAGGTAAGCAAGCAAAGCTTCCTCTGTCTTTAGAGCCTCTCCCCATTGCTTGCATTACCACCTGAGCTCCACCATCTGTCAGATCAGCAGCAGCATTAGATTTTCACTGCAGTGCAAACCTCATTTTGAAATGTACATGTGAGGGATCCAGGTTGTGTGCTCCTTATGAGAAACTAATGCCTGATGATCTGTCACTGTCTCCCATCACCCCCAGATGGCACCATCTAGTTGCGGGAAAACAAGCCCAGGGCTTCCACTGATTCTACATTATGATGAGTTGTGCAATTATTTCATTATATATTACAATGTAATAATAATTGAAATAAAGTGCACAATAAATATAATGTGCTTGGATAGTCCTGAAACCATCCCCCACTCTGAGACCCATGGAAAAATTGTCTTCCATGAAACCAGTCCCTGGTGCCAAAAAGGTTGGGGACCACTGCTATAGATAATAGAAACCGGGATTGTCATTTCAAGAAACAGAAATCACAAATAAGAAAATGAGGAAAAATAGAATGATACTTGTGGAATTGCTCCTTAGGAGCTTATGTTCTTTTCTTACTTATATTTTCATTTGTATATTTTAATTAGTTTTGAAATAAATTTAGATTTATGCAAAGTTTCAAAAGTAGTAGATTGTTTCAATATACTTCTCCTCCACCTTCTCTTAATATTAAACATCTTAAATAACCAAAGTGGGATGATATAAAATGAAAAATTAATATTGATACAATAGTATTTACTCCATATTTGGATCCCAATAAATTTTTCACTAAAGATTCTTTCAAGTTCCAGTATCAAATCCAGGATGACATATTGCACTTAATATTCTTGTCTCCTTAATCTCCTCCAATCTGTGATCATTGTTTATTCTTTCTTTGTCTTTCATGACCTCAATGCTTGCAAAATGTACTATCAATGATTTTTAAGATTGCCCTTCTAATTTTCTCAACTAATTCAGATTATATGTTTTTGACAAGAATATCACAAAAGAGATGGTCCTCGTCAGCCAGTGCATCATCTTGAGTTGCATAATGTCAACATGTCTTGTTACCTGTGATGATGAAGGACCGTGATCAATAAAATCCTTTTTGTAAAATGTTTTGGACAAAGGGAACACACGCAACTGCTTTCACTGCTCTTCCCATTTGGTCATGTCCTCACATTATTAGAAATAATTTATTTTTCTCTGAGCCTGCCATTACTTATTTTTTTTTCAGAATTTAGTTATTTTTGAAGTCTTCTAACCAATTAAGAATATTGAAAAAATAATGTTCATTCTTAAACAGTAAATTTTCAGTGATGCCATTTACCAATGGAATGTTGTTAGCTTGAATAATGGAACAGGGGAATAGGATTATTAAAACATGGAAGTATTACACCAACAGACAGCTGTTACTAAGCCATGTAATTGGATAAATGAACTGAATTTTCTACCACTAGGAATGTTATAGAAATCAAATGGAAAGATACTGCAAGCACTGAGCTGCTCCTAACTGGAGAGATTGAAATACAATTGCTGCCATATTATATAATTCACACAGTTGAGACACAATATTGGAGAAGATGAAAGTCTAGGGCCTCAGTTTAAAATATATAGCATTTGTTATGAAGAATATATATTTTTCCAAGTTTTTGCATTTGTCATCTGATGAATCAGTGGGATTATGACTGAGTGTTGCTAGGGGTACGGAAAGAGGAGCTATTAGAGAAGGGCTACCAGACTTTACTGGATATAATTAGCCTAACTTGGACTTGTGGAGAAGAAGACTTAGAAGAAAAGCATTTGGAAAAGCCACACATGTTTTAAAAATCAAATACTTGCATCTTGAAAAACTATTTCCAGAGAAAAGCAATGACTTAGCAAAAAACTTAATGACAGTTTAGGTGACCAATTCAGTCTCATACACGTGCAGCTGCTTTGCTCTTTTTGCCTTGCATCCCTGAGGTCTCAGAAGGGCCTAGGCTTGAAAGGACTTGTTTCCCCAGAAATCAAGCAAGTAAGAAAATAAATTGACAACATACTTAGAGGAGAAGCCTATCAAACTTCCAGGGGAAAACCTGGGATTAGGGGAAGCCAGGAAGAGCATGGCTGAGCCAGAAAGGGTGGAGCACATGAATCTCATGGAGATGAGCCATAAGGCAGGAAGTTGAGAATCAGAACAGCTGATTTAGAACAGACCAGTACCTCCTTATGGATCTGACACTGTGTATGGTCCAGTGGAATCTGCAATGAGGCTGTGAGTTGAGCAGCAAAGTCAGGGCAAGGCAAACTGTTCTTGGAGCCATGGACAACAGGAGAGTATTTCTTCAGGGCCAGTGATACAGGGGGCCTGAGAAGAGGGACTCAGGATGGAGCCCTCTGGGAGCTGCCTCAGCAATGCTGTCTGGACACTGATCATTTAATGAGAGGGACCCCTGGGCTTAGAGCCACACCACATCTTCCCACCTCCTTCAAGGGCTCCTCACCATTTCTACCTCACCCCAATTTCCTTCTTCTCTAAGAGGAGCAGCTGCTCAGACACTGATTCCCTGGAGGAAGCAGATGCTCAGCTGAGCAGAAGGGTTGACCCTGCATGGGTGTGTCACGTGTGTCCGTGTAAAGAGAGTCCACCAACAGGCTCTGTGTGAGCAACAAGGCTGTTTATTTCATCTGAGTGCAGGCGGGCTGGTCCGAAAAAGGAGTCAGCAAAGGGTGGTGGGATTATTATTAGCTCATATAGGTTTGGGATAGGCATACAAAGTACATTCTCAAAGGCGGGGAGAATATTACAAAGTACCTTTTTAAGGGCAGGGGACACTATATCGTATCAGTTAGGGTGGGGCAGGAAAAAATCACAATGGTGGAATGTCATCAGTTAAGGCTATTTTCGCTTATTTTGTGGATCTTCAGTTGTTTCAGGCCATCTGGATGGATACATGCAGGTCACAGGGGATGTGATGGCTTAGCTTGGGCTCAGAGGCCTGACAGGGTGGTGTATGTTTAGGGCCGTTCCACTGTATAGGGTCCCAGTGAGTGCGCTGCTCACAGAAGGAATATGCAACATCTCCTGGCTCCACATTGGTGATTGTGAGTATGAAATTCCTCCCAGACCCACTGCCACTGACGTGGGCTGGGACCCAGGAGCCCGGTTTGTCACCATATAGATCAGTGGTTGAGGAGATTGGTGTGGCTTCTGTTGGAAACCGTTCAAGTAGATGTCTCCATTCCTATGGATGAGATTGCGACTGGTCTTGCAGGAGACGGAGACCCTGTCTCCCACGGCCACAGACAGGAGGGATGGGGGCTGAGTCATCACAGTAGCCTGATGGGAAAGGGTGGAAAAACAATTGATCAGTCTGAATACAAGTCAAAAACAATGGTTGTGAATGAAAAAAAAGATACATCATATCTAGGTGTTCTTCAGGTTTTTAAGCCTCTGCCATCTGAATGAAAGGCTGAAATAAAAACTTTGGCCATTGATCTTCACTGTCTCACCCACTGGATAAGAGTGGCCACCACTGTTCTCATCCTGAAAATTACTTATATGTACAAAGAATCCTGTACCATGAATGCAGAGCACCAGGGGCAAGAGGATCCATCCCAACAAGACCATCCTGGGCAGAGGAATCATCCAGAAGTGTGTTTTCAGCCTAGATGAGCAGAATCAGATAACAGGTTCACTTTCACACCTTAGATGGAGTGGTCAAATAGCCCATGTATGTTTCTATGCAAAAGACCTTGAGTGCTAGGCATTCATCTCTGAACCTCAGTCAAAGCTTCCTATGAGAGAGAATGCCTCGCTGCGGCTCCCAGGCCGGCTGTATTCAGATGCCTGGGCATGGTCCAACCATGGGCTCAGGTTGAGCAGAATCATGATTTAACGATAAATATCCCAGGGGTCAGCTGACCTTCTGAAGTGTCAAACATGATATTAAAGGATCAATATGGGAAAGGAAAAATGTCACTAGGTTGTGATTTTTCATTTAGTTCAGAGAGCTATTTCTTCTGCTCATTTTTCTTTCCTGAATGGAGTCATAGATATAAATCTAACCAAATATACAATTTTCATTGTCCTCTTAATCATTGGCAAACTATATCTACACTTCTGGAGCATCCGGGAAGCTAGCCCATACCAGTGCTATCTTTGGAGCCAGGTGGTAACTGTGGATGTGAGCAAATGACAGTTAGATCTACAAGTCTCCAAGACCATGACCACTGGCCTGGGAGGACCTGCAGGGTTTGCATGTCCTCACACCTGGATGAAGAACATCTTGATCCTTGTCCTTTTGATGCCCTTCAATTACTAGGCCACACTCCAAAAACCTAGTCCTCACTCCTCTCCTTTGCTAGACAGACCCTCTCACTCACAGCTCTTCCTCATGGACATTTCCTGTGAATCATTTCTCCAGGCTTACACACACTCTGCATGTCACAGTATGTGACAGAGGGAACTGATGTTTAAACAATTACCCATTGATTAGGTTGTTCTGAGTCCTAAGTTTAATTGTCCTTCTACAATAGAGTCAGCTAGAAAAATAAGAAACGCGAAGAGGTGTAAAATTATTAGTGCGTGAAAATGGTAAGCTATGAACTGGGATGATGAAGTAATAATAGTAATAGTAATAATAATAATAATAATAATAATAATAGTAATTAATAATACCCAGAACCGGCCGGGACTCTGGGCCCTTGTTAATCCGAGATACCAGAGCCCTCTCTAGGATCGCTATTGCGCACGTGCCCCTTCTTGTGGTCAACTCCGCCAAGACACCTGGTGTTTTTTCCCGGTAGGTACTTGACAGTGTCATTCCTAGTGAATAAGGTAAGTCTTTTTTGCATATTCTCAAACACGCTTTCTTGTTTGTTTGCTTGGCTTGTTCATGATGCCTAAAACAATCATAAATGGTTTTCAGGCACTATCCAAGACTGTGGAAACATAAGCGAGTGGTGGGTAGCTTTCAGTTAGATGTTAATACCTATGAATTGGGATTTCCTCATGTCTGGTTTCCAAGTGTTGTGGAGGCCACACAATATGTTGCTGTCCAACGCTCTCTAGTTAGCAATAGAGTGACCGTAAGTTTATCAGACTTGAGGCCCACAGCGGCTCAGTCGGTGATTTCTTACTCCACTCTTTCGTTGTTCCCTCAGTCGGAATCTGTGGGCAGTTTCCACTATGTCTGTGCCTCTGGCCTCTCTCAGCTCCCCTGCAGTGCTGGGGGTCGAGGCTGATGGCTGCACAGAGAAAGGTCTTCGTATTATCAGCTCTGGCTAGAGCTCAAGTTCAGAGCAGGACAGTGCCCTCCAGATGATTATAGAGCAGAAAGACTGCCTCTTCTATCTTCTCTAAATGGAGTACATTCTAGATTTTTATGAAATATTTACATTCCAGTATTTATGGAATGATTTAAATTATTTTTCAAAACTGTATTGGAAGCTGTGTCTGAAGGCGAGGAGCAATGCTTTTTTTTTTTTTTTTTTTTTTTTTTTTGAAACGGCGTTTCCCTCTTGTTGCTCATGCTAATGGCTAGACTGCAATGGCATCGTCTTGACAGTCTGCAACCTCCGCCTCTGGGGTTCAAGCTATTCTCCTGCCTCAGCCTCCCAAATTGCTGGGATTACAGGCGGAGCAATGCTTTTGAAAATGGCTTTGCTCTCTGGTTCCACACAAGGCACTGAAGCCTGCGGAATTTAGGGCTTCACGTGGGTTCGAGGGTCCCAGGCTGCCACCTCATCACTCAGCCTCCTTTTCTTGCCCAGTGCTCTGTGTTCTTTCTCTGGTCAGGAAATTCTCACACATTTTGGTCTAAAATGGAAGGAGTGTTGCTTCTTTCACCTGAGGATCAATCAATTTACAATTTTTGAGACAATAATTTACACTTAATTAAATCAAATCACTTTCATCATATTTGTCTAGAAATGATTTTATTCTTTTTATTTATTACAAATTGCCTCATGGCCTGACCAAACTTCCAGTGGATCACTTGCAAGAGCAAATTTAACTGTCAAATTTACCGTTACATTCATCCATTGAGTTATTGGTTTGAATTACTTTATATTTGACATTTGTTTGATTTCTTTTTATAGTTTCTGGTTCTCTGCTAAAATTCTTGATCTTGTCATAGAATGCATTCAGCATATAATATACTATTGTCCCAATATCCGCAAATTATTTTGGTCCCTTTCTGTTGCCTGTTTTTTTTCTCTCCATTTTGTATGTTTGGGTATTGTTGATTGAAATCACACTATGTTTAATACACTTAATATCTATGTAGATTTAAACTGATACTTGCCCTACAACATTTTAGAAGCAATTTTGGGCTCTGGAATAATTTTCACACTCCAGAGAGGATTTACTTCTTATTCTGCCAGAATGAAATGCTAGGGCTGTACCAAGTTAATGCCATCAAAGGACTGCAGTACTTTGGGCCTGGGTATCAACACGGTGGTGCCTTGCTACTCCTGGTGCAACCTCCTCCCGGTATGTTTCCCTAGCAAGATTTCACCTCAAGACCTTGGTATGTGTCAGGATCCCTCCTTTTCTGCAGTCGTTCGGGACAGTTTTTCACCTGTGGCCATATGAGATTTTTTTAAAGCTCTGATGGACTCCGAGGCCCCTTGGCCCCTCCTTTCTTTCAGATTTTCAGGACTGGGCCTCTATTTCTGAGCCTGCTTATGTCTCAAGGGACACTGAAGGCACAAAACTAGTGCTCCCCTGTCTATGCTTCCCTGCTTTTCTTGTCTCCTTGAAGACCTGCTGGGTTGTAATGTTTAATGCCCCATCATGGAGGTAGATGGGCCGGTTTCCTAATTAATAATTATTAAGTTGAGGCCAAGAAAACTTGAGAGAGTGTTTATTGTTCCCACGAAGGATGCCTGTGTGGGGTGGGCACGAGCTGGTGCAGACCTGCCTGAAGAGGCAGAGTTTAGGCTTTTAGAGTTGGTAAGGGGAGAGAGTGAGAGAATGTTCTCCCTGTGAGCTGGAGGGTTGTGGGGAATTTCCTACCAGTGCTTATAGAGATATGGGCAGAGAAAAAAGGAGGAGGGGCTTGGAGGATGTCAGGGATAAAACATCAAAAGTAATCAGACTCTCAGACATGGTGATGCTCTAATGCCTTCAAACACGTTTTCATATTTTATTCAGCTTTTTTTAGGTGTACCCAGCAGGTTGGTTCCACATAAGCCATTCCACCATTTTACAGAAGTGGAAGTTGCAAAACAATTTTTAAATTATGAAATGGTTCAAATTTTAAAATATGGTGAGAAATATTATATATATAATTACCGGGTGGAGCAAAATAATGATAAATAATGTTATCAAATGTTTACTATTTATAAACATTTTAAAAACATCTATTCAACTCATAATACTGTATGATATAGTTATTCCTTTATTTTTTATTATTACAGATGGGAAAACCAAGCAAAGAAAGTTTAAGTAACGTCCTGAAAGTCACACAGCTGTTAAGTGGATGAGCCCAAATTCCCATCAAATGTGTATGGTTTTGGTTCCTGTCTTTCATCATGGGATAAAGTAGTATCCAAAGGCCCTTTCTGAGGGGTTCATTAGATTTCCCACTTAGATATCAGTCATTTTGACAAGAGAAACGAGTGGATTGGTGTCCTCTCGCTGTCCAGAGTTCTCACACCGTGACAGGCAAGCTCCTATGTTGTTGACAGTAACAATACGCTGCATCTTCAGCCTCCAGGCTGCTGATGGAGGGGATGAAATCAGTCCACCCACTGTCACTAATCCTGGCAAGGACAGCAAGGTGCAGGTCATAATTACTATAAATAATAAGATTCAGAACCTGACCTGGTTTTTGTTGGCTCCAATTCAGGCAGCTACAAATATCGTCACAGCTTCTCAGCTGATGGTGGCCTTTCAACTTCTCTCAGGAAGCTTTGTCTGGAAGTTTTGTAAGTTTGGGCACGATAATGTTCCCATTGACAACTGAAATGAAAAAAAAAATCACATGAAAAATGGTGATGTAATTGAGGTTAAATACATCACACTTCATGGTCTTCTCAGGTCACTCAAGTGTGTGAGTTCCTCGTGAGAAGTCACAATTCACAGATGCAAAAAAGCCCTCAGAACTCATCTTACAATGAGAAGAAAGGCTGTTTCCTTATCATGTGGGAGCCTCATAATTTCAGCTCCTAACTGTGAGCAAGGCAACTGTCTCAGACCAATTCCACTGAGTCAGGGTGAAGTCAGACAGGCGCACACACAGTAAGAATCGCAGGATACTAAACTGGATTCTGCCAATACCAGGCTGAGTCACTGCTCAGCCCTAACTGATCAAGCTGTTTTTGGAGACCAGAGCCTGAGTCAGCACAGTGATTACTGTGACATCTAATTCAGAAATAGAACACAAACACATCAAATATTTTTCTGAAAATATAAGTGTTATGAAATGATATTTCCTAAGCTATCAAATATCTTAAGAAATATTTCCTTTATTTCTAATGCTTGTCCTTACTTCATGATATGCACAATTTCCCCACTCCAACCAGTATGTATTCTATTTAGATCATAAGATACGATTAGTGGTTATGTTTATGTTTGCCACTCAATATCAGCAGTATAGTACTCCAAAATCTCAAATTGCTAGAACGGCATTGTATAAAATCTTTAAGTGAAGTGATAATCCACAAATAAACATGAATTTCAGATTTATAAAAAGAAATGAAAACACAAATGTCCTAGTAGAGCAGGATAAAATACACTTTTCTACACACAGAGTAAAGGGTAAAAATTATAAAGGGAAATATAGTTGCACATATAAGCAATTTTTAAAAATCAACTGCTATTGGCTGTGCAAACCTCAGTCCCATCAACTCTCTCACTGAAATATTTCTCAGGTTTATATCTCTATCCCCTCCAACATCTCGATAACCACAAGGAGCCTTAAGAATGATGTTGCTCATGTTCTAATCTCTCACTGTCTAGTTTGATAAGTTATGTTGACAACTGCACAATAAGAGCGATAAGATCAAAAGACTACTGAAGACATTTCAAATGGAAAAACTAAAAGTCAATATCTCTCATAAACATAGACAAACATTCAAAAAAAAAGGGAAGATTTACCTCTATCTCTCTCAGATAATCTGCCATGCCCAACTTGAATATATTTCAGAAGTGCAAGGTTATTATAACATTACATAATCAATCCATATAATGCATCATACTGACAGAATTAAGAACAATAACTTTCATTATCTCAATAGTAGCTGAAAATCACTTGAAAGAAGTCAACAGCTATTCACAATAAAACTCTCAGCAAGCCTGGGATAATGGAAAACATCTTATTCTGATAAAGCATCTACAAATGATCCATCTTTAGAATTACTGAGGTTTAAAATTATTGAGAAGTGGTACAGGCAATTCTACAGCAAACATCTTACTTAGTGATAAAATATTAAACATTTCACTTCTCAAATTATAAAAAATACTGAACCATCCACTATATGAAATCATAATGGAGGTCCTAAGACATGCAAAAATTCAAAACAAATAAACAAACAAAACCCATGGAGTATGGAAATGAATAAGCAAAACATTTGTATTTGCTGATAAACTTTGTACATAAGTTCTTAAAGAATCTAAAACTTAATCACTAGAAATAGGTCTCTGCATACAATGTGGATTAAAGGAGATATAAATAAATAGCATTTTCATGTCCATAGAACAGAAGATTTGATATTGTTAAGAGTTAATGGGTGCAGCACACCAACATGGCACATGTATACATATGTAACAAACCTGCACGTTGTGCACATGTACCCTAAAACTTAAAGTATAATAAAAAAAAAAGATTTCAGTTTTCTCCAATTTGATATATAGACTCAATGCAGTCCAATTAAAATCCTCAAAGGAATTTTTGAAATTGAAAAGGTGATTCTACAATTTACTTGGAAATTCAAAGGACGTAGAATAGCCAAGAAAATCTTAAGTCTAAAAATCTGGTATTATGTCTTCTGACTTTTTTTTTCTTTATAATAAAGCCACAGTAATTAAGACTGTACTGTAAGTACAGAGATAGACAAAGAGTCAAGAAAAATATTCTTTTTACTCAATCATGAGATTTTTAAACACAGGCAATAGAGTGAGGTATAGGTTTTCAATTGTTTTTTGTTTTGTTGTGTTTTGCTCTATTTTTGCAAGAAATGGTGAGGAGTTGTTGAGTATGAAAATAAAAATAAATAAAACAAGACATCAAAATACAATTCTTGATCCACCTCACCCCAGGCAAAAAACATGAATTAGAGATAGACTGTAGCCTATATGTGAGAGGTAAAATAACGATGCTTCTTCAAGAAAGCATAGGAGCATATCTTTAAGCCCTTTGGTGGTAAAAATTTATTAAACAGAGGACACATGTAAACACACAAAACAAACACAGGAGAAAAAAATGACAAGTAAAATGACAAATTAGATTACATTATAATTAAGAACTTCTAATCGTATCAATGTGTATGATTAATATAACATTACACACACAGACACTCACACACATGATTTGAACAGGAACTTCCCTAAAGATACGCAAACAGCCAATGAAAATAAATATATGAAAAGTGACTCAACATCATTACCTATTAAGGAAGTATAAATTTTAATCATGATACAACTTCAGATTTATCAGTACAGATGTTTTGTGCTGGATATGTATAGTGGAACTTTGACATAATTGACTCCATCTCAGATAAAGACTGCATTATATGTTTCATAGGGCAGCTTGCCAACAAGAATAAAATGTTTTGCCTACAAAATAAAAAAAATAAAGGCTGCATCCAACCAGATAAGGTCACAAGCAAGCACAGTCTTGCACTATGAGTTCTTACCAGAGGACTCTGTGACCATGAAAGTGCGGGCTGTCAGTATCTCAAAAGGGCCATCTTAATTCACAACCATCCCGTTGTCATTTGTGGTAAGAACTCCTCATCTGTCTAAGAAGGCTCTGACACATCAGAGACTCTTCCTTGCAAGGACCAAGGGACCTTCAGGCCAGACCAGGATTCTTTTTGTCTTCTTCACTACCCCTGGATTGATTTGATAACTCTTTCTCCTATTTTTTTTCTTTTGGTGTTAAATGTTGCATTGTGTAAACTTTAACTTATAATGTTTATGTATTGATTAAGAATACTATTATGTATGGTTTGCAATATTGACCGGCTTGTGCAATGGTTTTAGCCTGTGTGCCCGCAACACTGACAATTGAATGGCTCCTTGGGAGCTCCATGTAGCTTGCAGCTTCTGTGTTGGAAATAGCATCAGTAAAAGTCTGACATTGTGGAAAGACATAAACACACATGGGCCTGGTTAACTCTGACCTTGGAGTGCACATGACAGGGTAGATCTATGCAAACTTGACCCCAATGCCTGAGGAAGCTGAAAGGCTGAAGAAAGAGGCCGACACATCCAGTTTCTCAGAAAGAAACATTTAATAGAGACTTAAAAACAGAAGCCGTGTCTGTGTCTCTGACAGTAGGCAGATAAGATGGTCAATCACTTGCCATGACCCCTCTCAAATAGGGCTTGTATACCATAGGAGACCAGTGGTTCAGAAAGGATGTGTACGACAATCAAAGAATGATTACATCAAGGTTGTTTAAGGGCAGGATTTATGCTAAGTACTTGCTCTTAAATAAGATAAAATAGATAAACTGAAAATCTTAGAGACCGTCCCAGAACTCAGGTTAATCAGAAGTCAGACATGGAAAATTAGCATCCAAGATGGGGTTGCTTTGGCCTCCACCCTAGATATAATAAAAGTTTGACAGTACTGAGTACTGAAAAAGATTGACAGCAATTGAGACTTTTATGACGTGGTTGGTTTCACGTAAATATGTTCAGTATTTCAGTAAACTATTGTCAATGTTTACTAAGACAAAATCTATGCTAACTTTATAACTCAACACTTCCATTCTTAGGAATATTCCCAAGAGAAATGAGTGCATAAGTTCACAAAAGACAAGCACAAGAATGTTCTTAAGGTTTTTACCAGTAATATTCTTAAACCAAAAACAAATCATTAGTTGAAAAATGAATATATTTTGGCATATTCATGGAAAATTGTGCCTCAATAAAAAGGCACAAATTACTGCCAGAGAAACAACACAGATGAAACTCAAAAATATTTTGATCAAAATAAGCAAAACGTCAAAGAGTAAATACTGTATGATTGAAATTATATAAAGCTTAAGTATAGGAAAAATTAATAAATATTGAAATAAAATACAGCGGAAGCCTAGGATGATGATAGATGGAACACGGAATTGACAGGGAAGTAACCTGGGGAGATATTTGAGATGCTGGGAAGAGTGTGGATCTTGATCTGGGTAGTGTTGGAAGAAGGTGGGATCGGAGCATAAATGTTTACAGTATACATATAGGTGCAATACGTTTATCTGATATATTGTTGGCTGAACATACTTATATGTGTATGTACTTATGTCTGATCTTTGAAAGGTCATAATTTAGACTCTAATCCCCTGTATCAAAAAAAAATTCTTTAAAAATATGTAGAGTACCTTCTCCTTTTCTGTATAAGTCTGACTTTTGCTGCAATCTAGACCTCCTAGGTTTAATTTTCTTTGTCCTTTATTAATAATAATCAGGAGAGATACTTGCATATCAGCTGATGGAGCTGAGGATAAAGAGAGATAGAATGTAAATGTGCCTCCCTGACCCCTTCTACCAAAACTTCCCAGTGAGCTTCAAACCTTGGCTGCATCTGAGAACTGCTGTCAGCAGACGGCGGCACCAGGAGGAGCAGCTGGGGCAGCCCAGACTCACACATCTACTTCCCTCCATGGTTTATGTTCAGGCTTGTATCACAGTGGGAGGGGCACTGTTATACTTTTGACAGTAATAAGTTGCAACATCTTCAGGCTGCAGGCTGCTGATGGTGAGAGTGAAATCTGTCCCAGATCCACTGCCACTGAACCGAGATGGGACCCCCTGATTGCAAAGCGGATGCAGCATAGATCAGGAGCTTAGGAACTTTCCCTGGTTTCTGCTGATACCAGGCTAAATAATTGCTAATGCCCTGACTCGCCCGGCAAGTGATGGTGACTCTGTCTCCTACAGATGCAGACAGGGAGGATGGAGACTGGGTCATCTGGATGTCACATCTGGTATCTGATATTAGGAACATAAAAACACATATCCACATGATTAGTAATGTTCTAAGAAGAATTTCCTGAAGTGCCAGGCATTAATGGCTACACTGGCTGAATAAAATTTTTGTTGTTTCCCTCCTTACCTGGGAGCCAGAGCAGCAGGAGTCCCAGGAGCTGAGCGGGGGCCCTCATGTCCATGCTGTGTCCGGACTGAGAGAGACTTCTGCACAGGATGTCACCAGCCTATTGATAAATGTTCAGGGCAGTAGGCGTTGCTCTGTGGGACATGCAAATCTGCACAGCTGCAAAGATGACTTATCTCAATAACACTGCACAGGCCCAGTGCCTCCCAGGTGTCCAAAGTCTGCAGAGCATGTGTTTCTCCCTGCAGGCTACAGGAAAGAATCAGCCTACTGTCCTATGTGTGGAGTGTTCTTTTGCTCTCTTCATGTTTCATGACATGCTTCTCTTGCTAGCTTTCTATTTATGATAAGGTCTGCTAGGGAAAAACATCTCTAGAAACTCAAGAAATTTTAGAAGTTTCCTGCATTTGATACAGATGAGTACTATTAAGGTCAGAGAGACTTCCTTTTTGGTCCAATTCCCTGGAAACACCAGTGCTGTAAATTGTCAGTGCTACCAACAATGGATGCATTAAGGTATAATCATGAATGATAGATAGATAGATAGATAGATAGATAGATAGATAGATAGATAGATAGATTTGCTCATTAAAAAAGAAATAAAAAACTTAAAAAAACCCTAATACTTGAAAATAATGCCACAGCAAGGAAGGGTCCTGCCACTGGCTATCTGGCATAGCTAATCTCCCATCTCCAGACACATAATTGTTATCCTCCATATCTGAATGTTCTTTCCTACCTCTTTCAGCTGGGCCAGCCAACATGATAAATTTTCTCCCTTTACTTCTGAAAGTTCTCAGCTATATTCTAGCTCTGTATGCCATCCTACAGTCTCATGCTAGATATTTCCCTGTGCTCCCTGAATTTTATTTATGCCTTTTATTTCTCTTATCCAAGCCATTCCCCTTCAGAAGCTGAGGTGTCCTCTAAACCAAGTTGTCACCCTCTATCCCTGTGACTACTCTGTTTCTTATACCTGCACATTTCCAAATCACCAATCTCTTCCAGCTCCTAAGAGAAAACAGTTCTTAATGACTGGGTTTAGGGCACTTGATCCGAGCAGGTTCAGAAAGAAAACTATGCAACAAAAAGCCAGGGAATTGTATGAGATACTGAGCCTACACAATATAGAAAGTGCACCCGTGTTGTGGGGTGTAGAGGAAAGCCTACCTGTGCGTTGAAGCTATAGTTAGCAGAGACAAGTATCCCTACCTGGGTGTGCAGGATGCAAGACCCCTCATCCCACTTATGCAGGACATCACAGCTGGATGAGGATGAGCAGGACAGTCACAAGGGTGGAGGACACTGTTGCTAATGTCAGAGCCCCGGGGGGGAAAGGGCAGCTATGCAGGGATGCAAAGTTCACGGTGGACTGGCACGGAGTATCAAGACTAATGAAGGTGTGTGAGGCATAAGAGGGAAGTTGTCCGCAAGGAAAGTTTAGGTGACAGGGACAGTGGGAGATTGGTGTCACACAAAATGTTTGATCATTTAAGTAAATATGGTATGAATAATTACAGCCAAGATTCTCAGTTTGGAAAAAAAGCTACAAATATAAAAAAGGAGAAACTGTAGATGTGGATTGTAATTAGAGACATTAATGTAGATTCACTAATTTTTGGAGAGTTTTATACGGATATAGATTAAAACATATGCAGATAGACAGGTAATTTTTCCTAGAAGCAGTAACACACAAGTCTCAATAAACACCTTGAGTGCTCAAATCTTGTTTTATTGAATATCAATCTCTATTAAAAAGAATAATTACTGGAAAAATATCTGATCTCAGGTTTAGAGCAGAAAAAATATAAGATGAGCCTGCATTTCTTGTGTCAGAAACTAAGGAAGTGCTCAGAAAATGATGGGGTAAGAGAAAAAGTTATTAGGAGCTAGCTTGAATGGGGCTCCCCTTGGACAAAATAGGGGAATGTTGACTCTGAAAATAAATAATGATAGTAACATATTTGTTTCAGTATGTGCTGTTATAACAGAATATTTGAAACTGGGTAATTTATCTTTTCAGTTAGAAATCTATTTCTCACAGTTCTGGAGGTGGGAAAGTCAAATACCAAGGTGCAGTTATCTGGCAAGGTCCTTCTGGCTGCATCTCCATGGTGGAAAGGCAAGACAGAGTGAGTAAGAGCAAGAAGGGGTCAAACTTGTTTTTATAAGTAACGCACTCTCACTATAACAAACTCACCCCCATCATGATGACATTAACCATTCATGAGGGCAAAGCTCTAGTGACCTAATTACCTCTTAAAGTTTCCACTTCTCAACATGGCTGCATTGGGGAGTAAATTTCTAACAAATGAACTGAGGAGGATACATTCAAATCACAGCATTCCACCCTACTCTCTCCAGTTCATGTCCTTTTCACATGAAAAATACATTCATTTTATCCCAATAGCACCTAAAGTCTCAATTTGGTCCAGCATCAACTCAAAAGTCCAAAGTCCAGAGCCTCATCTGAATCACATATGGGTG
The DNA here is from genome assembly GCF_000001405.40 of Homo sapiens. Taxonomy (NCBI): domain Eukaryota; kingdom Metazoa; phylum Chordata; class Mammalia; order Primates; family Hominidae; genus Homo; species Homo sapiens. The sequence goes on along the minus strand of NC_000002.12, from coordinate 89,966,436 downwards.
AGATTCGAGGCACTATTTATCCCAGGCAAATTAATTCCAGCTATAAGCCTGTGAATTATCAAGTTACATGCTTCCAAAATACAATTAGCCCTCCCTACCCATGGGTTTTACATCCACAGATTCAACAACCATGGATTGAAAATAGAGTATTCAGCAGATGCAGAATCCACAGATGCAGAGGGTATACTTTTCATATTTGCAGGTTCTTCAGAGCTGACTGCAGGACTTGAATGTCCACAAATTATGGTATTTGTGGAGGACCCTGGAACCAATTCTCCATGGAAACTGAGGGACAACTGTACAATGGTGGGGCAGGCATAAGATAAACATTCTCATTCCAAAAAAGAGAGATAGGTAAAAAGAAAGGTTTAACTGGTCCCAAGTAAGCCCAAAACCCAACAGGAAAAACATTAAGTCTTAAAGGTGGAGAATAATCTTTGACTTCAAATCTCATATCTGGGGCAATCTGGGGTGGGAGTTGGTTTACCAATGCCTCAGGCAGCCCCACCTCTATGGTTTTACTGGGCTCACTTCACCCAGAAGCCTTCATGGGTTGGAGTCTTGTGCCTGCATCTTTCCCAGGCTGGAGTTGCATGCTGCTGGCCCTACAATTCTGTGGTCTCCCAGGCTGCCTCACTTTCATGGCTCTACTAGATATTGCCCTAGCAGGGATTTTCTGTGGAGGCTTTCTCCCTGCTACAAGTCTCTGCCTGGGATCCAGTATGTCCATAGTCTTTCCCAAGACTCAATCTGGCATTCTCCTTGCTGGGAATCCAGAGCCACTCTCCGGCTATCCTTTTTGGAATTCAGCCCTAAGCCCCTGGAAGCTTTTCTTTTAAACCCTCCAAACACAACCTCTGACAGGAATCTGGCTGGAACAGTCGGCATCTTCAGCAAAAACAACTGAGAAGCAGGGGAACCCTGCAAACACCACATTAGTGTAGAGGAAATGCATACAATCCCTAGATTTCATGTTTTCTCCAACTGTTTTTTCCAGTTTCTTAACCATGATTCTGTTTCTATGATCTTGAAGGATGGAGACATTAAGAAGAACAAGGAGCTGTTTTTTTTTTTTTTTTTTTTTTTTTTTGAGACGGAGTCTCGCTCTGTCGCCCAGGCTGGAGTGCAGTGGCGCGATCTCGGCTCACTGCAAGCTCCGCCTCCCGGGTTCACGCCATTCTCCTGCCTCAGCCTCCCGAGTAGCTGGGACTACAGGCGCCCGCTACCACGCCCGGCTAATTTTTTTGTATTTTTAGTAGAGACGGGGTTTCACCGTGTTAGCCAGGATGGTCTCGATCTCCTGACCTCGTGATCCGCCCGCCTCGGCCTCCCAAAGTGCTGGGATTACAGGCGTGAGCCACCGCGCCCGGCCAAGGAGCTGTTTTATGCTTAAGATATAAAAAGAGAAATGGAGACAGGAAGAGAGCAGAATTTATACATTCTTCAAAGTGGTTTGGATTTCTCTAACCATGGGCATAGAATGACAAAGATGTTAGGAGAAGACATCACTTTTTCTGATTTCCTGTTTTTTTGTGTCTTAGACTCCCATAAACACAAATAAGAACCCAGTCAGTCTCTTTCCCTTGAATATTTTTTCTGGATAAGTTAAAATAATTTTAGAAGCAATTGCAAGAAATGATAGCAATAGCTGAAGCAGAGATAAGAATTCTGAAGTTTGGAACATTTGAGGTTGGTGCAGCAACTTGGTGACAGCAAAAGGACCCAGGTTTTTGCTACATTTCTTCTTTGCACTTCAGTTTTTCAGTCTTGGGTTCAAAGCCTCATGATCTTAGGAGGGCTGCAGTGCCTCCAAGTATCAATGTGCACGCATACCTGTTTCAGGAAAAAAAATGCAGGACAAAGCTCTTCACCTTCTATGCCTTTATGAGGGATCAAAGTCCTTCCCTGAAGTGCTGCTCACCTCTGACATCTCATTGTGGAGCTCATGTGCCCCACTCCCTGCTCCTCTTCATTGTCCTTGCCATGTGCAGCAGGGCGAAGCTGCTCCCTTATACGCCCAAGGAGAGGGGATGGCTGCTGTGTAGGTGCCAAGAGTTTTGCAATGTTGTATTTCACTATGTGTCTAAGTTAAGTTGCATGGGAAAGAGAAAGTTCAAGGGCCTCTTTATGTGGTGGGATTGGAGTGGGCCAGACCCTGAGGATGACAATGAAGTCAAATTTCTAGTTTTTCAGTTGCCAATGCTGGCTTCACTAGTTAAGGAAATGTGGCCTGTGCAATTAAGACCAGGACAGACTTTCAGGTACTGGAATAAATGGGGGAGTTATTTGGCATAGGGTCCTCAGTCCAGGACTAATGTTTGCATTACCCAAGCTGCCGGTCACTGGCCCTGGTCTGTGGCAGTAGCAGCTTCTCTCCTGAACCATGGGGCTGAGGACCTGGGGGGAACCACAGGCCCTATCCACGGGGCTGCATGGAATGGGGCTTCAGAGAAGGAAACTGCTCACACACCCACGGGTGCCACACCAAGCCCAGAGCCCGAGGTGAGGATGAAAGTCTCTGAGACCAGAGCCTTAGGGCTGGGCCTGGGCTCCTGGGGCTGGCTGTCCTCAGCTCTGTCCTCACTGGTCCTGAGACACCAGGACCCTGTTGGAGCCAAAGAGGGAGAGTCAGCAAATGTCCACAGACTTTACTCAGCGAGCCTCTGTTCTGCTTAGAAATAAAAGGAACACATGCTACAAAAATAATGAATATATGGACATACTATGTAAACTTTTAAATTAAATAGATATAATATTATGGATATAAATTATTGATGTATCTGTATATAATATGTATCTATATTATACATCTACATAATATGTATATTTATATAGAAATAGATATAACTGTTGGTATAAGGTATGATTTCAAATTTGATAAATTGAGCATGAACATTTAAAACCAGCAATAGCACACCATAAACATGATCCTTCCTGACTTCCTGAAGGTCAGGAAGCTCAGGACCCTTCCCCATGTCCCTGTTGAGCAGGACAGAGAGCCCCCAAGACCCAAGGGGGGTGTGGGGAACACAATCAGCAGGTGGCTGGGAGATGGGCAGTGGGTCTGGGCCCTGATTGGAGAGAAGTTTTGTTCCCAGATCTCCGAGTAGACAGTTCCTCCCCTGGGGGCTCTTCTCAGACACAGCAGCACATGTGACTCAGTGGCTGTGTAGTCACAGGGTCACAGGACAAAACCCTTCCACTTGGCAATTGGCAGCTTCTCCTCTGACTAGAGTGATGTGGGATCTCTCTGCCCAGCTATCATGGCTCATGTGGCTGCTGACATCCTCTTCACAAAACGAGATGCCATGAAGGCAGCTCAGCTGCTGATGGCCCGAGTGAACTCTGTCCAAGCCCATCACCCCTGACCCAACAGGCATTGTGTAGAGTAGGCAGCAGGAGCCAGCAGAAGCTCAGAGCCAGCTGTGGCTTCTGCTGGTGCCAGGCTAGAACATTGTTGAGACTATGGCTGGCCCTGCAGGTGACAGTGACCCTCTCTACTAGTACACATGAAGAGGGGCTAGAGACTGTCCATCTAAATGTGGAATAAACATGAACACCCCAAATATTAATACCAAGCATGTAGTTTGTTCAGTTTGGTTAAATTCTATTCAGAAAATAAAACAGGCTAATTAACTGATTGTCAAGGAAACATTCCTGTTTATTGCAAACAAACTGAAGATGAAGCCTGAACCCTCCCTTCTTCCTCAAGAGAGAGTCAGAACAGCAGGAGGAATAGGAGCAAAGCTGGGTCCCCACGTCCATGAGATATTTCTTGATGCTGATCCTGCTCAGAGAGGGTGGGGATAGTGAATGAGCCTTCTTTCACTGCAACACCAAAATACTCTGGGTGGGTGGCTTGAACCATAGACATTTATTTTCACATTTCTGATGGCTGGGAAGTCCAACATCAAGGTCCAGCAGGGTTCAATTTCTGGTAAAGACCTTCTTCCTGGTTTGTAGATGCTACCTTCTCACCATGCTTTCATATGGTCTTTCCATATGAGTGTGGGAGTTAGAGAGAGAGGAAAAAGAGAGATCTCTGGATCTTATGAGAACCACTAATCCTATTGGATCAGGGCCCCACCCTTATAACTTCCATTATATTCTTATAGGTCCTATCTCCTACAGCCACGTTGGAGATTAGACCTTCAACATGAATGTGGGAACACAATTTAGACCACAGCAGGTGGACACAGGTAAGGCAGTAGGGAGGGAAAGGATATGCTTTCAGCCTCCAAGCACAGAGCAGGTTCCCCACAACTCAGCACACTGGCAGCTCATCCCAGATGTCCCAGGTCACACATGAGACACCGTTCTAGATTTAGGGACTTCTCATTGATAATCGGACACTATCAGTCTTATTTTCCCAGTGTTTCTAAGACCTTGGTGTTCTTTATTGTGGAGTGTGTTTACACCCAGAGACAGGTTATTGACATAGCAATTTATGGGATTTTTAATTTTGTTATAGTGAAAATTACTTAATAAATTTATCAGAAATAATAAACTAAAATTAATATATTGTATGAAAATGAGATTAACTGAATATCCTAAAAGGAGCCTGAGAGGATAAAAAACCATATTCTTTTCAGAAGAGGACAATTAAAGTCATATGACTTTTATAACAAAGACATTTTAGTAGAAATTATCAAATGATAAATTCAAATAGGCTGCCACAAACATAACTATATACTCAAAAAATTATTTTCCAAAATAATTTTACATTATCATATAAGAGCAAATAACTGCCAGGTGCAGTGGCTCACGCCTATAATCCCAGCACTTTGGAAGGCTAAGGCAGGTGGATCGCTTCAGATCAGGAGTTCGACACCACCCTGGCCAACATGGTGAAACCCTGTCTCTACTAAAAATACAAAAATTAGCCTGGAATGGTGGTGGGTGCCTGTAATCCCAGCTGCTCCGGAGGCTGAGGCATGAGAATCTCTTGAACCCAGGAGGCAGTTTGCAGTGAGCCGAGATCATGTCACTGCGCTCTAGCCTGGGTGACAGAGAGAGACTCCATCTGAAAACACAACACAACAAAACAAACAAACAAAACAAAGTGGGTTTATCAGCAGATCCACTAAATGGAAAATTTCTCCAATGCGTGCTTAAAGTAAAAGAACATTTATCCCTGATGGGAAACTCTAGATTTCTTTGGTCTTTAGAAGAAAACAGCTTTCTCTCTAGTCGTTCCACTTCATGCTGTCGAGGATGGGCATGGGGGCAAGTGACTCTGAGGAAGGAGGAAGGCTGTGTCTGAGGGTGGTCGTGTCTCCTGCCCATCTGAGTGACCTCTTGGAGAAGAGCCACCGACACCACCAAAGCCACCCACCTGCCTCTGCACTGTCAGGCAACAGACACAGAAACCATGTCACATTTAGTCCACCATATTTTGAGGCTTCTTTGTAACAGCCTTAATTGTACTCTGATTCTCCTTGGTATTTCATCTCAGTTTTTGGAATCATTTATTTTTCACCTAATGGGGCCTTAACATGTGGGACTGAAGTACAGCTGAGGCTATCATGAGCCAGAGTCCTCAGCAGCAACCTCTGCCCTGAGGTCTCCAACAGCCTCCTCTTCTGCAGACTCAGAGACCCTGCTGAGCTGCTCTCCAGACAAGCAGCACATGTGAGCAACTGGGCAACCCCAGGAGGAGGTTTCTGTTAGGGGTTGTACCACTGTGGGAGGAGTTTGTAGAGCTTGCATGCAGTAATAAACCCCAACATCCTCAGCCTCCACTCTGCTGATTTTCAGTGTAAAATCTGTGCCTGATCCACTGCCACTGAACCTGTCAGGGACCCCGGAGGCCCGATTAGAACCCAAATAGATCAGGAGCTGTGGAGACTGCCCTGGCTTCTGCAGGTACCAATCCAAATAGTTGTATCCATTACTATGCAGGAGGCTCTGACTAGACCTGCAGGAGATGGAGGCCGGCTCTCCAGGGGTGACGGGCAGGGAGAGTGGAGACTGAGTCATCACAATATCCCCACTGGATCCTGAAATAATGAATTGCAAAGTTATGTACAAACCTAATGAGCAATTTTCATAATTTATCTTATGTCATTTATTTAAACTTAATTTTAAAAAATACTGATTTATGCCATAAAAATACACATTCTAAAATGAATTCAATTTTTGTAAAGTATAAGAGACCTTTATATTTTGAAAATCTTAATCGGAGCACCAGACGTCATATTTCTTATGAGGCTTCTAATTATTCACAGAGCAAAATATCAAGTTCCCTTTTCTACAGCACAGATTATACTCCTCTAACACAGGGTTAGACTAAACATGGGATCATGGGATGCTGTGGAGCCCTAGAGCTCACCCTCCCACCCTATTCTCCTTCCTCATCTCCTTCTTTTCTTACCAGAGACCCAGAGCATTAGCAGCCCCAGGAGCTGAGCAGGGAGCCTCATTGTGAGAAGGTGAACTGAGGAGTCCTGATCAGTCAAGGCACAGTTACAGCTGAGCTTTTATCTCAGACTCACAAGGGAAGGTCCTCCCTGTGGGACAATATGCAAATCCCCTGGTGCATGCAGTGGTGTGGAAAGAGTCAATGGGGCAGGCGGGCAGGGGATATGTCTCTCCTGTGAGCAATGTGATATAAAATGGGAGGAAGGATCTGACTGTGACAGTTTGAATCTTGGGTAGGTCCCATTGTGTAGGATATGCAACTCTAGGAAAGCATAACAACCCTAACAATGTAGAGATATGTCTAGAATGAATATGGATGAATGCCATTCTTCTTGGCTCCCTCCCAGCTAATCTAAAAAAGGAAACGTTACCCTTTCCTACAAACACTGATGAGCAGACAGCCTACAAATAAAACATAGTCTTGAGCCAGTTCAAGAGTGGTCTGGTATCTGCGGTTTCCAGGATAACTGTTCAAGAATGTTCATAGCAAGTGTTGGAATCTACCCTCCCCTGGCACCTGGTGAGTGAGCCCCATAAGAGCGCTCTGTCCAAGGGCCTCATAGGGAAAATAATGTGGGTCTCTATATTTAGATTCAAGAGCCCAGTGCAGGTAAGAGGAAAGTGGGAAACAATTTATTCCTCAGGCAGTGAATATAAAATTCCTGGTGACCAATTGTTCAATCTGGTATATATTCCATCATAATCATCTCACATATGCTAGATTAACCTGAAGGATTTATTAAGGGAAGACTTTTCTAGGATAATTATATAGAATGAACAAAAACTAACTTTGCACTATGTTTTTCTGAATGGTGTTAACAAAAGCTCTTCCCACAGTCTTCCTCATCATGTGGAATGAGGTCCTATCAGGACTTCCAGTTTTTCGTCAACTACCAAGTGAGATCTGAGTGTCCCCTGGGCCTGTAAGTGGTGCAGCCACAGCCATGAGTTCACAATTTGAGTGGAAATTCTCTATGTAAGAAGAGCACGAACTGGATCCACAGCTTTACTGTCTCATGGTCACCATTACCCATGACTGGCATTTTCCTGAGCTTTCATGTAAAGACGATCACAGCTCAGAGATGTCAATCTACCACACAGCTGATCATGAAAACAGGGAAACAATCCAACTATTTGTTTGTCAATGATATGCTCAAGATTGAGTTGAACAGCTCTTGAAAGATTGTGCCTACATCAGATCCCTTCACAAGGACACTCACTGTCCTGGAGAGAAAACATCTGGGGAGAGCCAACGTAATAGATTGCAGTACTATGTAATCTCGGGTAATTTAACCCAAAGTCATGCTTACTTGGTAAAAAACACAAACAAATGCAGTTCTAAGTATGATCCCACAAGAAAGCTTGGTCTGCATATCTTTTGGGAAATCTACCAAAATAAGACTTTTTAACAAGATTGGAAAAAGTAATTGAGTAAAAATGATCTTAAATGTCGAACTCCATGTTAATATTCTGAGTTGATGACCACAAATTATCATGAGGAGGTAGGAGTACAATAAAAGTCTTATATTTCAGTCTTTAAAATATTTATTATTTTCTTTTATTTAATTTTGTAAGTTTTGTGTATTTAACTTTTTTATCCCATGATGTTGACCAATTCAATGCAGGTTCTTAGTCTTGAAAATTTCAGACTCTTAATTAATCATGCTAGTGAAAGGATTCAGAAATATTGGTAGGTGGAAAGAAAAAATAATAAATGCAAACTAAACCTAACATACTAACAAAAAAGAACACTATTGAATGCATTATGTCTGGTTTTAAAGGATTACTCTGAAAGTATGTTAAATGAAGGATCAGTTCTATCTACTATCTAATATGGATGCTTGAATTGAGAGAAAATGACAAATGATAAAAATCTGTCGTGCTTTCTTTTGCAAGGCAATTCAAGAATATGTTATTTTTACAAAATATTCTTTAATATTTTTGAATTTCAGAGAGTATTGCTATTCGCTATGAAAATTAACAACAAAGCTTTAAGGAGTCTGCCATTGTATTTGGTAATTTACTTCAGAATCTGTTGCCCTTACGTATTCAGAAAATGTAAAATCTTATAAAAATTATTTGGTGCAAAAAAAAGCTTTGAAACTACCCTATACTATCTATGTACTTAAATAATAATATTTCTAATTCCAAATAGAAATCTCTGTCTCCCAAACATTAACACATTATGCCAAGGCTTTGATAACAATGGACGAAGCAGGTGGCTCCACAGTGGACACAGGTAAGAAGGTGTAAGAACAGTCTCCATTTGATCCAGGTGGGAAGCAGGCCTCTGTGTGTCTCTAATCTGAACCATGGTCATCTGAATGAGGAAGGACTGATACAGGTGGATCTTACTGTAGTTGTGTCTCCTTTGCCTGATGCTGTGAGATCGGAGCCCATAAAATTGGAAGTAAGTATATTACTTGTATGACATGGGAAGATAATCATGGAAATGGAAGTGTTTGTGTCCTTGGAAGTCAGTGTTTGTGGGGTTGGATGGAGAGTGTGATCCTGTTGTTTGTAGATCATTTGAGGACTTTGGAGCCTGGGCAAAGAAAAAGAGATGTCCACAGGATGGCAGTAGCGCACACAACTTTTACTGGGTGAAGCTTTGACAGGTTTGCCGGTAGTTCCTGAGCAAGAGTCTGTCTATAGGCCAAGGGGCCAAGGTTGTTATTCAGAAGGGGAGGAGGAAGAAATTTGCTGTATAAGGGGCTTATGTGTCTAGGTGTTGTCACACAGCAGTGTTGGGGTGATCAGACCCAACACCAGGTCATGGGGATGACCAAGTCTGGTGGAGTCAAAGGATTGAGAAAAGACAGTTTGAGAAGTAAAGTGGGACCAGGGGGCCATCGTGATCATGGAGGCTGTGAAGGCCCCGAGCTCTGGGAGCCCAGTGCTATTTATTGGTTATCCAACAAAGAAAAAGGTGGTGAGAATGTGGAGGTCAAAAGGGCGCGTTGCATTAGGCACAAGATTTATAGCTGTGATGGTTTAGCATTCGCTCTGCTACTTGAGATAATGGAGAGCAGGTTCCTTTAACTCAAGATACAATCGAACCTGGGAGAGCAAGGAGCAAGGAGCCAGCAAGTGTAGACACATTCCAGAGCCATGAACCCTGGATTCTATCCAAGCCATGAGGGATTTTATGCCCTGGGCTTAGATTACGGTGTGTCAGGGTAGCCTTCCACCCTTTATAGCACAGAGCTTGGTGTTCCAAACGCCACAATGGGTTTTAGACCCTGGACCCCAGACATGTTCCAAGACTGTTTTACATTATGTCAGACATGCAAGCCCTGCTTAAGCTTCTCCCAACACTCAGCTTTTCCCAATACAGCAGCACAATGGGGAGTCTCTAGGTCAGAGAGAACCAGAGGGAAATATTAGTCTGGGGTTTTCATAACCTGGTGCTTACCTATTTCTAGCAGATGTGAGCAAGGTTCTCTGAGATACATAATGTAAGCATTCTTTACATGGCAAAAAATCTGCTTTGGGGGGCTGTTTTTGAAATGATTGGATTGTAAAGTTTGAGTTTGGCACAGGCCATAGAGAAATAAGCTGCAATTTGGAAACAAACAACATATGGGCAGTTCACACAAGACACCTTTGGCTCACTTATACATCATTGTTGCACATTTTGTAGACTTTGTTCTAAAGACTATATTAGTGCAGATAGACAAAATCCACACTGCTATGGATGAGACTGAAGACACGCTGCAGTCTTTTCCCCACCTGGACCTCAATGGAGGTTTTTAAATTTTTTGTTAAAGTTGAAAGTTTGTCCTTGGTGAGAACCGAGACCAAGCCACCCACAGAGGGAGCTTCACTTTGTGAAGCTGCAGGTCCTCTGCGCTGGATTTCTGGCTTCCAGGGCACGTGAGATTGAAGTTGTCTGCATTATCTCATCAGCTGAAAATTGTGACCAACTGGAGCACAGATTCATGGATAAATATCCAGGTACACAGAGAACACAGGGAATGAGGGCTCTGTGGATAGGTATCTTCTGCTTCTGAGAATCTCTCTAAACACTGGGAGACACAGGGATATTTACATATTTGACCTTTCTGAATCTTCAGACCCTGTTCTTGATCAGCCTAATCTGAGCCTGTTTCCAAATGTTTCAATTGATTGTCCTCTTTCTTAGAAAAAAACAGAAAAAAAATGATATAAAGTATACACTGAGATATGAGATTAGCTAGTGGAGTCCTGTGCTTCCAGGGATGCTTTTCCTCCGTGCATGTTCATCTTTCTGTGGGGCCCATCTCACCCCCATCAGACTGCACAAAGTGAGGCAGTGATTTTGTTGCATCCCTAAGCATTCTGTGTCCCTTACATTCTTTATTCCCTCTAAGATTCCTTCTCAGTTCTGACCCTTAAATAAAGGGATCTCTGTCCCTGAAATAAGGTCTCCAAAAAACCACAGCTTCCCTGGGTGTTTATAAGGTTTTTACATTGTTGAGCTGCTATTCTGACCACTATTAAGAATTAATTTCTATTCCAAGCAAATTACCTTTATTAAATCTCAAAACCACATGCCAGCTATAAAAGCTTGCTCTTTTTTGGAAGCATACTCAAGAATATAATTGCCCAGTAAATATTTCCTTTAATTTAACAAGTTAATCAGCAGATTTCTTCTTTTTCTTTTGTCTTAGATAATTTTGGTGCAGTCGAGCTCCCCAGTAAGTTGTTTAATATAAATTCCCATAATTGGGTTTAAATTTCTTCTAGGGCTGCTATATTCCATCCTACGCAAGAATCAAATAATCTTTGAGTTTTGGAGTTCACTAGTTTCCAAAGCAAGAATAGGAAACATGTGTAAGAGCTGCCTAAATAAGTAACTAACAAGTCATCCTAGCCTCCAGCTATTTGTAAACTTTGTGATTTCATCAGACGACTGTTCTAGGGAAAACAAAATTATTTATTTTATTCTATTCTATTTAATTGTCATTTACTACTAATATTTCATTTTTTGGTTGGCATAAGGGTAATTTTAGAAGAGCTAACATGTACATTTCTAAAAGTACTAAAAGGTGAGGCCAATTGTCCTTCAAGGAGCACTTAAACTTTGGATTATTCTCTCTCGGCCAAGAAAAGCCAAGATAGATGTTGACATGGTTTGGATATTTATCCCACTCAAATCTCATGTTGAAATATAATTCCCAATGTTGAAGATGGGGCCTGGTGGGAGGTTTGGGGGTCATGGGGGTGCATCCCTCATGGTTTAGTACTGTCATGATGATGAGTACTTTGTGAGATCTGGTTGTTTAAACACATGTGGTACCTCACGCCACTCCCCACCTGCCTTGTTCCCACTTAAGCCATGGGATATGCCTGCTCCTGCTTCACCTTCTGTCATAAGTAAAACTTCCCTCAGGCCTCCCCAGAAGCCAAGCAGATGCCCACACCATGTGTGCACAGCCTGCAGAACTGTAAGCCAATTGAACACCTTTCCTTTATAAATTACCCAGTCTCACGTTTCCCTGATTCCAAAAGTGAAGTTTATACTATGCTACTGCTACCACATTAGAGGCAATTCACCATTTCCACCTGCTAGTGCAGAGCTTGTGTTATTATTTAAGACTAAGAATGGCCACTGAATAATTCATTCAGCCCGTGGCTCTTTCATGTTCTGAATTTTGGATTTTTGGTAACTTGGTATGGAATTAAATGGTTGAAAGAATACTTTTGTTAATTTTGGAAATCAACAGAAGTTATTTAGTTTGGTCTTTTATTCTTCCTTGGGATCTTAAAATAGCCTTATTCAAAATCTGTAAAAGCCCTGGCCCCCATTCATACAGAAGAAGAGCCCGTGCCCCTTACTGAGGCCTCATGGCCTCCTTAACTCAAAGGCTCTCCAGCCACCTCCACCTGAGTTTGGTGTGGATGCATCCTCTGGGCACCACAGCTGCTCCTGCCACACTGAGAGGCTGAGCCTTTTTGGAAGGTTTGTGTTTGGGGCCTTCACACTGTGCAGGGCCCCGGTGAGTGTCCTGCTCACAGGAGTCTGTGCACTGTCTCTAGGCTCCACACTGACAATTATGCAAGTGAAATCAATCCAATTTTGGTTAAATGTGTGCATGTGTATTCAACTTGTTTTGCTACAAAGCGGCCTGAGTTTTCTGGCTGTTCTGCTACCTGTATTTGTTAGGCATCTGCACACCAGCAGAAAGAATCAAGATGAGCTTTCATTGAGCCTTTCCTCTGGCAAGATGTGGCTCAGAGCCCACTGCATCCTCCTTTCTGCTGTTGTTCTGCCCTGCCGAGGCTCTTGCAGCTGAAGGGGCCTTTAAATATGTCACATATTCTTCCATTGTTAAATGTGAGATAATTTGTTTTGCTCTGCAGGAAAGCTTCATTCACTTGAAGAAGGAGATTAAAGATTTCTAAAGCAGGATGCTAATCTTTTGATCTTTGTGCAATTTTGTTATTAAAGCTGTCTCTTTCTGAGAGTAAAAGAGGTATAATTTGATTTAAAAGTTTCCAGCTTTAACATCTGTCAATGTAAGCCTTCCAAAGAAAATTCTGGCACTGCTCAAGTCAACTAAATATTTTCTTATGAACCATCAGTTTTGCTCCATGTAATTTTCCAAATAATCCCCACAATCCAAAACACACACACCTCTTAGAAGACAACTAAGGAGATATCCACAAGGCTTTTGTATCATTATTTCTAAAGATGAGGAGTTAGAGACAACCTGGGTATCTATTACCAGGAACATAGGTTAAATGTAGTTGACATCTTGACTGGATCATCAGGCAGCAACGAGAAGTAATAGACAAGTTTCACCCTTAACAACACTGAAATATTTTAACTCATACATCTCAGTAGAAAAACAGTGAGCATAATGACATATTTCACAGGATGATATTTACATAAAATAAACATAATTGTGAACATACGATATGTATAACACATTGAATGGAAAATATACTAAAAATACAAAACAATAAGCAGAGAGAAATGTTCACTTCTCTAGCCCCACACCAGCCTCTCCTTCTCCCCTGGCTTCTCCTAGCCTAGAGCTGTCCATCAGCACAGGGAAGGAATATTATGTGCAGGCCCCAAGCACTCTGAGCTCAGGAACCAGCTTTTTGAGGAAGGCCTGGATATGCCAGGCATTCAGCTCCTGGCAACCTGGAAGCTATGGAAAATCATAGCACCTCTTTCCAGGGAAAAGAAGCACCAAACTTCAGCCAGTTTGTTACCAGGCAACTGAGAAAGAGCCCTGGGGTATTTTCTGACAACCTGTGAATTATTTGGCCTCCACCCCCTTAAGAGAACCTAAGGAATAACAGTCCATTTCTAACCTTCTTCTCTGCCTCCTTCTATTAGAACCTAATTCAATCATGCACCAAGACAAGTCAAAGCCTTGGTGGGCATATCAATCCTGATGTGTGACATTTTATTCACTTTTTTATTCTGAAAGTAAGTATCTTCTTAAATTTTGCATCTATATTATAAATCAATGTAATATATGTATTTATACAGAAATAAATATAACTTTGTTGTTATAATGCATGACTTTAAATTGTGATAAATTGAGCAGGAACATTTAAAACCAGCAATGGGTGCACCACTCCATGGCTCCTTCCCCACTGCAGAGCCCGAGAGTGAGGAAACTCAGGCTCTACCTCCATGTCCCTGCAGGGCTGAGCACTGACCTGCTCATTGCTGAGAACTTTGAGTGACCAGAGTGGGTCTGAGGAACACAGAGCAGCAGGTGCCAGGGAGACAGGCGGTGGAGCTAGGCCACAGTGGAGGAACATTTGGTGCCCAGAGCTTCCTGTGGGCAGGTCCTTCCCATAGGGGATCCTGTCAGACAGAGCAGCACCTGAGGTCAGTGGCTGTGTGGTCACAGGATGAAAGCCCTCCACAGCCTATTGGCAGCCTCCCCTCTGACTGGAGCCATGTGGGACCTATCGGCCCAGCTTTCACGACTCACACAGCTGCTGGAACCCTGTTCACAATGGGGTTCCTTGATCAGCTTCACTGCTGATGGCCAGAGTGATATCTGTCCAGGCAGTTGAACCCTGACCCGGGCAGGTGTTGCATCCACAGAGAACCAGGAGCCAACAGGAGCTCAGAGCTGGGCCTGTTTTCTGCTGGAGCCAAGCTAAAATAGAACGCTCTTAACACTCTGGCCGGCCCTACAGATGACAGTGGCCTTCTCTCTGGGGACATAGGAAAAGGGGTAAGAGATGGAGTGCACACAACATACCCACTGGCATCTATGTTGGGAACAAACATGAACATCCCCAAGTATTAATACCAAACAAGTAGTTCATTCAGTTTGATGAAGTTCTGATCAGAAAGCAAAACAGGCTAACCACTTCATCTTCAAGGAGACATTCTAGTAGAAAATGCAGACAAATAGGATGAAGCCTGCATCTTCCTTCCTCACTAGAGAATCAGAACAGCAGGAGGAACAGGAACAAAGCTGGGTGCCCATGTCCATGGGGAGCCTCCGGAGGCCGATTCTGCTTGGAGCTGGCAAGGATGGTGTAGTAGTCCACTGGGACTCCCACACCAAAATGGATATGGCTGGACAACTTAAACTGCAGAAATTAATTTTTATATTTCTGGTGGCTGGAAATTGCAAGATCAAAGTCCAACAAGGTTCACTTTCTGGTAAGGACCTTCTTCCTGGTTTGGAGATAGCCACCGTGGGTAGAAAGTTGAGTTAGGGGCAAGAGGGAGGAGAGAGAGAGAGAGAAAAGGAGAGCTCTCTGGTTTCTATTCTTATAAGAACATTAATTCTATTGGATCATGGTCCCATCCTTTTGACCTCATTTAGCCTCAATTACCTCAATCATCTCCTACAGCTGCATAAGGGGAATAGGGCCAGGCTTGCATTCTCAGATCACAGAGCAAAGAGGGGTTTCCCCACAAGACAGCACGCTGGAAGCTCCTCCTGGGTGCTCCAGGTCACACATGAGACCCCATTTCAGCCTTAGGGGCTCCATGTTGATAAGCAGACATCATCACCCTTACAATGCAAGTAATATTTTTAGATCATGGCAATCTCTTTGGTTTATTGTGGGGTTTGTTTGCCATCTAGAGGCAGGTCTTTGACATAGCAACGTTCAGGATTTTTGACTTTGTGCTAGTGAAAATTAATATTTTTTCTTTTTTTTATTATTATACTTTAAGTTTTAGGGTACATGTGCACATTGAAAATTAATTATTAAACATAAATAATGAATTAAACTTAATACATTGATTGTTTAAGAAAAACCCAAAGGCCATCGAAGGGCTTAAAATGGGTATAAAGGGATAAAAAGACAGAGTCCTTCCAAAGGAGGACTGTCTGTCACAGATGAGTCTTTTTTTATCAAATGACTTTTTAGCAGTAATTCTCAATGGTAAATGACAACTTCAGGTAGACTGCCACAATATAATCACATATTCAAAAAAATTATTACCAGGAATCGTGTAAATACATTTTCAGATTAAAAACAACAAAAAGTGTGAGTTTTTCACAAGATTCACTTGGTGAAAAATTTCACAAACCTGTGCTTTACACAAAAGAACATCTATCCCTGGTGGAAAACTGGAGTTTTCTTTGGCCTTTAGAAGAAAACAGCTTTCCCTTCACTCTGCTCCACCTCATGCTGCTGAGGATGGCCGTGGGGGCAGAGACTGTGAGGAAGGAGGAAGGCTGTGCGCTGAGGGTGGTCGTGGTTCCTGCCCACCTGAGTGACCTCATGGAGCAGAGCCACCGACACCACCAAGGCCACCTGCCTGCCTCTACACTGCCATGGCACAGACAGAGAAACCTTGTCACATTCAGTCCACCATATTTTGAAGCTTCTTTGTAATACATTTGATTATGCTCTGATTCTCTTTGTATCCCTTTCCGTATTTGGAATCACTTATTTTTCACCATTTTGACTTGAGAGTATCGCCCCTTGAGGTATCAGCACCATGTAGGCTGTATGTTTGTTTGGTTTTTAAAGGTGTCCAACCACCTTGAGTGGTTTGGGCCTTTTCCCCTGTCTCACATCAAAGCAGAATCTTAGGTCACTAGGTGCTGTCAATCACTTGATGGCCAAAGATGGTGATGACAGTGGTTAGTTCCTGCCCTTGCTACTTATGCTTGTCTTCTCTCCCTGCATTCTGTAATAACTTTTAAGCTCCATGATGAATTAATTAGCATTTTAAACAGTGTATTAAGTGTCTTATGTTTCTTATTTTCACAGTTTCAGTCTGCTTGATTTCTATATAAATATTGCAATGTCTACTAAACCCAACAGAAATGGCGCTTCGGAATTTTAATTGCACTTGCCATGAAATCCATTATCTTAGAGTAGAAAATCATCTCAAATATACTTTAAACCTTAAATCTGAAGCAGGAGCTTCTTGTTCTGTTGCTTCAATCATTTTGTGTCTATCACACAATATTGTAATATGTAACTGACATAGCTCATCATTGAGCTTGATAGAATATTATAACACTAGAACACTATTTTACATGGAATCTATTGAAATAATAAATTTTCTATGTTTTTACAACTAAAACATATGATCCAGATTCATTTTCTGGTAATGATGATATCATAAGTAAATAATACATTTTTGTAACATTTGAAACCTTTTATTATGATGACATAGTACTAAATTTATCATCCCTAAAATAGTACTTAGAATAAATACTTTTACAATTAGAATTTGGTTGAGGAAAAAAAAACCTCTCATATAATTCTGCATTTTTCCTGTGGCATATTTAGTAAACTCTGTGTTTTTCATCTTTCAGTTTATGCTGCTTTTTTTTTTTTTGACAGAGTTTCGCCTTGTAGCCCAGGCTGGAGTGCAGTGGCACTATCTCCAGCTCACTGCAACCTCCACCTCCCAGGTTCAAGTGATTTTCCTGCATCGGCCTCCCAACTAGCCAGGATTACAGGTGTGTGCCACCACACCCTGGCTAATTTTGTATTTTCAGTAGAGACCGGGTTTCACCATGTTGGTCAGGCTGGTCTCGAACTCCTGACCTCAGGTGATCCATCCACCTCGGCCTCCCAAAGTGCTGGGATGACAGGCGTGAGCCACTGTACCCGGCCAGTGCTGCTTATTTCTGAAGCTCACTTTTGGAGTTGCAAGAACTCCCTCTTCACTGGGAAAAACGTAATTGAGGCAAATCAAAATCTTTTGGCATTAAGATCTTATATCTGCCATGGATTTACAAAGTCTAAGAATAGTCAGAAATCAAACATTTTTTTCTAATTATTCTTTTCCATACTCCCCTTGAGGACAGCTTGTATAGAACACGTTCTCCCACATGACACTGGAAAGTGCAGTTTAGTGTGAGTAGTAAAGTGAAATAGAAAGTAAGGAAAGTGGGAAAATACCAAATTCGCAATAATTCCAAATATTATCACCAAGTATTAATTTGTGTAAAATAAACCCCAAGCTGGTCATTTGCCACATGTATTCCACCTGTGTTGTCACTAAACTGCATCTATGTTCTGGCTGTTATGCTGATTGAGTGTACTCGGCAAACGTGGGCAAGACAGGCAGGGTGAGGATGAGCCTGGCAACTGATAAAGCTTTGACCATGTGGGACTGAGGTGCTGCTGAGACTCTCATGGGCCAGAGTCCTCAACAGCAAGCCCTGCCACTGAGTTCTCCAACAGCCTCCTCTTCTGCAGACTCAGAGTCCCTGCTGAGCTACTCCCCAGACAAGCAGTGCAAGTGAGCAGCTGGGACACCCCAGCAGGGAGGTTTCTGTATTGGTCTGTACCACTGTGGGAGGAAGCTGTATACTTTGCATGCAGTAATAAACCCCAACATCCTCAGCCTCCACCCGGCTGATTTTCAGTGTGAAATCTGTCCCTGACCCGCTGCCACTGAACCTATCTGGCACTCCAGAGAACCGGTTGGAAACTTCATAGATCAGGAGCTGTGGAGGCTGGCCTGGCTTCTGCAGGTACCAATACAAATAGGTCTTTCCATCACTATGCAGGAGGCTCTGACTAGACTTGCAGGAGATGGAGGCCGGCTGTCCAGGGGTGACGGACAGAGAGAGTGGAGTCTGGGTCATCACAATATCTGCACTGGATCCTGAAATTATGAGAGAGAAGTGCAAGGTTATGTGAAAGCATAATGAACAACTTTTGAGATTTGCCTTATGGTATTGATTTATGGCTAATCTTTTATTTTTACAAATTTGTATTCATATCATAAAAACAAACTCTTTAAATGAACCCTTTATTAAATAGGCACAAGAGTTCTTTCATTTCTCAAGATATTATTCAGAGCACTGCTTTTAGGAGTTTTCAAATCATCATCAGGGCAAAATATGAATTCCTCTCCCTGGAGCATAGGCCATATTCCTTTAACACATGGTTAGAATAAACACGGGAATCAGTGGGGCCGCCAGAGCTCAGCTTCCCACCCCCTCCTCCTCCCTCATCTCCTTCCATCCTTACCAGGTATCCAGAGCATTAGCAGCCCCAGGAGCTGAGCAGGGAGCCTCATGGTGAGAAGATGAACTGAGAAGTCCTGATCAGTCAAGGCAAGGTTAGAGCTGAGCTTTTATCTCAGGCTCACAAGGGAAGGTCCTCCCTAGGGGACAATATGCAAATCACCTGGTGGGTGCAGTGGTGTGGAAAGAGCCATTGGGTGGGGGGTGAAGGGGGTAGATATGTCTTCTCTGTGAGCAATGTGATATAAAGTGTCCCTTGGAGGAAACTAATAAAACCTAATTCATCATAGAGGAGGAAGAAGGACCTGAATTTGAAAGTTTCAATCTTGGGCAAGTAACGTTTTATAGGATGTCAGGGCTTCCAAATTCTTGTCAACTCTGAGGGTGAACCCGTGTCTCCCCCTGGCCTGTATGTGGCACAGCCACAGCCATGACACCACAGTTCAAAATGAGATTCTCTATGTAGGAAGAGCAAGAACTGGATCCCTGGTTTTAAGTCTCAGGGTCAGCAGTACTATGGACGACATTTTCCTAGGTTTTTATTGAAAGATGATCACAGGTCAGGCATATGAATCTACCACACAACTCATCGTTACAATAGGAAAACAACTTGAGTATTCTTCATTTGTCAGTGATGTGCTTAATATTGAATTTAGCTGCTCCTGAATAACGGTGCGTACATCAAATCACTTCACAGAGACTGCCACTGTCCTGAAAAAAACAACAAAAATCCTGGGAGCAATTAAAAGAATAGTTTCTAGTGCTATGTAATCTTCAGTGATTTAATACAACATCTGATTTACTTGGTAAAGAACACACACCCAGAAAAGCAAAACAGAGCTCTAGGTGTTTTGCACACAAAGCTTGTCCTGATTATCTTCCGGGAAATGCACTGGCATATGATGTTTTAACAAAGTTGGTGAAAAAAATTGAGTAAAAATGATATTGACCTTAAAACGTTGAACGTCATGGCAGTAACCTAAATTGAGAATATCAAATTGTAGTGTGGAAGTAGGATTAGAATAAATGTATCATATTTCACTATTTAAATTTTTATTTATTCTATTCTTTCATCACTTTTTGTAAATCTTATGTGTTTCACTTTTTTTTTTTCTTGAGACAGTCTCTGTCTGTTACTCAGGCTGGAGTGTAGTGGTGCAATCTCTGCTCACAGCAACCTCTGCCTCCTGGGTTCAAGCAGTTCTCATGTCTTTGGAGTAGATGGGACTACAGGCATTCTCCACCATGCCCAACTAATTTCTGTATTTTTAGTAGAGACGAGGTTTCCACATGTCGGCCAGGCTTGTCTCGAACTCCTGGCCTCAAGCGATCCACCTGCCTTGGCCTCTGAAAGTGCTGGGATTACAGGAGTGAGCCACGGTGCCTGGCATTGACTTCTTTTTTCTTGTGATGCTGAGCAGGTCAAATATGGTTCTTAGCCTTGGAAATGTCAAACTCCTAATTCATCATAATAGTTAAAAGAGTCAGAAACATCAGATGCTGAAAAGAAAAATAAAAGTAAAGACACAATCTAAAAGAGAACATTAAGGTACATCTTATCACTGGTATAAACGGATTAGTCTGAAAAGGTGTTAACTGAATAATCAGTTCCACCCACTATCCTATATAGAAACTTGCATTGTGGGAAAACGAATAACAGTAATAAATCTGTCAAGCTTGCTTTTACTATTAGTCAATTCTTCAAAATCTTAGTTTTACAAAGTATTCTTTAAGGTGCTGAATTTCAGAGAGTACTGCTGTTTCCTTTGAAAATTAATGACAGAGCTTTAAAAAGTTTACGATTGGGATTGGTTGTTTTATCTCATAATCTCTTGTCATTACATATCTGAAAATGTAAAACCTTGTAAAAAATTGTTTCAATCATAAAAAGGCTCTGAAATTACCCTATACTAAAGGCCTTGAAATTACCCTACATTATTAAACTTAGAGAATAATATTCTTAATTCTAAAGAGGAACCCCTCTCTCCTGAAGGTTTAAATAGAGTACACAGAGGCTTCACAACAGCAGACAAAGCTGGTCGCTCCATGCTGGACACAGTTAAAAAGGTAGAAGAACAGCCTCTATTTGATTCAATTGTGGAGCGGCCTCTGTATTTCTCGAATCTGGACCATGATCAGTCGAATGAGGAAGGACTCATCCGGGTGGGGTTTATTGCATCTCACTTGCCAGATGCTGTTAGTTTGCAGTCCATAAAATTGAAGGCAAGTGTATTATTTGTATGACTTGAGAAGACAGCCTCGGAGGTGGAATTGTGTCCATTATGCTGGAGTCAGTGTTTGTGGGGTGGATAGTGTGGTCCTGTTTATAGAGAGTTTGAAAAATTGAGGTTCTGATCAAACAGAAAGAGATGTCCATAGGGTGGCAGTAGCACACATGACTGTTGTTGGGTGAAGCTTTGACAGATTTGCCCAAAGGAGTCCCTCACAGCAGGAGACTGTCTAGAATGAAAGATGTTGGGGCTGCTACTCAGAAAAGGTGGAGAACAAGGGAAATCCTAAGGTAAAGGAACACTGGAGAAAGGCATTCTCTGTCTAGGGGTAGCCAGACAACAGCTTAATCTGGGTCTGAGATATCCAGAGGGCAGGAGTGATTTGCAATTTTCATCTCCTGGGGCTTATCTTACCTACTGCTAACAGATGTGGGTGAGGTTTCCTGTGATATGAAAAGCAAGCATTCTCTGAATGGCTAAAAATCTTCTTTCGGGCTGGGCGCAGTGGCTCACGCCTGTAATCCCAGCACTTTGGGAGGCCAAGGTGGGCAGATCATGAGGTCAGGAGATGGAGACCATCCTGGCTAACATGGTGAAACCCCATATCTACTAAATATACAAAAAAATTAGCCAGGTGTGGTGGCAGGCGCCTGTAGTCCCAGATACTCAGGAGGCTGAGGCAGGGTAATCGCTTGAACCCGGGAGGCAGAGGTGGCAGTGAGCAGAGATCGTGCAACTGCACTCTAGCCTGGGCAACAGAGCAAGACTCGGTCTCAAAAAAAAAAAAATAATCTTTGGGCTGTTTTTGAAATGATTGGATTGGAAAACTTGAGTGTGGCACAGGCCATTTAGAAATAGCCTGCAGTTTAGAAACACACCACATAGGGGCAGTTTGCACTGGCCATCTTTAGCTCATTTCTACAACACTGTCACACATTCTGTAAACTTTTTTCTGCCGACTGTACTTGTCCAAACAGGGAAACTCACACTGTTCTGGAGGAGATTGAGACATACAGAGGCCTGTTCTCCACCTGGACCTCAATGGAGGTTTTTCCTGACTAAAAGTGAGAGTTTGCCCCTGTGTAAGAGGCGGGCGGATCACGAGGTCAGGAGATGGAGACCATCCTGGCTAACACGGTGAAACCCTGTCTCTACTACAAATACAAAAGATTAGCCAGGCGTGGTGGCGGGCGCCTGTAGTCCCAGCTACTCTGGAGGCTGAGGCAAGAGAATGGCTTGAACCTGGGAGGCGGAGATTACAGTGAGCGGAGATGGCGCCACCATACTCCAGACTGGGCGACAGAGCGAGACTCCGTCTCAAAAAAAAAAAAAAAAAAAAAAAAAAAGACCAAGTCACCTACAAAGGGAGCTTCAGTCTCTGACGCTGCAGGTCCTGTGACTAGATTCCTGGCTCCAGACACCTGAGATTGAAGCTGTCTGCATTATCTCACTAACTGAAAATTGTCACCACTGGGGCATAGATTCATGGATAAATATTCTGGTACACAGAGAGCTCAGGGAATGAAGGCTTCTTGTACGTCTATATCTTGTGCTTCTGAGAATTTCTCTCTCTAAAAACTGGAGAAAACAGAGTTGTTTACATGTTTGACCTGGAAGGCAACATGTAACATGTTTCTGAGTCTTCAGACCCTCTTCTAACCTGCCAAATCTGAAACTGTTTCTAAACGTTTGGATTATTTGTCTTTCCTTTTGCTTAAAAAAAAATGGAAAAAAGTCCTATAAAACAACAGACTGAGCTGTGAGATTCAGTGCTGGAGTTTTCCTTCATGCATGTTAATCTTTCTGCAGAGCCCACCTCACCAAACATCAATACAAAAAGCGAAACAATAATTCCATTGCCTCCCTGGGCCTTCTGCATCTTATAAGTTCCCTCGAAATTCTCACCCTTATAGAAAGTAGGTCTCTATAAAACCACTCCTCAAAAGTAGGTTTCTAGAAAATCACAACTTGCCTGGAAGGTTATTAATTTTTTCCACCATGTGAACATGAAAGTTGTCTTTTTGACTTTATATTAAAGCTTGGTTTAATTGAGAGGTGGAGGGTGGAGACCCCAAGAAGATTCTGGGGACGGAATCGGGAATTTGAGCCTTTTAAACTGCAGTGGAAACTGCCTGTGATGTAAAAATTTGTATGAATATACCAAGAAGACAAATAAATTTGTTTCTTACTTTTTAATTTAGAGAGCATGGTTCACCTACAGAAAAATTAAAATTATAATTTGAGAATTTTGACATTTATTACTCCTCATTTTATATTAATTTTAAGATCAACAAAATACTCATATAAATTTTGAATGCAGAAATGTTAAGACCTTCAGGAAAAAATCAGAGACAAAATCAAATCACTTAATTTATAAAATCAACAGAAATTCTCTTTTAGCCTCTTCCTGTCAACTCCTGTTCATAAAAATCTAAAGTTCAGAATAAGAAAGAGGCAGGGGCTGAACAAATTACCTGGTGTTCATTCCTTGTTATAACAACAATAATGGTAATAATAACAATAACTGCACAGCCTCTACATGGACACCTGGAAATGGTGACTCTGCCTTATGGAAGCAGCAGCTTCATGTCATAGTGGTAAATTTCACTTTTACTGGTCCTTTCTTGGCCAGGAGTCAACGATCACCCAAAGTTCACATGTGCTATGAAGCATTAACTGTGCTCAAATTTCAGTACTTCTCCAAATTTGTTTTTCTAAAATATATCCTAGCAAGAAAAGAATGCAAGATCAGTAATAAAATAAAATTAAATAAAATAAATTTTAACCTCCTAGAAGCAGTCAGGGCATGAAATTATAAAGTGTAACAAAGGACTATAGATATGACCGTGTCTTAGAGACTTACTTTACCAGCTCTTACTCCTATTTAATGTTCTTACCCTAGAAAATGAAGAATATCGTCAACCCAGAAAATGACTTTTTGTATTGTGAAATCCTAGCAGTCCTAGGTAGAATTTAAAGCCTAATATGAGAATCTCTGTTATCCGCTTATCCCAGAAAATCTGATTGCACAAAAAGTGTCTATATTTAGCACATTAAAACAGAAAACCTATTGATCCTGTGGAATACTGTAGCAAATATGTGCAAGTTTATGATACTCATGAATAGACTTTTAAACTTGAGCAACATCTTTTGTTTCCAGGTTGATGCTAAGGTATTAAATTTCAGTAAAAGTAATTTGTCTTGAGCTCAAACTAGCTTATAATATTTGTCATTACATACAGTTCAGCCTATTCAGAACTGGTAAGAAAATATGACATCATGAGAAAACTGTTATTAAATTTGCCCCAATATTAATATTTGCAGAGAGACTGAGAGGCATGATTTGCACAACCGTATTCAAGATATTAAAATGTTTAATGGAATAGGCAAATCCATAAAAGAAATAAAAACTTTAGACCAGGGTTAATATACCTATCGAGAATTTGACTTGTGTAGCCTACTGAGTTATTGACAGGACTGGGTAAGAGTTGGTGCACTAGAAGTCAGGACATCACAGTGTCAACTTTTACCCCTTCCTCATTAGAAAGCCAGGCCAGAAACTGCCCTGACACAAGGAAAATTATCAGAAAATTCCTGGAGAACTCTTTGTGACTGCCTGGTCATACTCTGGCTATGGTTGGGAGGCTGACCTCTCCCAGCTGGTATTGCACTGCAGCTCATATTTCTGGGTACTCAGCTCTATAGCTGCCATCAAATGGCATTAAATGGTTTACCCAAATCAATAAGGTTATGATAGTATGTGCTTCATAAACTTGGAGAGAATCAGAGTTCCTGATGATAGGTATATGTATTCCGTTCCATTCTGTTTCATGAGAGTCTTTATTTAAAAAAATGAAGGAAGCTCACAGCGGCCTTTTTGGAATCTAGAGGCAACAGATTCTACACCGTGGAATACTGGTCATGTCACCATCCAGGTGACATGGAAGTCTTCCCAGCCTTTAGTGGAGACCCAGGGCAGAAAAGGGCTCTGCAGCAGCTCCAGCCTGCACTGTAGGCAACAGTGTCTCTTGGGCCCATGCAGATACAGATGACTTGCCAAAGCCGTCAACCATGTGGGTAGGATTGACACTGAGAGAACACTCTGCCACAACAGCAGACTCCATAGCCATTTTAAAACATTAGCTAAGAGAGATCATGCTTTGAGCCACAAGCTATTTCAAAGAAATTAAATGGATTTAAATCATATAAAATAAAGTTTCAGAAGCCAAGGGAAATTTATTAGGAATCAATGACAGAAAGCTATCAGAAAAAAATCTCAATATTTTAAAACTATGTAACATACTACTAAACAAAGCCTGGGACAAAGATGAAACCAAGAGATGGACATTTCAAAGCAATCTGAAGTGAAAGAAAACACACATCAAAATTTGTGGGATGCAAGAAGACATTTAATTTATAACACCGAATTTCTAGAAATATTCATGCATTTTAGCAAATAAATTTTCAAACCGATCCCCTGAGCTGCCACCCTGACATACGAGTATGAGAAGAGCAATTTGTGCTCAAAATATTTTATTCTTAAAAATGTGGGCATGTGATGAGCACATGTCTATTATTGCAGCAAGGAAATCACGTCAGCCTGGAAATAAAAACCCACATTAGCAGCTTCACAGGAGAAAGTGGATGGGCAGGGTAAGTAAGTGTGCAGAGAAAATTGGAAGAAGATAGGAAAAGTGAAAATAGGAATTGTGTGTAATATTAATACAGGCTATGCATGTGTGAGACTCCTGTGAGCTTTGACTTGCTCAAAAGCAAAAATCATGCAGTGCAGACAACTTTCAATCCTCAGAGTGTTGGTGAGAGTGAGGTCATTTGGCAAAGGGAGGAAAAAGTGCCCCGAAGTTCATCAGAGGCAGCAGGTGAGGTCACGACCCACAAGGATCCCCTCCCAGTGACGTGAACGAGCATCCCTGAAGCCATGAGGGCAGCAGGGAACTTCATGGTTGCTCCAGAGAGGACATGGCAGCCACTCCCTGGAGAGTCTGTGGGGCCTGAACACCCTAAGTTGGGAGGAAGGAAGAGGCTCTGGGAGGCTTCCTGGGGGCCCTGGCCCTGTTCGCACAGAAGTAGAGCCCATGCCTGTAAGTGAGGACTCATGACCTCCTCTTCAAAGGCTCTCCAGCCATCTTCACCTGAGCCCATCTGCTGTGGACTCCATCTCTGGGCGCTGCAGTTGCTGGTGCTGCACTGAGAGGCTGAGCCTCCTAGGGAGGCTGCGTTTGAGGCCCTCGGGCTGTGCAGGGTCCTGGTGAGTTTTCTGCTCACAGGAGAACGTGCAGCATCTCCAGGCTCCAAACTGGTGCCTGTGATGAAGAAATGAATAAAATTTTGATTGTATGTGTGTCCTTACTTTTTGGTATGTGTAAAAATATACTCTGGAGACTTGTTATTAATTTTGTCTTATACACCACTTGCTATAAACCAAATTTTTACTGTATATGTTGTCTGTCTGGTTAAAACTACAGATTTAATTATGCTTGTCATGGAATACATTATCTTTAATAGAAAATTATCTCGAATGTAACATATTTCTTTAATCTAAATCTGGATTACTTTATCCTGTTGATTGCAACATTGTTTTACTTTAGTCATACCACGCTATAGCACGTAAATCACAGGCTCATTACTAATTCACAAATATTCATAGAGAACTATTTTAAATTGACTCTATGGAAAGCATACATTTTTTATATCACTATTGTTAGAATGTGGGAATCAGGTTTATGTCCAAGTACTGACGAGGTACAGTGAAAATAATACATTAATTTATTGTTTAAAAATGTTTTACTTTTTTTGACCAAATAGTACCAACATAGTCACTTCTAAAACTTTATTTGTGTTTAAAAAAAAAATGAAAGGAATCTTCATTCCCAGGTACAGCAATGTAGATAGAAGTGGAAAGGCCAAAACAACCACTGCAAAAGGTACAAACCATTTAAAATAATAGAATACCAAAGTTAGAATTAAATGACTTTGGAAAGTAGTGGAAGGAATAAGGAATGAATGATGTAAAATGCCATAGTAAAAAGAACCTTTCATTGTTGAGCTGATGCTCACCTGACTTTTTGTCCTTCTGCCATAGCCGCCAAGTTTGCCTGTGGAAACAAGCTCTGACTTGGTGCAGGCAGAGGAGCTCTCCTGGGAAAGGAGAATCCAGCTGAGCCTTGGGGGTTGCACAGGGCAGCCTCTATACGTGGCCCGTGCTTTCCATGGGACACATGTTGAGGTCTGAGTCAGCAGGCAGGGATGGAGGTGCTGGGCTACAAGGACATAAAACTTCCACAGATTCAGCGTGCTCCCCCAATCCCCAAGGCTACACAGAGCATCCCGAATACATGTCTGAATCATGGACACTGGTCTCCATCCCCACTGCGCCCCCTGCTGGTGTAGACCCTGCTGGGCCTTCTGCTCAGCATGTCAGTGCTTGTGACATCTCCAGACCCAACCAGCAGTCTCTAGGGACAGAATGAGTTTCAGATGCTCTGCTTGGCTGTGTGGGGTTGACAAGATATGAGTGACATGACCTCAGGTCTCCTTGCACAGGGATTTCACTAAGCCTTTGGTGATTACAGATCTAAAACCCTTCCCAAAGCATTATTTTCCCAGAAAATTCGCAGTGATGCAGGCTCCACCCAGGAAACCAGGTAGTGGTGCCTTCAACTCTGTGATTCTTCACAAGAAACACATCAGGCCTCCTGGGTCCACATCATGAACTGCCAACTCCACCACCATCCACATCCCTACCTACCAAAGGCCAAGGGTAGTTTAATTGAAGCTGACCTCTCCTGGGTTTCCTTCATGCTTTCATCCCTAATGTCTGCCCAATCTTAAATTCTTAACATTTGGAAATAAAAACATTCACATCATTCTGTACTTTTCCAGTTTTCTATGGGGAAAATTATATACTCTACATTTTCCAGTATATGCTTTTTATTTTTGAAAACAACTTCTGGAATTTCAGGTACTCCTTTTTTCTATCATTAAGAGGTAACTAAGGCTAACTAAACAGTTTTAGCATTAGGATCTTGTATCTTCTATGAATTTACAAAAATCTATTTGATACTCCAAAATCAAGATTTTTACTGACTGTCCTCAGCCAGCTTCCGCTTAGGATAACTGGTATAGAATGCTGTCTCTACTCTATTTTGGGAGTGGGAGAAAAGGAGAAGCAGGAAGTTAGAAAACTGGCAAAATACCAACATCAAATATTATCAAATGTCCTCTGAACAATATGCCAAAAACTGCTAAACCCAAAGATGTATCCCACATGGATAGTCACAATCTGTGTCAATGGCCTGGCTGCTCTGCTGATTACATTTAATTAACAAATGGACACAAGGTAGGGAGAGTTAGGGTGAGCTTTCATTCTCCTCTCCCTTCCATCTTGCTTGTTTACTCACAGGGCACTTGGACCCCTCATTCTCCTGCTGCTTATGACAGTCAAGGTGGTGGCAACTGGCAGGGCATAAAGGAGTGGTGCCTGAGGTGTGACTGGGCTCTCAAAGTCCAGAGTCCTCAGCTGTGAATTGTTCCCTGGTTCTCCAGCATCTTCCTCTTACACAGATTCTGAGACCCTGCTGAGCTGCTCCCCAGACAAGCACCACATGTGGGCAGCTGGGCCACCCCACAGGGAGGTTTTTGTTCAGGGCTGTACCACTGTGGGAGGCCAGTGTGTACCTTGCATGCAGTAATAAACCCCAACATCCTCAGCCTCCACCCTGCTGATTTTCAGTGTGAAATCAGTGCCTGACCCACTGCCGCTGAATCTGTCTGGGACCCCAGAGTCCCAGTTAGAAACCTTATAAATTAGGCGCCTTGGAGATTGGCCTGGCCTCTGCTGAAACCAATTCAAGTAGGTGTTTCCATCACTGTATACGAGGCTTTGACTAGACCTGCAGGAGATGGAGGCCGGCTGTCCAAGGGTGACGGGCAGGGAGAGTGGAGACTGAGTCATCACAACATCCCCACTGGATCCTGAAATAAATAGAAAGAAGAGCAAGGTTATGTATAAAGTTTATGTGTAATTTTCATAAATTTTGATTTGTTGTTTATCTCAGGCTATATATGTATTTGTTCATATTTCAAAAATATACAGTTTCAAAATGGAACTCAAGGGATCCAAGGCTCAAAGGGGTCTCCAGAAGACCCCACACCATCCCCTTTCTGTGTCAGTCTTCCCCAGAGCACAGATCCTTGTTTCTTCTTGAATCTTCCTGACTCTCACAGATCTGATCATCACATGCCCCATTCTGGAGGACAACATGTGCATGTCCAATACAGGAAAGGAACACACATAGGAGTGTAGTGAGACCCCCAGAGATCACTGTTGTTAGAGGCAGTGGGGCCCCAGAACTCACCGTTCCATGCCATTCTCCTCCCTCATCTCCCTTCTACCCTTACCTGGGACCCAGAGCATTAGCAGCCCCAGGAGCTGAGCAGGGAGCCTCATTGTGAGAAGGTGAACTGAGGAGTCCTGATCAGTCAAGGCAAGGTTAGAGCTGAGCTTTTATCTCAGACTCACAAGGAAAGTCTTCACCAAGGGATAATATGCAAATCACCTGGTGGGTGTAGTGGGGTGGAAAGAGCCAAGGGGAGGGTAGGAGCCTCTGTTGTGAGCAAAATGACTTAAATATCTTCTCTGTTTGGAGGGAAATGAGTAGGCATATAATCTATGCTGTCTATGTGGGAGAAATTTAAGTATTTCCTTCTGTCTTCCCTAACAGATTTCTTGTTTCATAGCACTTTCCCAGGCACATTTTATACTTCTTGTTAATAAGGCCATGTTTCCACAAATATTTACTAATTCTTATGTTTTTGTTCATTTTTGTTTAAAAGAGTTCAGATTTGGCCCTTTCAATTTTTTAAAAATTTAAATAAAACACACACAAAGTAAAAGACAGAAATGTTAAAAAGTGCAACCGAATAAAGTTTTACATATATTCTCCACCGAGATTAAACTGTAGAATACTGCAGAATCTCCAGATTCTTCCCTCATGTACCTACCTTTCAGGAAACAGCTGTTCCCCCCATCCCAATCAAGGAAACTGGCATTCTGACATCTGTCCAAATAGATTGGCTTTCCCTACATGAAACCTCATATAAACGGAAGTAAACATGTTGGTTTGGTCTAGCTCTTTTTTTGTTCCCTTAGCACTTTTGAGGCCTTCCTTCCTCCCTACAGATTCAAGTTACTGTCTGCTGTCATTTTTTGTGAATCTGAAGAACTTCCTAGAGAATTTGTTATACAGCATGTCTTTAAGTAATTATTTCTCTTCATTTTTGTTTATCAAGAAATGTTTTTACTTTACTTTTATTTTGAATGCATACTTTCACTGGATATTGAATCCTAGGTTTTGTTTTCTTTTGTTTCCCAGCATTTACATATGTCATTCCACTGTTTTCTAGCCTCCTTTGGTCATGATGAAAAGTTAGCTGATGGCTTTATCACTGTATTTCTGTATATAGAGAGTCATTTTATTTTTGTACATTTGCGATTTCCTCCTTGTCATTGGTTCAGCATTTTAATTATAATATGTATAGTTATGTGTATCATTGTGTTTGTCCTGAATAAGTTCTTTCAATTTCTTTTCTCTATAGATGAATGAGTTTCATTGCTTCTTGAAAGCTTTTGTCATCCCTCCAAAATTTTTTTGGCCACTTTTTCTGACTTCTCGTTTCTGACTCATTGCATATTTCTGGTCTTCTTCACATTGACTTGTAAACCTCTAAGGTCATGATTATTTTTCTTTAGTCGTTTTCTTTCTTTTTCAGATTAGATCATTTCTACTAAATTGTCTTCAGGCTCATTGATGCTTCTGCCAACTTAAACTCCTGTTGCCCTATCTAGTGAATTTTCCATACTGCTTTTTATAGTTTTCATCTAGAATTCCTATTTGTTCCTTTCCCATAGTTTCCCTTTCTCTGTTGAGAGTTCTCATTCTTTGAGTAATTGTCTTTATATTTTCCTTTTTCAGTCCTTGCTCATAGTTTTGAATATTCTTTGAAGCATTTATGTGACAACCACTTAAAACTCTTAGCAAAATCCAGTATTTAGGAACAGTCAAGAGTCAGCTTCCACTGACTGATTTATCTCAATATGGTTTATGATTTTCTCTTTCTTTTCAGGAATTTTAATGGAAAAATGCCGGTTGATAATATATTTTTTACGTCTCACAAATAATATATAATTCTGCATTCTGTTTTATTTTTCTAAGATTGTTGAATTTCCTCTTAATAGCTTGACTGGTCTTATGCTGCAGAATCTATCCCTTACTAGCTGTTTGGCAATTGATATTTCTGATTTTTTTCATTTTAAGTTTTAGCCAGAAGCCCTACCTGTGTCTGCACAGTTTGGTAATCACCAGTAACTTAGGCATTTGTGTTGCTCAAACTCCTTGACCTCAATAATCTACTTTCTGCCAATGTATATGTGTGTGGCTTGAAGCGTGCCCATAAAAGACACCTCCTTCACTTTTATTCACTGGGCCCACTTGGGTCTCTGTCACTCAAATACGCAATTTCTAAGTCACATCTGCTCATTCTAAGAATGTGTGCAGGGATGATCTCTATAATTCTATGACTCCATGGTTTCCAGTAATCCATTATCAAGTTTTAGCTGGTGTACCAGTCTCCCAGGGTCATCACCTTGGACTTGCAAAACTCTGGGCCTTTTCTGGGCATTTCCTGCAGAGTTCAGCACCATTAGCTGAAAACACTGAAGGATCTTGTTCTACTCTCCATCCCAGCTCAAGTCAATCCCGTTTGGCAACAAGCTTCCAGTTGTTGCTGCCATTTCAGCTGGTAAAACTACAGTTCTAAAATTCTTGTTGACGAAGCTTGGGTGAGAAAAAGCAGTTCCAGGCAAAAGGCCATAGACTTTTCCTATCTGTTAGTCCAAGGTGCACCATTTTGTAAGCCCCCCTTCCATTTTGTAGACCTTGGTCAAAGTGAAGCATTCCACGGGGGTTAGAACTGTGAGAAACATCCTGCCTAACCACGTGAATACAGGAACATCCCTATCGTCTTCTGCTGGACAGTGGGCCCAAGAAACATTCTTATCACACCCCGCTGGGCAAAAGGCCCAAGGAACATCCTTGGCAAAACCGCCTGACCACAGGAACATGTTATCAACGTCCTGCCGGGCAGCAAGTAATACCGTCTAGACCCCTCCCGCCCATACCTATAAGTACCCCAGCCTGTAAGCGGCAGCGGGTTCTGGTATTAAGCTAGTCCCCCACCTCCACAGTCTTGTGCTGGACATAAAACCTGCTTTGCTGTAGAGCCGCCAACTCTCTCTCTGTCTTTCTTTAACCCTTCCCTTCCCTTCAAAACCTAACACTGTCCTTACCCAAAGCTCTCATCCTTTTCAAGATACAGCCATATCTCCTTTTATTGTGTTTTGCTTTACTGTGCTTTATAGATACTGAGATTTTTACCAATTGAAGGTTTGTGGCAACTCTGCCTCAGGTAACTATTTTGGTGCCGTTTTTCCAGTGGTAGGTTCTTACTTCCTGTCTCTATGTCAGTATTGCTCAGCAATAGTTTTAAAAAATTAAGGTATGTACATTTTTTAGGCATAATACTATTGTACATTTAACCGAATACAAGATTGTGTCAACATAACTTTTATATGCACTGGAAAACCAAAAAATGAGTGTGACTCCCTTTATGATAATATTCATTTTATTGCAGTGATTGGAAACTAGACCAGCAATATCTCTGAGGTATGCCTATAAACATGTCTCAATTTCTTTGATGTCTTTGGCAATTTCCAGAACAGCCACAGTGACGAGGTCTGGAGCGAGGGTGCACTTGCAGTGACAGTGGGTCTGGGGCTGGGCATGGGCTAGTCCACATAAAGGTGGCTTACTGTCTGAGTTGCCAGGGCAGGGTGAGACCTGGAGGCCTGGGTCTGGGGCAGTGCAGAGGGTAAGGTTGATGCCAAGGGGCTGGGAGGTAGCCCTGTCACAGGAGAGAAAACAATGGCTCCTCACTGCGGAGTGCGTATAGCAGCATCTCCCTCTCTGGGGAGTGTGCGACTATGGCTGCAGGTAACCGTCCAGGCAAAAGCACCAGTGGCCCCTGTGGAGCAGGCTGCTGTGATCCTCGACAAGAAATATTAAAGGGCCTCCACTGGGAAAGCTGAATGGTGGGGGATTGCCTGGGTGGCTGCTGAGGTTATCAGCAGCAAAGGCTGCAGGGTCCTGCCACAGAGCAGGCTATGGGGCCCACAGTGGCACCACCTCTGGCTGATAACAATTGCTTCCCCTTTCTTTGTTCCTAGAGGTATCAGGGCTCTCAGGTGTGCCATCAGCTTCCAGCCATCCTTTGCATGTGCTTATTCTTGGCTTTTTACTCTATCATGTTGCTGCATGTTTGTAATTGAACTCTTCAGCCCTCCCAGGGTATTGGCCTTCTTGGATAACTGACTAATTGCTGGGTTTTGTGAGGGCTGAAGCCTGGTATCTCTTACTCTGCTATCTTGCTAACATCAGTCCCCAGGACATCATTTTGGTGATGATATTTTGAATTTTGCCCTGACACTATTATGGAATAATACTTAGACTTGATGGGGTGAGAATTAGAGCATTTAACATGTAAGAGGGATATGAATTGTTTGGGCCACAGGGTTGACTGATGCCAGTTATATCCTTCAAGATGGCTGTCACAAGGCCTACCATTCTACAGGTTCCTCTAAAAGTGTGATCTCTGGGTGGGGTTTCCACGATGCCATATGCCTATCTCCCCCCACAGTTAATCAGAATTCTGAATCTCATATTCTTTATAATTTGACTTTCCTCTCTGTTAATTTCTTCTATATGTATTCATCAAATAATATTTTTAATTTATTTGTTTAAAACCCTATAAGAAGGAATTCATACAAATAAAACCTAATTCATGAATCTTTGTCTTTGTGCCTAGTGCTTTGTGTGTTCTCTTTAAGAAATTTATTTCTGCACCTGTTTATGATATATGTTTTTATGCTCTTTACTAAAAGCTTTATTATTTTGCCTTCATATTTCATTTTATGATTCATTTAGAGTTGATATTTATATAATATAGAGGTGAAATGTAGAGGTCAGGATTCATTTTGATGTAATATAGATATCTTATTGATCCAATACAGTTCACTTATTATATATTTTTCTACTGATCACTGCTCTGGTCTGAATGTCTGCATCTCATCCAAGATTCCTGTTTACCCCATGCAACAGGATTACAAAGTGGGGCCTTTGGGAGCTGATTATTCATGAGGATTCCACCCCGGTGAATGGGATGAACGCCCAATAAAAGTGGCTTCACACAGAATTTGTCTCTTTTGCCCTTCCACCTCCACAACGTGAGGACACAGCCACAAGCCACCATCTTGGAAGCTGGAGCAGCCCTCATGGTACAAAAAGATTGCCAGTGCCTTGACCTTGGACTTCCCAGCCTTCAGAACTGTGAGAAAGTACATGTCTCTTGTTTTAAATTACCTGACCAAGATATTTTTCTCTTTCAGTATGCATCATCTATGGTAACAGTGTTTTTTTCTTTTTTTTTTTTTTTTTTTTTTGAGACGGAGTCTCTGTCACCCAGGCTAGAGTGCAGTGGTGCGATCTTGGCTCACTGCAATCTCTGCCTCCCAGGTTAAAGTGATTCTTCTGCCTCAGCCTCCTGAGTAGCTGGGATTACAGGCATGTGCCACCATGCCTGGCTAATTTTTGTGCTTTTAGTAGAGACGGGGTTTCACCACGCTGGTCAGACTGGTCTCGAACTCCTGACCTCGTTATCTGCCCACCTCAGCCTCCCAAAGTGCTGGGATTACAGGCATGAGTCACTGTGCCTGGCCCGTGGTAACACTTTTATCATAAATTGGGTGATTACATATGTGCGGATCTGTAGTTACATTATTAATTAGTGTTATTTGTAACAGGGTTTGATATTGCCTGGTGTTATTCCTTCAATTTTGTTCTTTTTTTTTTTTTTTTTTTTTTGAGACAGTCTTGCTCTGTCACCCAGACTGGAGTTCAGTGCTATGATCTTGGCTCATTTGCAACCTCTGCCCCCTGGGTTCAAGCGATTCTCCTGTCTCAGCCTCCTAAGCAGCTGGGACTACAGGAATGTGCAACCATGCCTGGCTAATTTTTTGTATTTTTTTAGTAGAGTCAAGGTTTCACCATGTTGGCCAGGGTGGTCTAACTCCTGACCTCAAGCGATACACTTGCCTCAGCCTCTCAAAGTACTGGGATTATAGGCGTGAGACACCATGCCTGCCCTGTTATTCTTTTTTTGTTTTGTTTTGTTGTTGTTTTTTGTTTTTGTTTTTTTGAGATAGATTCTGGCTCTGTTCCCCAGGCTGGAGTGCAATGGTGCGATCTCAGCTCACTGCAACCTCCACCACCCAGGTTCAAATGATTCTCCTGCCTCAGCCTCCTGAGTAGCTGGGATTACAGGCATGTGCCACCACACCTGACTAATTTTGTATTTTTAGTAGAGATGGGGTTTCTCCATGTTGGTCAGGCTAGTCTCAACCTCCTGACCTCAGGTGACCTGCCCACCTCAGCCTCCCAAATTACTGGGATTACAGGAGTGATCCACCACGCCCAGCCTGACCTGTTATTCTTATGCAAGATTCCAATGGCTATTTTTGTCCTTTTTAAATGCATGTGTGATATGTATGTATCTATATATATACACACACACTCTCTATATATATATTATACACATACATATCACTATATATATACATACACCATATATAGTGTGTGTGTATATATATATATATATAGTGTGTGGTATGTGAGTACATATATATATATATATATATATATATATATATATATATACTATATATATATGAAACATCATTTCAATTTCACAAAAGTCCTCTGGGATTTTAATTGTCACTGTATTGAATTAATTAAGGGAGAATTATGTTACTCACAATATTAAGTTTTATAATGCATGAATGTGGTATAAACTTCTATTTATTGAAGTCTCCATTGTTTTCTCTCAATAACTAAGCAGCCACCATAGTAGCTTCCCATAAGTAAACAGAAGGCTTGAGGAAAAAACACCAGCTGTCTTGTGGAGGTTTGGTTTCCTGTGGAATCACTGTGGAATACCCACCACTATGCTGATAACAGTGTTAAAGTGCAAAATCTTCATGCTCCAGCCTGCTGATAATGAGACTGAAGTTTTCCCCGAACCCACTGCCACTCCACCAGGCTGGGACATTGGTGGTCCTGGTGGATGCACCATGGATGAGGAGCCTGAGAGCCTGTCCAGGTTTCCACTGATACCCTGCTAAGGAGCTGCTAATAGTCTACTTGGCTCTGTAGGTGAGGGTGGCTTTTTCCCCTAGAGATAAAGACAGGGAGGCTGGAGACTGTCATCACAAGTTCTCTGGTGGTATCTGAAATTGGAATAAAAACAGAAATGTCACACATGTACACTACATCATACCTATTGTCTTCCCAGTGCATCCAGGACCATTGATCTACATTGAGCTTTAATCATTGTGCCTTCCCAGCAGGTGTGCCAGGTAACAGGACTCAACAAGGTTGAGAAAGTTTCACTGACATGCAGAACCATCCGATGTTTCCTGCACCTGGGAGCCAGAGTAACAAGAATCAGAGCAGCTGAGCTGCAGCTTCCATGGTTCCCTCTGGGTCCTAACTGAGCTGCTCTTTCACAGACCTACCCCCATGGATTGATATGGGCTCTGGACAGCAGGGTGGCTGGGAGAGACATGCATAACAGCCACAGATGGCGCTGGGCTTCGAAACTGCAGAGACCACCTGCCTGGTTCAAATGATTCTCCTGCCTCAGCCTTCTGAGTAGCTAGGATTACAGGCACCCACCACTATGCCCGGCTAATTTTTGTATTTTTAGTAGAGACGGGGTTTCACCATGTTGGCCAGGCTGGTCTTGAACTCCTGATCTCAGGTGATCCGCCTGCCTCGGCCTCCCAAAGTGCTGGGATTACAGGCCTGAACCACCGTGCGCGGCCACCATTGCTTCTTGAAGTAGATTTCCCAGCACTCCTTTTGCCTTTCTGGTTTCCTAACCATTATATCCTCTGGTCTTTGAAAAGTTGTAATTTAGACATGGATTTCCCATATTAGGAAAAACTTTCTATTTGGGTTACCTACAATAGCTTCTCTTTTGTTGTATGAACCTGGACC
The DNA here is from genome assembly GCF_000001405.40 of Homo sapiens. Classification (NCBI taxonomy): domain Eukaryota; kingdom Metazoa; phylum Chordata; class Mammalia; order Primates; family Hominidae; genus Homo; species Homo sapiens. The sequence goes on along the minus strand of NC_000002.12, from coordinate 89,929,173 downwards.
AGTGCTGTAACCCAGAGTCCTCATAGGTAATGACTCTTCTATGAAATTAGGAGAGGCATTGCCATGTCTGCTGCTGGGGCTGAGGAGGATAAAAGAAACTAAGGGTGTAGAGACACTTCCCTTACCGCTTCTATGAAAACTGCTCAGTGACCTTCAGAGTGTGGCTGAGTCTGAGAAACACTCTCAGCAGATGGAGGAAACAGGAGAAGCAGCTGGGGCAGCCCACCCTCACATATCTGCTTCCTTGGGGAGCTTATTGGGTTTGTAACACTGTGAGAGGGTCACTTTTATACTGTTGACCAATAATAAGAAGTTGCAGCAACTTCAGACTGGAGGATGCTAATGGTGAGAATCAAATCTGTCCTGGATCCAATGCCACATAACTGCAATGGGACCCAGGTTTGCAAATTGGATGCATCGTAGATCAGGAGCTCAGAAGCTTTCCCTGGCTTCTCTTTGTATCAGGCTAAAACATGGCTAATGCCCTACCTGACTTTCCTGGCATGTGATGGTGACTCTCACCTAGACAGGAAGACAGCGAGGATGGAGACTGGGTCATCTGCATGTCATATCTGGCACCTGAGATGGGAAACAAAACTATTAACACTATTAACCATGTTATGAGAGGACTTTCCTGAATAGCCAGGTAGTACTGACCACACTGGCTCAGTAAATTCCTAGTGTTCTCCTTCCTTGCCTGAGAGTCAGAGCAGCAGGAGCCCCAGGAGCTGAGCAGGGACCCTCATGTCCATGCTGTGTCTTGACTGGGACTGACTCTTGCAAGTGGTATGACCAGCCTGTGTACAAGTCTTCAGGAAGTTGGCTGTGTTTTTTTGAAAATGAAAATTTCAACAGATGCAAGAATGACTTTATCTGCATAATATTGCACAGGCCTAGTGTCCCCCAGGGGTCCTAAGATTGATCAGGCCTGCATACACTTGTTAGCAGAGAACAAGTTTCTCTCTGGGGGCCACAGAACAGAATCTGTCTACTGTCCTGCAAGGAGATTGCTTTTCTGCTCTGCAGAAGTAGGTCATGACCTACTTTTCTTGCTAGCTTCCCGTCTAAGACCTGGCTTGTTGGAGAAGCACATCTCCAGAATCTGCAATAAATTTTAGAAGTGTCCTGCGTTTGGTACTGATGAATATTATTGAGGCCACAGAGACTTCTTCTTTGCTCTGATCCTCTAGAGCCCTTGATGTTGTAAATCATCAGCACTATCAGCCAGAGATGCAATGATGAGGTATAAGAAAGATGGATGGATACATAGATGGATGGATAGAAGGACAGATTTATTTATTAAAAATAAGAAAAAGGAAAATGTTAACACAAAATATGTGAAAGTAGTGTAATGCTTTGCAAGGATTGGGTAATCCTTGTACACTGGGTAAACGACATGGCAAATCTCTTATCTCAGACATGTGATCATCTTCCTGTATTTCTACATTTTCTTTCCTACTTCTTACATCTAGGCCAACATCAGAAATCTTCTCCCTCCACTTCTGAAAAGTGTCAGCTACTCTCTACCTCTGTGTGCCATCATGCATTCCTATGCTAGATGTTTCCTGAGCTCCTTGGATTAATATGTGTGCCTTACGTCATTCTTAAGCTAATATCTTCCGGAAACTGAGATGTTATCTAGACCCAGTGCTCACATCTACTCTTGAATCTACTCTGTTCCATAAACTGTATATCTCTATATTACCAATCTCTTCCAGTTTTTAAGAGAAAGCAGTTCTTAATGACTGGGTTTAGGGCATTTGACCAAAGTAGGTTCAGAAAGAAAACCATGCACCAAAATGAAGGGGAAACCAAAATATTGCACAGAGTGTGAAACCCACATGGCATGGAAAGGGCAGTTGATGTGCAGTAGAGAGGGAAGACCACCAGAGGTGTTGAAGCTATAGTGGAGGGAGGAGGGTATCCCCACATAGGCGCAGGATGTGGGGCAACATCCTCCCACTAGCACATATGTCACAGCTGAAGCAGGATGAGCAGGGCCCTTCAAAAGGGGTAAAGCCAGTGGTACTAGCAAAACGGCCCATGTAGATTGAGAAGGTCACCCATGCAGGAGTCAAAGTTAACAGTGAGCTGGCAAAGCATATCAGGGCTAATGCAGGTTGTGAGGCAGAAGAGGGAAGTTGTCTAAAAGGAGCGTGTAGGTGGCAATGACAGCAGGAGATTAGTGTCACAAAGAGATGTTGATCCCATAAGTCAGTGTAGTAAGGATAATTAGAGCCAAGGTACCCAGGGAGAAATGTTAGAAATATTTTAAAAGCGCGTACTAGAATAAACTCTATGACTCTGGATTATAGCTATATCAGTGCCAATTCATGGTTTATGTAGATATAGGTAAAAAGATAGATGAATAGATGATGATGATAGATAGACAAATGATAGATAATAGATAGCTCATTTTCTCTAGAAGCGATGACACATCAGTCCCACTGAACACATTTAGTGTGTAGATCTTATTTTTCTGAATGCCGATTTCTACTAAAAGGAATCAGTAATCTTTGGAGAAATGGCTGATGTCAGGTCTAAAATAGGGGAGATGGAAGATGAGCTTGTACCATCTAGTGCCAGAAACTAAAAAAGTGCTCAGAGAATGATGGGATAAAAACAGCAGGTATTCAGAGGCAGTGTGAATGAGGCTCCCATTGGACAAATCAGAGGAGGGTTGACTATGAAAATAAATGATGATGGTAGCAGAGTATAACCCATTGAAGAAAATATGGATCCATGTCTATATTTCGATTAGGAGAGGGATATTCATGAAGTATCAAGAACATCTCCACAAATTCTTATCTCTTTCAAACAGAACAACAGTGAAGGTGCAGGGAGAAGCCTGGCAGACACCCCCTTCAGCAGGAGTCAGACTGAACCTCGTCAGTCATGTGGCAGATGGAAATCACACACATCCCAATAGGATTCAGTGAGAGCACAGTATCGCTTCTGGATATTCCCGCAACAGTTACACTAACAGAGTTCAATCCTGAAGAAAATTCAAACAAATTTAAATTGACAATCTACATGGTAACTGGTGTGTAATCTTCAAAAGCAATGTGTTCATAAAGTCCAAACAAGGACACTGGAACTGTTCTAGATGGAAGAAAACTACGGAGGTACAGGCCAGCAAAGGCAACCCGTGAATCATTTTGTTACAAAAGACATTATTGGAACAATTAACAAAAGTTGAAATACACTTGAGGATTAGATGGAGTGATGCACCAGTGATGATTCCCTGGTTCCACAGATGTATTGGGTTATGTAGGAAAATGTCTTGTCTGAAGGAAATACATAGCAAAGTCTTAAAGGGTGGAACTATGAGGTCATCAAGTTACTCTCAATGGTTTAGGGGGAAATGTGTTACTTTGTACTCTACTTACAAACTTTCTGTAAATGTGAAATTGTTTCAATATTTTAAAAATAAAAATGGCAGCTCTTAAGAGCATACCCAAGCTATTCTAAGGTATTTTGTGATGGCACTGAGCCACACCTGTTACAACCATAAGACATGGAAATTTACTGTAGACGCACAAAGATAACACTGTGCTTTCTCAAAGGTGTGTAGTTCACAGACAAATTATTATCTGAAGACACAGGTCTCTTTAGTATCCATCAACTAAATGGGCATCCTATTCTTGGTTTGGGGACCTACATAGTCTACCCCTCACGACAAATGTAACTTGTTTGTTTTGTTTTGTTTGAGACTGGGTCCTGCTCTGTCCCCTACACTGGAGTGCAGTGGCAAGATCACAGCTTACTCCAACCTCAACCCCTTGGGCTTAAACAATCCTCTTGTCTCAGCCTCCCCAGTAGCTAGAACCACAGGCGTGTGCCACGGCATCTGGCTAATTTTTTCATTTCTTGTGGAGATGGGGTCTCACTATGTTGCCTAGGTTAGTCTCAAATTCCTGGGCTCAAGTAATCCTCCAGTCTCAGCCTTTCAAATGCTGGCATTATAGGTGTGAGCCACTGTGCCTAGACCCATGTAACTTTATTTCTCTCAGCTCATCAGCATGAAAGTTCTGACTGAGGATGCCAAACCTGATTATCAAAAAAACAAAAATCAAATCAAATACAGTTTCTTTCATCAACCAAATAGGATAGCTGTGAAACTGAAGCCTGAATTAGGATAAATGTACAACCTTAAATACCCCAGAACCACTCAGGATCAATTCTCTTCAAAGTAGGATGAAGACAAGATCACATCACCTGGGGAATTGCTCCGAGTTTCACGGAAGACACAGAGGAAGGGAGGATGAGGCTGGAGACAAAGCTAGCTCTGCTGCGAACTCATCAAGGCCAGGGAGCCCTCAACAGCCTGCTGGATCATAAAGGAGCCCTGTCAACACTGACAGAGCATCTTGGTTGGAGGTCTCCAATCTTGTATTTCAATGGAGCTATTGAGTGTCTCAGTAATAATGCATCAATCAAAGCTACATGCACACTCAACATGAGGGACCTCTTGCTCTGGGCCCCAGAAGTGAAGGGCCCTCACCAGGCTCTCCTCCCCTCCAGTCTTTCACAGAGAGAGACTGAGACTGTGCTAATATAGAGCCAATTTTCTTCTACATCACACCCTGATACTTGGGGTCCTGAAACTACCAATTCAAATGTTCTAACCCTAACTTCCAGGGACTTGGCCCCTTCTCTGGGCTCGTTCCTCTGAGAGTAGCTACGCAGTAGGCGTTCCCCGCTCAGACACAAAGTGAGGCCAGGTTTCTGCTGCTGGGAGGCGGGATGGCATGTGAATGTGTGTGAAGTGTCTGTATATGTGTTCAGGAGAACTTGTGTGGTGTGGAAAAAGCAAGAGATGGGGTAATGGCAGTAAAGTCCCAATTGCAACCCTAAAGCACGACCTGCTATCCTCACACTACCAGGTGCTGGTGAAGAACCTTGAGGAGCGAAAAATATTTAAATTCAGACGTAGGCTTCCAGATATTCAACCTGTAGCCAAAAGAGATTAGAATGGACTAGGTTTACACTCCTCTCTGGATTAACTAAAACACAGGACACAATACATGAGGCAAATGTTTTCAAGAAATTGGACATTAGAAATTAAGGATATTGAGCCCAGAAGATTTTAAACCAAAGGAGATGAAATTTGGAACGATCCATCTGAGACCCTGAGGAGAGTTGCCAGAGCATTGTGTAGTGAAAGGAAATCCATGAGGTGCCTGGGAGTGTCCCTGAAGAGAGGAAAAAGAATTGGAGGTCCAGAAAGACAGAGAAACAGAGGAGGGAGTTCAGAGAGAGCCCAGGCTATCCCCAGATGCCTCCCTCAGTATTCCACAGAGCACTGATGAGTACATGCACGTGGAGACCCTACCTAAGGCTGCAGAAAGACTGGCTGAAGGATTACAGGAAGATTCCTCAGTCTCCTCTTTTCATGTCATGAGACACTGCAGATGACTGAGAACCCGGTGGCTCCCCTGAGCTTATTTGTCATGCACTTTTGATGACATGAAGGTTATTCATGTTGGCCTTCTCTAGTAGATTCACCTGGAAAGCATTAAATTTAGCAGGAAAAAAGGGGGCAACCATGCCCTCAATGTGGAGTGGTCATTAGTATTGGTTACAAATGTGAACTGCACTAAGCATAAAGGGATTCATTATGGGATATTAAATAGCTCAAAAATTGTTGGAAAGCCTTAACAACAGGCTCCAGGCAAAACCTCTGGAACAATCTCACAAACTGTACTGCCGATTCAGGCTGCGGAGGAGTCCTTACTGCCTGAGACCCCATATTCAGACTGCCTCCTGCAGAGAAGACAGCTGTTCCTCTCACTACGGCCCACAGAAGGACAGCATCCCTGCCAGCAGCTACCAGAGATCTGACTCCTATCCTGCAGCTCTCCCTGTGTTGATAATATCCCTAAATTCAGTCCCGTTCACATTCATCGTTTTTCATGACTACATATCTTTTTCTATCTCCATCCACCCTTGTGGCTTGACATCACCAATACACACTTTCCCACACTTGAATTCCTTTTTCACACATTAAAAGCAATGTATTAACACCTAACATATTGCAAACGTTGTCTTTACAAGTAACATCAGGATCACTTCTACCTAAAGAATGGGGACACCCAAGACTGAACCAGGAAGAAGTTGAATCCCTGAATAGACCAATAACAAGTTCTGAAATCGAGGCAGTAATAAAAAGCCTATCAACTAAAAAAAAGCCCAGGACCAGATGGATTTACAGTTCAATTCTACCAGAGGTACAAAGAGGAGCTGGTACCACTCCTTCTGAAACAATTCCAAACACTTGAAAAGGAGAGACTCCTGTCTAACTTATTTTAAGAGGCCAGAATCATCTTGATACCAAAACCTGGCAGAGATTAAAAAAAAAAAAAAAAAAAGGAGAAAACCTTCAGGCCAATATCCCTAATGAACATTGATGCAAAAATCCTCAATAAAATACTGGCAAACCATATCCAGCCACACATCAAAAGGTTTATCCACCACGATGAAGTTGGCTTCATCCCCGGATGCAAGGCTGGTTCAATATACACATAATTCATCACATAAAGGGAACTAGAGACAAAACCCACATGATTATCTCAGTAGATGGAGAAAAGGTCTTCGATAAAATTCAACATCACTTCATTTCAATAAACTACGTATTGAAGAAATATACTTCAAAATAATAAGAGCCATTTATGACAAACCCACAGTCAATATCATACTGAATGGACAAAAGCTGGAAGCATTCCCCTTGAAAACCATTACAAGACAAGGATACCCCTCTGTCACCACTCTTATTCAACATAGTATTGGAAGTTCTGACCAGGGCAATCAGGGAAGAGAAAGAAATAAAGGGTATTCGAATAGGAAGAGAGAAATTCAAATTATCTTTGTTTGCAGATGACATGATTCTGTATCTAGAAAATGCCATTGACTCAGCCCAAAAGCTTCTTAAGCTGATAACTTCAGCAAAGCCTCTGAATACAAAATCAATGTGCACAATTGACAAGCATCTACACACCAACGACAGACAAATAGCCAAATTAAGAATGAACTCCTATTCACAATTGCAACAAAGAGAATAAAATACCTAGGATAACAGCTAACGAGGAAAGTGAAAGACCTCTTCAAGGAGAATTACAAACCACTGTTCAAGAAAATCAGAGAGGACACAAACAGATAGAAAAACATTCCATGCTGGTGGATAGGAAGAATCAATATCGCAAAAATGGCCACACTCCCCAAAGCAATTTATAGATTCAATCCTATTCCCAATAAACTACCATGACATTCGTCACAGAATTAGAAGAAACAATTTGGCCGGGCGTGGTGGCTCACGTCTGTAGTCCCAGCACTTTGGGAGGCCAAGGCGGGCGGATCACGAGATCAGGAGATCGAGACCATCCTGGCTAATACGGTGAAAGCCCATCTCTACTAAAAATACAAAAAATGAGCCAGGAGTGGTGGCAGGCACCTATATTTCCAGCTACCCGGGAGGCTGAGGCAGGAGAATGGCGTGAACCCAGGAGGCGGAGCTTGCAGTGGGCCGAGATGGCACCACTGCACTCCAGCCTGGGTGACAAGGCGAGACTCCGTCAAAAAAAAAAAAAAAAAATTAAAAATTCATATAGAACCAACAAAGGTTGTGTAGCCAGGACAAGCCTAAGCAAAAAGAACAAAACTGGAGACATCATACTACTCAACTTCAAACTATGCTACAAGGATACACTAAGCAAAACAACATGCTACCGGTACAAAAACAGACACAGAGACCAACGGAACAGAATAGAGAATTCAGAAATAAAACCACACATCTACAGCCATCTGATCTTCAACAAACCTGATAAAAAGAACAAAAACAAAAACAAAAACAAAAACACAAGCAATGAGGGAAGCACTCCCTATTTAATAAATGGTGCAGGGAGAATTGGCTAGCCATATGCAGAAAATTGAAACTGGACCCCTTCCTTATGCCTTATACAAAAATGAAGGCAAGATGGATTAAAGACTTAATATAAAACCCCAAACTATTAAAACCCAAACTACTTAAAGTATAATTAAAAAAAAAAAACAAAGAAAACCCACCAAACTACAAAAATCTAGGCAATACCATTTAGGACATAGACACAGGAAGAGATTTTATGACAAAAATGCCTACAGCATTTGCAACAAAGCAAAAATTGGCAAATGAGATCTAATTAAACTAAAGAGCCTCTGAACAGCAAAAGAAACTATCATCATAGTGAACAGACGACCTACAGAATGGGAGAAAATTTTTGCAATTTATTCATCTGACAAAGTTATAATATCCAGAATTTACAAGAAATTTAAACAAATTTACAAAAATAAAAATAAAAAAAATTAAAAGGTGGGCAAAGGACATGAACAGGCGCTTCTCAAAAGAAGACATACATGCGGCCAAGAAACATGAAAAAAGCTCAACATCAATGATCATCAGGGAAATGCAAACCAAAATCACAATGAGACACCATATCACTCCAGTCAGAATGGTGATTATTAAAAAATGAAGAAACAACAGATGCTGTCGAGGTTGCAGGGAAATAGAAACACTTCTAAACTGTTGGTGGGAATGTAAATTAGTTCAACCATTCTGGAAGACAGTGTGGCGATTACTCAAAGATTTAGAACTGGAAATACCATTTGACTCAGCAGTCACATTACTGGGTATATACCCAAAGGAATATAAATCATTCTACTATAAAGATACATGCATGTGTATGTTCATTGCAGCACTATTCACAATAGCAAAGACATGGAATCAACCCATATGCCCATCAATGATAGAATGGATAAATAAAATGTTTTATATATACACCATGGAATACTATGCAGCCATAAAAAGGAATGAGATCATGTCCTTTGCAGGGACGTGGTTGAAACTAGAAACCACTATCCTCAGAAAACTAACACAGGAACAGGAAACCAGACACCAGATGTTCTCACTTAGAGGTGGAGCTGAACAGTGAGCACACATGGACACAAGGAGGGGAACGACACACACTGGGGCCTTTCAGGGGAGGGTGGGTAGGAGAAGAGCACCAGGAAAAATAGCTAATGGATGCTGGGCTTAATACCTAGGTGATGGGTTGATAGGTGCAGCAAATCACCATAGCACCTGTTTACCAATGTAACAAACCTGCACATCCTGCACATGTATCCTGGAACATAAAATAAAATGAATGGCAAAATCCAAAAACCTTCAGTCCAGAATCCAGCATTCCTCATGGGTCACAAATTTAACCTAAGGTCTAAATTACAAAGGAGACCAGACAACAACACTTTATAAAACTTTAAAGAAAATGGTGACTGTAAAAAGAAAATTTTTCAACAAAATGTATGCATGCCTCACATGATGTTTTGATATCTGTTTTATTAAAATTCTTCCATCCTCTGAGTACTGTCTGTAACCTAGGGTCTAGAAGGGCCAAAATACATTTCCTTGGCACTGTGATAATTTTGTATATGTGCTTGTAGCTTGTGTGTATGTGAGTATATACACACATATGTGGTCATACAACTTTGTTAAAACATAACTGTTTATATAAGTTTATGCAGAAAGCAATGTCTAAATATATATGCAAATGTATATATCATATATAAAAAGATAAATGCACATATGCACACATATATGTATAAACATATGTTTTATTCCTGGAATGTCAACCTAATGATTTTCAACAATCTGTAGTGTATATGTAAAGTTCCATTCTGATTATTCTGTTGAGTATTGCTACATATGTGTATCCTCAATACTAACTATTCCTGTTAGATGTTTCCATAAATGAGCTAAGTTGTATTTTATTTCTTCTGATTTAAGTATTATTTCTTCTATGTTTTTGTTTCTTTATGATTTTCTAAGTATTCATATTTATGCAGTCAATTTTCATTAAATGCGTCTATATATGTGGATGTTTAATAATGTATTAGCTTTTCAACAATAATAGTTTGTAACAAACCACTCAAAATGCAGAGGCTTACAATACTAGTATTTATTTTCATGTTTACGGATGTTCATATTAACAATAATTTAGCTGATCTAGACAGGGCTCAGCTGCGTGGTTGTGCTGTAGGTCGCTGAGCTTATCTCTAATATATGGATTTTTTTTTAATTGGGGTCAAGACTGAAGGAGCAGTGATCAGCCAGGGCAGTTAACAACATCCTGAGGTCAAGCTACACAAGCAAATTTAAGTCCCATCAGCTGCAACACACGTATACAATATGTGGGTTTCTTCTTTTGCTTTAGCAATTACTCAAGGTTCTAAAACCTTTTCTCCAATTAAGTTTCAAGGTATGTGATCATGTCACTGACAAATAATTAAGTATTTCAACCTTCAGCATTAAAAAAGTAAATTTATTCTTAAATTAATTAAAGTTAAATCAAATTGAGTAAAAAAAATTGGATGTGTTTTCAACATGTGACTTTAATCAGATTTTCTTAAATTGACATGTTGGATAAAAACAACAAAAATTTCTTAGCTGAAGTAAACATTCCCTAAAACATAGCTTCTTAAACCTTCAATGGATCATCTGTTATCTTATGAAAATACAGATTCCCATTCAATTGATCTAAGGTGGTTTTGCTGTTTTGAATTGGTAACATGCTCTTAGTGTTGCTACTGGGTTCTGGACAAATTTTGAGTAGCAAGGTTTTTATATTAAAAAAAAGAATAAGAATGTTACATCTGTGTGTATACACACACACACACATATATATATACAAACACATATAAGCAAATGTACACATATATATGTATGAACACATTTTATTTATGGAATGTGAACTTAATGATTTTCAATAAATCTATATTATACTATAAAATCCTGTTCTGATTACCTATATATATGCATACACACACAGACACACACACACATATTTTATATATATAATACATATTATATATTATGATATTATATATTGTATATATTATATATGTATATAATATACTATTATATATTATATATTAATATAATTTTATTAATATATATATTATATATATTATAATAGTATATATAACATATAATATAGTATATATATTATATATTATATATAAAATATTTATGTGTGGGTGTTTGTGTATATATAGGTGTGTGTCTGTGTTTGTATGCATATATATAGGTAATCAGATTATATATATATGTGTACGTATATATACACACACACATACACATACAGGTATTCAACAAAGGTTTTTTTTGGTCCAATGATTGCTATATTATTTAGTGCAATTTCTATTTTTTTTTTTAATATGCAGCTTTTTATTCCTCACCCCCCCCACCCTCTCCACTTCTGTCTCCAATGTTCATTAGACCACTCTGTATGCCTCTGTGTACTTGTAGCTTAGCTCTCACTTATAAGTGTGGACATAAGGTATTTGGTTTTCCATTCCTGAGTTACTTCACTTTGAATAACCGCCTCCACCTCCATGCAAGTTGCCGGGAAAGATATTATTAAATTTATTTTTATGGCTAAGTCATATACATATACATATATATATATGAGTCAACCATATACATATATATATATGTATATGAGTCAACCATACACATATATATATAATGTTTATATATATAATGTATACATATAATGTTTATATATATAATGTATATATATAACGTTTATATATATAATGTATATATATAATGTTTATATATATAATGTATATATATAATGTTTATATATATAATGTATATATATAATGTTTATATATATAATGTATATATATAATGTTTATATATATAATGTATATATATAATGTTTATATATATAATTTGTATATATAATGTTTATATATATAATTTGTATATATAATGTTTATATATATAATGTGTATATATAATGTTTATATATATAATGTGTATATATAATGTTTATATATATAATGTGTATATATATAATGTTTATATATATAATGTGTATATATATAATGTTTATATATATAATGTGTATATATATAATGTTTATATATATAATGTGTATATATATAATGTTTATATATATATGTAATGGTTTTTCTTCCTCAACTTTTACTTTAAGGTCCAGGGCACATGTGCAGGTTTGTTACATAGGTAGACGTGTGCTGTGGTGGTTCGCTGCACAGATCATCCCATCACTTCAGTATTAAGCCCAGCATCCATTAGCTATTCTTCCTAATACGCTCCCTCTCTTCCTCCTTCTCCCTCCACCACAGACCTCAGTGTGTCGTTTCCTCCCGTGTCCATGTACTCTCATTGTTAGGCTCCCACTTATATGTGAGAACATGCAGTGTTTGGTTTTCTGTTCCTGCCTTAGTTTACTGAGGATAATGGCTTCCAGCTCCATCCATGTCCCTGAAAAGGGCATGATCTCATTCCTTTTTATGGCTGCATAGTATTCCGTGGTGCATATGTACCATATTTTCTTTATCTGTTCTATCATTGATGGGCATTTGAGTTGATTCCATGTCTTTGCTATTGTAAATAGTGCTGCAATGAACATACTCATGCATGTATCTTTATAGTAGAATGATTTATATTCCTTTGGGTATATATCCAGTAATGGGACTGCTGAATCAAATGGTATTTCCAGTTCTAAATCTTTGAAGAATCACCACACTGTCTTCCAGAATGGTTGAAGTAATTTACATTCTCATTAACAGTGTAGAAGTTTTCCTATTTCTCCACAACCTCCGCAGCATCTGTCGTTTTTTGATTTTTTTTTTTAATCTGAGAAGGAATATCATTCTGTCACCCAGGCTTGAGTGCAGTGGCATGATCTCAGCTCACTGCAACCTCTGTCTTCCAGGTTCAAGCGATTCTTGTGCCTCAGCCCCTCAAGGAACAGGGATTTCAGGCATCCACCACCACCTCCAGCTAATTTTTGCATTTTTAGTAGAGATGAGATTTCGCCATATTGGCCAGGCTAGTCTTGAACTCCTGACCTCAAGTGATCCACTTACCTCGGCTTCCCAAAGGGCTAGGATTACAGGTGTGAGTCACGTTGCCTAACTTATTGTTTTTTGACTTTTTAATAATCGCCATTCTCACTGGTGTGAGATAGTATCTCATTGTGTTTCTGATTTGCATTTCTTCAATGATTAGTAATGTTGATCTTTTTTTCATATGATTATTGGCCTCATGTATGTCCTCTTTTAAGTGTCTGTTCATGTCCTTTGCCAACCTTTTAATGGGGTTGTTTTTTTTTCTTGTAAATTTGTTTAAGTTCCTTATAGACTCCGGATATTAGACCTTTGTCAGATGAATAAATTGCAAAAATTTTCTCCCATTCTTAATGTTGTCTGTTCACTCTGATGATAGTTTCTTCAGCTGTGCAGAGGCTTTTTAGTTTAATTAGATCACATTTGTCAATTTTTGCTTTTGTTGCAATGCTTTGGGCATTCTTGTCATGAAATCTCTGCCCGTGTCTATGTCCTAAATGGTATTGCCTAGATTTTCTTCTAGGGTTTTTATAGTTTGGGGTTTTACACTTAAGTCTTCAATCCATCTTGAGTTCATTTTTGTGTAAGGTGTAAGGAAGGGGTCCAGTTTCAATTTTTGGCATATGACTAGCCAGTTCTCCCAGCATTATCTATTAAATAGGGAGTACTTTCCCCATTGCTTGTTTTTGTCAGGGTTGTTGAAGATCAGATGGTTGTAGGTCTCCAGCATTATTTCTGAGTTCCCTATTCTGTTCCATTTGTCTGTGTATCTTTTTGTACCAGCACTATGCTATTTTGATTAATGTAGCCATGTAGTTCTATTTATCATATGACTAAATATCATTTTCATGCTATGATTTCAAACTTACTCATAGTATATGGAAGTACATCCAAGTGTATTCTGAGGCCATCACTTCACTGAAAAAATCCTGAGAGTCGAGATACATGACCACACTACGATGTCAGCTGTCACTTCCCCATCATCACTATTATTCTGGAAGCACATTTGCCAGAAACCCTATGCCTTCTCTGGTTTTTGGTGGAGTTGCCCAGTGTGGGGCCTGCCCTGAGATTGAGAAGTAAGAAGAGGAGGATTCAATACTATCCATCAACACCTGCAGCAAGACATATGGACCGAGGTGAGGACTGCAGAAGCACCTGATGAAGTCCTCTAGGCAGCTGAGAGCATCTGCACCCCCACCCATGGGCTTCTCAGAAAGGTCTGAGGACCACATGATTGGCAGTTGTACCTTCTCTATCAGATGCATTCTGGATTCCAGAAGAGAATTCCTCTTCTCTAGTATTTGCGTCTTTGACTACTATACTTGCAAACCTTTAAAAGGCTGTAGTTTAGATTCTCACATCTTGTATTTAAAAAAAATCCTACTTGGAATACCTAGAGTGGCTCACTATTGCTACATGAATTCCAACTGATGCTACAACTCAGACCCCTCAGGTGTAACCATTTCTTCTCAATGAAATCAGGAGAGGCATTGCCCTGTCTATGATACTGGGGATTAGGACAAGGAAAGACAGCTACGATGAAGTGGGCCTTCATGGCCCTTTTACAAAAACTCTCCAGTGAACTTCAAAGTGTGACTGCAATTTGAGAAACATTCTCAGCAGGCGAAGGCACCAGAAGGGGCATCTGGGACAGCTGAGCCTCACGCATCTGCTCCCCTGGGTGATTTATGTTATGACTTGTTACACTGTGGGAGGGAGATTATCATACTGTTGACAGTAATATGTTGCAATATCTTCAGGCTGCAGGCTGCTGATGGTGAAAGTAAAATCTGTCCCAGATCCACTTCCACTGAACCTTGATGGGACCCCTGTTTCCAAATTGGATGCATCGTAGATCAGGAGCTTAGGGGCTTTCCCTGGTTTCTGCTGATACCAATTTAAATAGTTGCTAATGTCCTGACTCGCCTGGCAAGTGATGGTGACTCTGTCTCCTACAGATGCAGACAGGGAGGATGGAGACTGGGTCATCTGGATGTCACATCTGGCACCTGCGATTAGAAACATAAACACAAATATTCATACTATTAGTCATATTATAGGAAGGCTTCCATCAAGAGCCAGGCTGTACTGAGCCCACTGGCTGAGAAAATTCATAGTGTTATCCTTCCTTACCTGAGAGCCAGAGCAGCAGGAGCCCCAGGAGCTGAGCAGGGACCCTCATGTCCATGCTGTGTCCTGGTTGGGACTGACTCCTGCACAGGG
The DNA here is from genome assembly GCF_000001405.40 of Homo sapiens. Lineage (NCBI taxonomy): Eukaryota > Metazoa > Chordata > Mammalia > Primates > Hominidae > Homo > Homo sapiens. The sequence continues at coordinate 89,914,035 of NC_000002.12, read as the reverse complement.
TGCGACCAGCCTATTAATAAGTCTTCAGGGCAGGGGGCTGTGCTCTGCGAACATGCAAATCAGCAGGGGATAGGGCAGGCTGGGCACAGCTGCAGGGCTGGCTCTTCTCAGTAACTCAGCATAGGAGCAATGTCCCCAGTGTCCCAGGTCGGACCAGGGCATCACAGATTTGTCCGTAAATAAGTGTTTCTTCCTGGAGGCTGTTTGGTTACAAAGAACTTTTTTGAGTTAATTGTCAAAATTTGAAATATTCCTGAGGACTAGATGGAGTAATGTATTTTATTCGTGTATGGAGATGGAGATTATTTTTTAAAAAATACAATATGCACTTAATTGGAAGAAAGCACTTTGTGCTGTACTTACAACACTTCTGTTAGCATGAAATTATTCTGTTTTTAGAAAGGAAACTAAATAGAAAATATATCAAGATTGCAATCCCTGTCTACAGGCTATGCCTTTCCCTTTCGCTGTACTGCTGCTGACTTCCAATGGCCATCTATGCCCCTCATTGCTCTTTCTGAACCTGGAGAAGGCAGCTCTGCCTGCATGCATAGCAGACCACAGGGGCTCGAATGGCCCTCTCTTTGGGCAGTGTTATGGTTTCACTGTGTCCTTCAAAACCCATCTGTTTTTAAATTTATCTCAAAGCAACAGAATTGGGAGGTGGGGCCTAATGGGAAGTGTTGAAGTCATGAGAGCTCTGCCCTCATGAGTGGATAAATGCCACTATAAACAGAGCTTGTGCTGTGGAACCGAACTGGAGTCCACTCACTCAGCTCAGTCAGATCAGATATTCACATTGAGTTTGCAGCAGGAGAAAGTAAAGGTTTGTTTGTTTGTTTGTTTGTTTTTTTGTAGGGCATCAGGTAAAGAGAATCAGGCAGCTAAGATTCAAATCCTGGCCTCACTGATGGCTTGCAGGTAAGGGTTTTTTAAGGCAGGAGTAAATTTCAGGAAAGCAGAAGTTACAGGTCAAATTGAAAATTAATACATGGAGGTCACATATTGGTTTTGGCCTAAAAGGGCAGGATATCTTGAAACAGGGGCTTACAGATCAAGGGTGGATTACAAGATTTCTAATTTACAATTGGCTAAGGAAGAAAAGCTTTGTTTAAACATTTGGGTTCAGCAGAAGAGACGAATTAGCTCAGGTTTATGGATATGACTTTTACCAGACCCCTCTGTAAGATATTTAGAACAAAGTACCATGGTCAGAGCTCAGTCCCCAGTTCTCCCTTTTGTGAGATCTATGTGCTGGCAGATTCATTTGGAGGGGGTCTTGTTTCCTCAAAAACACCTCAGAGACATATACTAAAATGTCACCTTCAGTTTCTATAGGGGAACCCACCATCTTCTGAGTCTAGCTTATTTGGCCATTTTAGGCTGTTTTTACTTCCTTGCTTATCACGTTACTTACTTACGTCTTAAGGCTAGGTAGGTGCTTGGAATTTCCTTTGAAGAGAGTCAAGATTTTCTATTCTTTCCATGCTTGGGGTGTGGGGGTTGCAGGCTCCTGAGAGTGAGTCCTTGCTCTTTCCCATTTGTGGGAGTAGGGTTTCTCTCTCTCTCTTTTCTGCTCTTCAGTCATGCTAGGACATGGACTTCCTTCCTTCTGGAGGACTCGGGAGTCATAGTGCCATCTTGAAAGTAGATAAACTGATTCCTAATCTGACAGTTCCTTGATCTTAGACTTCCCATCCTCCAGAAGTGTGAGAGAATAATTGTCTGCTCTTTATCAGTTACAATTTCAGGCATTCTGTTATACCAAGACACAGCAGACTAAGAGAGACACTATCAGTAGATGATAACAGGAGTATGATAACATACCCCAGCTCTCTCCCCTCAGATGGAATAGCCCAGAGGCATTGTCCCGATATTTCCACATGGGATGAAGCTTCAGTCATCCTAAGAGTTAAGTGGCTTTTAGGGGAGACTTTTGCCACCCATCTTCTATTTCCTGCTACACTTTCCTTCTTCCCTCCCAGTGTAAATAGGCTGCATGCACATAGTTCCTTCTTGCTGGTCAGCCCAGTTCAATGTGGAACAAATCCTTCAGGAACCCTTCAGCCAGGGTAAAAGTCTGAGAGACCAAAGCCGTAGCGCAGGGCCTGGGATCCTAGGTCGACTTTCCTCAGTTCTGTCCTCACTGGTCCTGAGTGGCCAGGACCCTACTAGTGCCAAAGAGGGAGGGTCATCAAATGTCTCCAGAGTCTTTACTCAGCCAGACTCTGTTATAGTTAGAAGAAAAAGAAGCACATGCTAAATAAATAAACATAAATTATTTGTATATGCATATATGTAATTGTAACACACTTTACAAATTAAATATATTTCTATGCTATTTCAGATGTAATTTGTATTAATATATTTGTATATCTTATACATATATAATACATATAATATGCACTTTTCATGTAAATAAATATAATATGAATTGTTGTTATAAGGCATGGTTTTAAACTTTGGTAAATTGAGCATGAACAAGAAAATCCAGCAATAGTGCCCCACCCCATGGCCACTTTCCCACTACAGAGCCCAAGGGTCAGAGGCTCAGGACTCACTTCATTTCCTTTCTGGGTCAAGCCCTGACTCATAGATTGCTAAGGATGCTGAGGATTGCTGAGGATTGCTAAGATTGCTAAGGGTCTGGGGAACACAAAGCAGCAGGTGCCGAGGAGGCAGGGAGTGGGCCTCGGCTCCTGGTAGAAGGATGTTTTGTACCCAGAGCTCAGCATGGGCATTTTGTCCCCTGGGGGTCCCTGTAGGACAGAGCAGCACATGTGGCTCATAGAATTAGGCTACATGTGGCTTATAAGAAAGGCTTACAGGTGTGGTCACAAGACAAAAGCCCTCCATGGCTCGTTGGCAGCCTCCCCTCTAACTGGAGCCATATGGGATCTCTCTGCCCAGCTTCTATGGCACACACAGCTGCTGGAACTCTGTTCACAATGAAACATTTCTCCCCCATGCAAAACCTTCTGAATATTTGTTATTTTTATTGTGTGTTATTCAAGGACGACAACTTGTTGACCATAATATTTCCAAAAGGATTCATGGAGTGAAGTCAAAACTAGGTTGTCAACACTGTGACAGGATGTGAGAGAAACAAGGATCACATCCCTGAAGACAAGGGCAGCTCATGTGTGAGGCGAGGATAAATTGGCCTTATAAATTCAGAGCAGGATGTGGGAGAAAACACATTGACATTCTCTACTCTGTGATGCTCATCAGATGCTCAGGAGGTGCCCATACGGAAGGTGGGAAGCTAGTGGGAGGAGAAGGGGGTTTAAGATTTCAGAGCTGCCTCCCATTCTGCTCCACTGAGAAGGCCCCAGATCTTCAGCAGCACTCCAGGCAGAGCAGGAGCTGGGGCGAGGTTTGTGCACCAGTAATGACGGGAGGTGGGGGCATGTGCCCCTGAAGGCAGCTTGGATGCTGATAGTCAGAATGACATCTGTCCAAGCCCATGGCCCTTAACCAGGGCAGGCATGGTGTCCAGGGGATAGCAGGAGCTCAGAGCCAGGCCTGGGTTCCGTTGGAACTGAGCTAGGATGCTGTTCATACTCTGGTCAGCCCTGCTGGTGAAAGTGACCCTCTCACTTGGGACGCCGGGATAGGGGCTGGATACAGGGTCCACACGATGTTGCCACTGGCATCTAAGTGGGAAACAAACATGAACATTCCCAAATATTAATACCAAAGAAGTAGTTCATTCAGTTTGATTAAGTTTCAATCAGAAAGCAAAACAGGCTGAAAACAAGTAAATCTTTCTGCTTAATGCAAACGAACTGAGGATGAAGCCGCAGTCCTCCCTCCTCATCAGAGTCAGAACAGCAGCAGGAAGAGGAGCAAAGGCGGGCCCCATGTCCACGAGGGCTTCCTGATACTGATCCTACTCAGAGAGGGTAGGTAGGGTGGAGTGTTTGCAGGGATTGTGACACCAAAATGGATGTGACTGGATGGCTTAAACCACAGAAATGTTATTTCTAACAGTTTAGGAGCCTAGAAAGGCAAAGCTCAAGGTCCAGAAAGGTTTTCTTGCTGGTGAGGACTCTCTTTTTAATTTGCAGATGTTACCTTTTGGCCATGTCCCCACATGACCATCCCTCAGGGCACGCAGGGAGGGTAGGGGAGGGAGAAAGCTCTATAGTGTCTCTCTTTATAAGGACAGTAATCCCGTGGTGTCAGGATCCTGCCCTGATCACCTCTTTAACCCTAGTTACCTCCTAGCAGGCTCTCTCTCCATCTGCAGCCATATTGGAGGTAAGAGATTCCAAATAGGAATTTGTGAAACATAGTTCCTTCCGTAAGAAGAGGGCTTTGGGGACACAGCCAAGGCAGTAGGGAGGGGCAAGATGAGGCTTCCGGTCTCAGAGCACAGGGGATTTTCCCATCACTAAGCACACTGGCAGCTCCTCCCAGGCGAACCATGTCAGACAGGAGACCCCAGTCCCGCCTTAGGGCCTCCCTGTCCATAAGGGGACATGATCACTTTTACTTCCTCATTACTTCTAAGATCAGACGTCTATCTTTTGTTTATTACGGTGTTTGTCTGCCATCTATTGGCCAGTTTCTAACATAGCATCTTACAGGATGTTAGATACTAGGGTCCAGTGAGCGTTGACTATGGATGAAATCTTTTCATGGGTATTCATGGAGTTGATCTTATGACATCCATCACTAGGACAGATTTTGTAGAAAACACGAAATGGCCCCTCCCCTCAATAAACCAGTCATCTAGTTGAGGACAAACGGTATGCAGGAAAAATATTTGTCACAAAACAATTAGGGTGGCTAGATTCTGGGATCCATGTGACATGCCAAAGATGTGGTTTTGGAAAAAAGAGAGGGCTGTAAAGGACCCTGTAGGGCATAATGGCAGGGACTGGGGTGAGAAGCTGACGGCCCCTGGTTTGGATCTGTCAACCCAGCCTCATTCCTCCCATCCCAGAAACACTTCCAGAGCAGCTCTGAGAACCACAGTAGCTTTCCGAGCTGAGGAAGCATCCGGGGACACCTGATCTTCTAAAAGAACAACTGCTGAGGTTTGTGCTCTCAGCTATAGCACTGCGAGTAATCAGATGTTATCATTTACATCTGTGCTAAGCAAAGTCATTTTCTAAGATGATGAAAATGTCTGTATGTATGAAGTGCAATAGGCTAGTCATTAGTCCTTTGTGGCTGCTGAGTACATGAAATGTACCTGATGTAACTGTGAAGCTACTTTTCTAATTTTAAGTATTTCTAATTGACACATCTGTGGCTATCACTGCTAGTGTTTCCCACGTGGAACAGCACAGTTGTAGACAGTAATAACCAGTAATGTCACTGGGACACCCAAGCTTCTAACTGTTAAGCAAAGGTGTGTCCCAGGACCACTGTACCAAGCTGGGGTGGACCATGGCCAAGGTAGACAGAGCACATGGGTGGATCTCAGGAACCTTCCCTGGATGCTTCCAGGCTGGTGATGGAAACTGTCCCTCTTGGAGACACTGATTGGGAAGCTGGAGACTGGGGCCCACATAGTTGCCTGTAGAATCTGAGGTGGAAACAAAACACAGATCTTCCCCAGTTAATGATGTCCCTCTCCATAGGCTTCCCAGCAGAGTCCTGCTGGCTGATCAAGTGGGAGGTGAATGCTGGGCTCCCTGAACAATGGCCTCAATCTGAGCCATTGTCCTATGGGACATATGAACTCTGTCATGTGGAGCCCCCTTAGCTGAAACCAGGGAACTAGAACCCAGAGGGCCAGAGCCCCATGTCCAGTGTCTAGTGCTGCCCCTGCCTATGGTGATCCCAACTCAAAGACAGAGACTGACCCAGTGATAAGGGCTTGAGTGGCAGGGAAGGGCTCTGGGGAGCCTGCAAACTGTCAACAAAGGAAAGACCTGGGCTTCCAACTTCTGAACCAGGGAACATTCTATGCCATGGGAGTGACCCAGACCAAGGTGTATGATGTAAGATATTACAGTAAGTTTTATCTTTACGGGAATAAAAATCAGAGAAGGCATCTGATTAGTTTAGCACTTGCTGACTTTTTCAGTACACACTGGTCCCTGCCCTTCCCATAATGATCCCGTGGTCTTTGCTGTTTTTGTGGTCACCTGGCTGCCTCCTCACCACTCAGATGAATCTTCAGTATGACCCTGGGGCCTTCCCTGATCAGCACAAATATATGGCCTCAGCCTCCAGATACCACAGACCATTCCTGCTTTTTACACAATTTGTCAACTACAGAAATTATTCTACGCACTTTTATTGTGTGGTTATTCTTCCTTCATGGCTCTTTCCCCTACTGAATTGGGACCCAAAATTGTCTTATTTACTCACGTGCACCTAACCTTCACTCGGTGGCCTTTACTTGTTCCTGAAAATGCTGCCATTAAGTGAAAATTTATTAAATGAAAAGCTATGTTTGTTCTACTCTATTGGAAAAAAAAAGAGTGAGCCACTGTGCCCAGCGGCACCTGTGTCTTTAAAGGCATCCATGCAGGTGAGTCTGTCTGAAGGCCTTGCAGTAAAATTGATTCAAAACCTAACTCTGTAAATAAGTCTGAGAAAAATACAGACATTGGAGTCACCATCTTGACAACGAGTTACTTTTCAGAATTTCAAAATTTCCAAATAGAGGCACAGTTGCTAAAACTGAGCAGCCATCATAGCTGCAGCCCATAAAGCTGCTGGTTTTAGAAAAAAAAAATCAATGGTTTTGTGAAAGTTTTTGTTTCATGTTGAATTACTGTGGGACACCCACTGCTGTACTGATGAGGGTAATAAAATTGTGACATCTTCAGGGTCTAGGCTGTTGATGGTTGGGGTAAAGTCTGCCTCAGGCCCACCACCACTGAACCGGGCTGGGATGCTGGTAGCCTTGGTAGATGCCCTATAAATAAGGAGCCTGGGAACCAGAACAGGTTTCTACTGGTCCCAGGCTGAATAGTTGTCAATGATCTGACTGGCCTTTCAGGTGAGGGTGGCTCCTTCCCCTGGGGACAAACACAGGGTGATTGGGGACCATGTCAGCACAACTTCTCCAGTGGTATCTGAGATTGGAATAAAACAGGAAAGTCAATTGTGCAATCTAGATCAAATCCACTGTCTTCCCAGTACAGCTGGGATCATTGATGTACATTGAATATTAATTATTGTTCTTGCTGAGCAGGTCACAGGACCCAATAACATTGACAGAGTTTCACTGGCATGCAGAATCATCCCGTGTTCCCCTCACCTGGGAGCCAGAGTACCAGAAAGGAGAGGAGCTGAGCTGGAACTTCCATGGTTCCCTCTGGGTCCTAACCGAGCAGCTCTTCCCGAGAGCTCTGACCCAGGCATTGATATGGGCTCTGGACAGCAGAGTGGCTGGAAGGATATGCAAAGTAGTTGGAGTGGGTGCTGGGCTTCCAGCTGCAGAGACCCCCTGCCTCCTCCTCTCTGCACTCAGCAGCCCCTGCCCAGGTGGTCAGGCCAGAAAAGTCCATTGGCTCAGCCTGATGGTAGAACTTCTTCCCTGTGGTCACAGACTATAGCCCCTGTTTCTTCCCGTCTCACTAGTCACCTAGACCCAGCCAGATGGTATTTAGTACAAACCTGTTGGGAATAAAATAGAAGCCTGTGGTTCTTTTCCTCTCCTTATTTCTCCAAAGAACCGAGTCATCTCCATTGGTGCATGAATGTACCTGGCTGAAAACTAGTTCATCAGAAGTTCATCTTCCACACACACTTTTCCTTTGCAGCTTAGCCATCTTTCCTATGAGCCCTGAAGCCTCCTCATTCTTTGTAAAAACTATTAAAGGGCAACACGCAATTAGGCCCAGCACTGTGGGTGTGATGATCATCACGGCTGCACAGATGAGCAGGCCCCGGGCTCAGACCCTTCAGTGTGTGTAATTCCATTCCCTGCAAACAGACGACAATGCTGTCCAGCAGGCCAGGAACAATTCCTTGGGTGATGCCCTACTTTCTATGCCACCCCATCCTGCACAACACATCCATTCAATCAGACTCAGGCCTTTCTCACTTTAATAATTTTGGAAACCTCTGCTCATGTTTCTGATCTAAACAATAATTCAATTTGGGGTTTCCTTGTGTTCCTTAAAATTGTGAGCATTTGGTGGTAAGTGACAGTTCACTGGACAGGCTGAGAAGCTCTTTGGGTTACATTCCATCTGAGTTCATTAATAGACATTGCAGAAATTTGTTTTCTCTCTTCTCTAAGTACTCACATAATATATTCAATTTTGCATCTTGCCTCACCAAACCTAAATATTTATTATCTGACTCCTGAGATAATCTGATAATACTGTCTTTTAACTAAAGAGTCAATAAATTTACTATAGTTGTGATTAATATGTGTTATTATATATCATATTCTATATAAAATTTGATAAATTAGAATACAATAATTATTATATGCTCTTGGGAAATACTACCAAATTATAACTCGAGACAAAGTACAAAAACAAAGCTCTGAGAATTATGATTTTTATTTTATTTTCTGAAGGCTGAGGATGAAACAGGAATAAAAGAAAAGAGAACGTTGTCAATAAAACAAGCTGCTTAATCCACTACTTAGTTCAACCATTGTGGAAGACAGTGTGGCAATTCCTCAAGGATCTAGAACTAGAAATACCATTTGACCCAGCCATCCCATTACTGGGCATATACCCAAAGGATTATAAATCATGCTGCTATAAAGACACATGCACACATATGTTTATTGTGGCACTATTCACAATAGCAAAGACTTGGACCCAACCCAAATGTCCATCAATGATAGACTGGATTAAGAAAATGTGGCACATATACACCATGGAATACTATGCAGTCATAAAAAAGGATGAGTTTATGTCCTTTGTAGCGACATGGATGAAGCTGGAAACCACCATTCTGAGCAAACTATCACAAGGACAGAAAACTAAAGACCACATGTTCTCATTCATAGGTGGGAATAGAACAATGAGAACACTTGGACACAGGGTGGGGAACATCACACACTGGGGTCTGTCGTGGGGGCGGGGGAGGGAGGAGGGATAGCATTAGGAGATATACCTAATGTAAATGACGAGTTAACGGGTGCAGCACACAACATGGCGCATGTATACAAATGTAACAAACCTGCACGTTGTGCACATGTACCCTAGAACTTAAAGTATAATTAAAAAAAAAAAAAAGACAGATGGAAGAAGTGGGTGGGAGCTGAGGCCAGGGGAGGGGCAGATGAGCCAACACTTGATTTTTTTGTCCCAAATTGTGAAGACAGTTAGAGATTAACCCTGAATTAGGGTTTATCCCACCTACTGAGTCAAGATATGACTAAAAAATGATTTTCATATGACACCTTGCAAAACATTTCAAAATATCCCATAAATTTAATTGAGAAAAATACAAACAAAATTATAAAATACAGCTATTTGTATACTTTGGCCTATTTTGTCACCTCACTCAGCCCACAGCAAATATACTTCCTTGGTGAGTGCAAAGAGTAAAATGAGAGGCCAAGGTGGACCACCGGGGGCCAGACAAACCCTCCATGAGGGCTGAGGACCACAGATCCCCGAGGACAATCAGACATCCAGAGGGAGGGCTGAGGACCACAGGCCCCTGAAGACAATCACAGGTCTGGAGGGTCTTAGCCCATGACTTTCCTCTGTAGAGACAGATTCTCCCAGATGGTTGAGGGCTGTCTGTGGCTGTGTCCTTCCTTCCGCATGATAATGGGGGCAGAGCAGGTCTCTAAGCAAACCCTGAGCAAGGCCTTCCCCTGTGTGCTGCTCTGACCTGGCCATAGGTGGAACTGGATTTACTTAAGGAAGTGATTTTTGATCATGAGGAAAGGAGAGAGAATGGGGAGAAAGAGAGAGATAAATTGTGTATGTATGCACAGAAAGATTGGATACTTTAATAAGTTAGTTCCTTGATACCTGTGAGTGTTACCTAAATTGAGCAAAAAGACTTCACAGATGTCAATTAATAATATTAAGATGGGGAGACTATCTGGATTAACCATAATGGCTCTAAATGCAATCACAAATGTCCTTGTAAGAGAGGATGTGAGAAGTTTAACACAGACAGAAGAGAAGGCAGTGTGACCACAGAGAAAGAGACGGGAGTGATGTGACCGCAGCCAAGGAAAGCTGCAGCCACCAGAAGCTGAAAGAGGCAAGAACAGAGAGGCAAATGCCATTCTCTCCCTGTGTGTGTTTCCTGTAGCTCCTCTATCAAATCTCCACATCCTTGCTGGCTTCAAACAGCATCAGTTTATTCTTTTACAGTTCTGGAAGGGAGAAATCTCACACAGGTCTCACTGGGATAAATGAAGCTCTCACTGGGCTAAAAGTAAGCTTCCCTATGGATGCTGGGGGAAAGAACTTTTTCTCTGGCCTTTTCCAGCTTTTAGAAGCTGCTGTCTTTCCAGGCCCCTGGCCTTTCTCTTACATCACTCAGCGTCTTTCTTCCTTGCCAAATCTCCTCCCCAAATCTGATCCTCCTGCCTCAGTTTTGTAAGGACACTGGTGATTACATGTGACCCATCTAGATAATCTTCTCATCTCAAGATCTTTAGCTTAATCACATCTGCCAAGTTTCTTTTGCCATATAAGGCAACATTCATAGGTTCCACAGATTAGGCACAAACATCTTTTTTTTTTTTTTTTTTTTTTTTTTTTGAGAAGAGATGGGGAGTGCTTTACTCACACTACCAATCATTCTTATTGGCCCCAAACTGTCCTTCTCTAAACAAGAATCCAAAATCACATAGCTGGAAGAAGGATAGAATGTGGGCAACCAACATCTTTATAAAGCAAGAGAGCTGGAGAGATCTGAGTCAGGGTCCTCTGGTCTGGGGTTTCCCTGGGCTGGAGGATTCTGCTGCTGCTGCTGCTGCTGCTGCTCCAATGTGGACCTCACATGTGTAGCTATTTGTTAGAGACTATTCTGATTTTGGGACCCAGAAGAAAAGAATTGCTACTTAATTGCAATCTAAGAGAGATTGGTAAAGGAAAATTAAATGTTTCCCTAACTTTCTGAATTTTTCTACCCGTAAAAAAAGAAATCCCTAGAATTTAGATAAAGATACCTCTACACATGAGAATTTGCCTATTGTCTTAAGGTGGGTCTTACAATGACAAGAATTCCCATGCTGACAACATATTTACAAAGCACAGAAAACCCTGGGAGAGAAGGGGGAAAGTGAGGCAGGGAAGACATGGCCAGTGAAAAGCTCATCAATAAGCAGCTGCTCATGAGGACCATGAGGACCACTAAAGCTCATGCCAATGTAAAAACACAAGAACCTCTGGGCTATTCTACCTGAGAGATGAGGGAGCTGTGGTATGTATACACCTCCTTTAGTCACCACAGATTGAGGGCTGTCCTAGGGGATGCTCATTCCAGGCTCTGAGGTCTACCATGCATGAAGTCAGAGGTGCCTTCTGTAGTTTCAGGGAGAGCAGCGAGGGGCAGATATCACCATGAGAAGTCAGCAGAAATGCAGAAAAGAATTAGGACAACTACTGCTACATCCACTCAAAAAAGATGTGTATGTGAAATCTGGAGGGTCCATGTGGGCCACATCTCTCTGGAATGCAAGAATGTGCCCTAGAAATTCAGGCTGCATGACAGGCAGCAGGGATTCTGTGCCCACACTGCACCACCATTGCTTGGCTACCCATAGTCAAGCATGCAGTTATACTCCCCGTAGTCCCCAGGCTCCAGGGCATTGATAGTGAAGGCATAGCTGGTTCCAGTTCTGCTGCCACTATACTGGGCTGGGATGCCTAGGACCAAGGTAGTGACATGAGATGTAAGGGGTTCAAGTCTTTGTCCAAGTTTTTTACTGATTCAAGATATTTCTCCATGTACATTGTTGCTGGCTTAGCAGGAGACAAAAACTCTCTTTCCTGAATGTACTGACAAGCAAGCAGTCTCCTGTGTTGGGATGATTTCCCCACTCACTGCAAAGAGTAAAAGAAGAAAGTGGCATTGATGGTGAACAGCAGGAATATGCACCCAGTTTTAGCTGCCCTCACTGAGGAGAGAGGGTTCACTCACTTAGCCTTTCCCCAGGTACTCCCCCTCAACTGCTCTCCAAAAAGCCAGGCCCCAGGGGAGCTGCTTCTGAGCCACCAGGAACATGCTGGTGAGGAGTGCTCAGAGCCTGGGTAGCGCTTGAGGCATCAGACTTTATAGAGACTTAGGTTCAGGGAAAGGCATAAGGCAGGTGCACACTAAAAAGAGGCACCGAGGGAAGGACTTACTAGACCTATGCAGTTGCTGGGTTTTGACCTAAGACTGGGGCCAGTACGCTTGTATGGAAATGAGCAATATTTAGTGGAAAACTTTCCTCTTTTGACAATGACCAGAAGGAAAATGATGCCTCTACCTGGAGGGAAAGGCAAGAAGAAGCACATCTCTTGTGATACTTAAGTTCATGGTCAGCCTAGAATCAGACAAGGCATTAGTTCAACATGCAGAGGAGACTGACTGTCAGGAAGTTGGGGAATCCTTGACATTAGGAAGGATGTTAGTAAAATTGGTATAAACTTCAGTAATTACTGTTTTTTCCTTCAGGCCATGGACTCTGGTGTCTCACTTTTGAGGCTACCCTCATACTTCTTGTGATGAAGCTTGCTTCATGTAGACTGGTTCAGGGCCTGACAGCCATTGCTTTGAGGGTTATGTGGAGCCATCACTGAAGGTGAATCTCAACTTGAATGACAGATGGTGGTGGCCACTGATGAGATGGGGCTTCCTATCTAAGAATCAACTCAGGTTTCTTGGCTCTTTGATAAATGGTTCCCATGCTTGGATCTTAAGGTGGAGGCCACAGGTCTGAGTTCTAAGTCTTTTCTTTCCACACCAACAGCCTTTCCCAGGAATCACCCTGGCCTCCTCCATGCTGGGAATCTAGACCCAACCCTCCTGCTACCTTCCCCAGCATCCAACAGTAACTGTCTGGAAGCTTTTATTTGTAAACCCTCCAAATGCAACCTCTGCCGGCAACATGGCTGGAGCAGTCAGCATCCTCCCATCAAAAAACACTGAGAAGGAGGGGAAACCTGCAAACACCACGGTGGTGTGGAGGAGATGCATGTAATCCTTAGATTTTATGTGTTTTCAAACTTTTTTGTCTGTTTCTTAACCATGGTTCTATTTTCACAATCTTGCAGAGGGAAGAATTGAAGATAAGAAGGGTTCTTTTATATTTAGAATATGAAAATAGAAATGACGACAGCAGGAGAATGGAATTTATAAACTCTTCGAAGCGGTTTGGGTTTCTCTAGCCAGGGACACAGCAGGACCAAGATGCCAGGAGAGGATATCACTTATTTTGGTTCCTGCCCTTCATGCTTCAGACTCCCACAAATGCACACATATGATAATGCCTGTCTTCTTCTAAAGAGCAGGTCTAAGGCCCAGCCGTGGTCTTTCACTGAGTATCTTTTCTGTCTAAATGAAAATAATTTTGGAAGTAGTGGAAACAAATGATAGCAATGGCTTAAGCAAAGAGGTCCAAAGGTTGGAGCTTTTCGAGTTGGTGAAGCATCTTGGCAACAGCAGAAAGGCCCCAGGTTCTTTCTCTATTTCTACTTTGCACCCCACCACATTGGCTTTGCAGACGTAGGCTCACTGCCTCATGGTCTTAAGATGGCTGCAGCGGCTCTAAGAATCAGTTCCTCTCATCATGATTACTGGAAAGAATGCAGGCCAAAATTCTTCACCACCTTCTTCTTTTTTTTTTTTTTTGAGATGGAGTCTCACTCTGTCGCCCAGGCTGGAGTGCAGTGGCACAATCTCGGCTCACTGCAAGCTCCGCCTCCCGAGTTCACGCCATTCTCCTGCCTCAGCCTCCTGAGTAGCTGGGACTACAGGCGCCCGCCACCTCGCCCGGCTAATTTTTTGTATTTTAAGTAGAGACGGGGTTTCACCGTGTTAGCCAGGATGGTCTCGATCTCCTGACCTCGTGATCCACCCGCCTCAGCCTCCCAAAGTGCTGGGATTACAAGCATAAGTCACCGCGCCCGGCCCCACCTTCTTCTTTTTATAAGGGATGAAAATTCTTCCCAGAATCTCTGCTCATCCCTCACTCCCTGACATCTTATTGTGGAACCAAACTCATGTCCCCCTAATTTCTGTTCCTGTCCTGGGCTGAGAGAAACTTTCTGTCCTCCCCATGCACAGCAGGACAGAGTTGGTGCCCAAGAAACCAAAGGAGGAAGATGGCTGCTAGGCAGGAGGCCAAAGCCTCGACACATTTAAATTTCACCTTGTGTCTAAGCCAACCTGGATGAAGCAGAAAGATCCCAACATTCTCTGAATCTGGTGGGGTTGGAACAAGCCAGGCCTTGAGGATGACAATGAAGTCAAATTTCTAATTTTCCACATGACAATGTTAGCTTCAGCAGTTGAGGAAATGTAGCCTGGGAATTTAAGGCCGGGACATACTTCCAAGTACTGGAATAAATGAGGGAGAGATCTGCAATAGGGACATGGGGGAGCAGTGGCTATGGAAGAAGGAGGAAAGCTGTGTGCTAAGGTTGGTGGTGCCACCTGCCCACCTGAGTGCAGCCCTCCCTGTGCTGGTTGCATCCCCATTTCAGTCTCATGCAGACCCCTCTGTTTACATGACTCCAGGTGCTATTTCTGCTCCCATCCACCCTGTGGCTTTCTGTCATGAGTACATATCTTCTTACACTTGAACCCTCTGGTATTCATGATATCAACAGCAATGTGATAACACCTAACAGAATGCAGACATTCCCTTTGCATATAGCAGCATGCTCACCTCTACCCAAAAGGTGAAAAAACTCAAATCTGTTCAGTCCAACACCATCTAGGAAAAACTGACCTTCCCTCATGAGTCACAAGTCAATCTGGATATCATTTAATCTGTGGTATAAATTATATAGGTGACCAAAACAGCACTTTGTATTAAAAGAATTTTAATAAAGGGACAGTTGAGAAAAAAATATTTAACATATGTAAATGTGTGCGTGACTCATTCAGATTTCATGAGTTGGTTTTCTCTGTATTCTTTTTATCCCCTGGCCTCCAGCACGATCTTTATGGTCGTTTCTGGTGAGGCTAACCTTCATGTCTCTGGCATTCAGGGTCCCAGATGTGACTAAGGCTCTGCACATGAGATATGCCCCTGCAGAGTGGTTTTCAGAAGTTAATAAGGGAAGGGGAGATGCCTTCCAGAGGGGCTCATTCTCCTGGTCTGGGTCCTGGCCAGGCAGCACTGTCCTGTGGGCACAGCATCCTGCCTCACAAGTTTCCTGTCACAATCAGAGGATTTTTCTGCATAGAAACGCAGGAAGAAACAGGGAAGTGAAATGAATGCCTGAGCCCACTCCTCTGCTCTTTCCATCTGGCTTAGTTCACCTAATCCATGACAATAAACGCGAGTTTGCTTCACCAGCCATAATGGCTTCTCTTGTATCTGACTGCTTCGATGACAGAAGAAGGAAGAAGGAATGAGTGGACTGGCTCCTGTACTTCTCTACTATGAAGCTGACCTAGAGGCTGTAGCTGGTGTTCACATCTCCTAAGTTCACTGTGCGTTTCATCTCCCCTCTGCTGCACTAGTGTCTAAGTACATGTGATGCTTCAGCTGTGTTACTTAAAGCTTCACTCTGGTGTCTGTAGAAGTTTCTCTTCACTTTTACCAGTGGAAATGGTGGTAAATGGAAACATTCCCAGCTGGGCACAATGGCTCATGCCTGTAATCCCAGCACTTTGGGAAGCCAAGCCAGGTGGATCACCTGAGGTCAGGAGTTTGAGGCCAGCCTGGGCAACATGGTAAAACCCTGTCTCTACTAAAAATACAAAAAAAAAAAAAATTAGCCAGACGTGGTGGCAGGTGCCTGTAACCCTAATCCCAGCTACTCAGGAGGCTGAGGCAGGAGAATTGCTTGAACCCGGGAGGTGGAGGTTTCAGTGAGCTGAGATCGTGCCATTGCACTCCAGTCTGGACAACAAATGTGAAACTCTGTCTAAAAAAAAAAAAAAAAAAAATCCTGAAGTTCCAAATGTGAAACTCTGTCTAAAAAAAAAAAAAAAAAAAAAAAAATCCTGAAGTTCCTCTGGGTTCCACATATTCTCTACTTCCTCTCTAAAATATGTAGAAGGAAACCTATACCTATGACTCCAGCCCACACCATAAGACCCTTTATTGACAGTTTATCTTACATCATAATGAGAACTAAATGGCCGCATGTTCATTGTTTCTTCCAATTTATTAATGATTTATCATGCTAACCCATTGGATCAAGAACTGTCAACCAGAAAACCCCGGACCTGAGTGAACAGAAAGAGAACTTTTCAATCTGCTCTGTAGGCATAATAAATAGTGATGGGCTCACCCCCCATGTCTCAGATACCACTATTCTCTTGATGGGAGTAACAATACCATACACCTTGGTGTTTTGGGGCCTCCGCCACATCTGGCAAGACAGTGATTTGACATTACAAGGGTTTGTGTGCTCACTTCACCTGCCTAGTAATGGGGTTTCTCCTGTCTGTAGGGATAGCTGCCTCTGTACACATGACAGCATCATGAACCTACTTTGCCTTACTTTTTTTTTGCTATAATAAAGTTACTTTTTCCAATGATAAATTATGTAAGGGTTTCTTGACTTGAAAGCACTTGAAAAACTTTCAAGTAATTATTCTAGCAGAAACATGGCTGATAAGAAAGGCAAATGTACATATAGGAAAATAACCACCCCCACCCCAATGTGTTGGGTTAGGTCCAATGTACTCACCTGATACCAGCTGTTAGTCTGATCTCAGATGTGTAGTACAATGTTAGGGTTTCAGGAAGGGTCATGGTTTTTGGCAAGTCAGATACTCAGATGTGCCATTAGCCTTGTGAGCCTCATTAAATGAAATTCAGATGCATAAATCTCCATGGCTTAAGTTCATGAGACTCCCTGGGAAAGGTGACTGACTGAAGTCCATGTGTTGGATCACCTTAATTATTAAGAGTTCCCTGCTAGGCAATGGCATTTAGATGAGTATTCACTTGGGTAGCATTTATTTTTGATCTTGGCCCATTTTGAAAGATCCAGTCACAGCTCTTCTAAACCAATTTTGTCCTTAAGTTTTGTTTCTTCTGAGACCTAATGACCTGTGCAAATTAATAATCAATGTCATTGCATTACCAGCCTCTCTTTGCAAAGTAGCCAATGATATACCCTTGTAGTTAACCCACTATTGTGATTTCTAGTCTTCCAGGGCATCCTTGATGATGGCAGGGGTGTGGCTTTGGTCCAGCACCCAATTTAGAACTCTGCCCAGCAGGCATCATTGTGAAATTTTAACATTTTGCCTAATTTTAACATTAGGCAAAATTACCTTTCTTCATATCCTTTACCCCTCCACTAAAAGATATTTTCAGGTGCACATACCCATTTGGTGAGTGTTAGAAATAAAGATTACAAAGGAAATCCCTGTAGCCAGAGCAGGTAACATATATAGTCCTGGACATCAGTTTTTTTCATGGGAGTAACTGGAATTATCTTAACAGATTTAATTTATACAATAATTTCATACGTATGCATGTGTTGCTTATATATATATATATATATAAACATATTTAAATAATCTTATCTACACATGAATATGTGTACATAGTATTTATAGCTAACAAGTTATCAAATAAATATATATGGATTAATATGTATGTTATATACACTCAAATATGTGCATTTTCCATAAATGACACAAATTTTACTGTTTTTATAGATATATGATGCAATATATTTGATACAGTGACAACATTTTTAAGTTTTATCTTAGTATCTTTAAAAACAGATCAATAAATATTTATATTTTTGCATCAGAGAACCCCATCTCTAGTATCTGCTTCATGAATAACATATGCCAGGTTTTCGAAGGCTATAGTTTAGATTCTAATTCACTCAGTTAAAACAATTCCTGCTTGGAATGTGTGGCTTCCATTTTACTGTAAGAATTTCAATTACCCCATAACACAGACTCCTCAGGTAGACTAATCTCCTTTCTTTACTAAATTCGAAGAGACATTGCCATGAGAGGAAAGAGACTTAGGGTGGAGAGACACCTTCATGGCCCCCTCTTCCGTAATCTCCCAATAACCCTCAAAACTCAGGCTGAGTCTGAGAAGTGTTGTCACCAGATGGCTGCACAAAGAAGAGCAGGTGGGGCAGCCCAGCGTCACATGTCTGCTTTCCTGGGGGGGGTTTGTTATGGTTTGTAACACTGTGATAGGGTAATTTTTATACTGTTGACAGTAATAAGTTGCAACATCTTTAGGCTGCAGGATTCTGATGGTGAGAGTAAAATCTGTCCCAGATCCACTGCCACCGAACCGCGAAGGAGCCCCAGATTGCAAACTGGATGCAGCATAGATCAGGCCCTTAGGGGCCTTCCCTGGTTTCTGCTGATACCAGTCTAAATTACTACCAATGCTCTGACTCGCCCGGCAAGTGATGGTGACGCTGTCTCCTTACAGATGCAGACAGTGTGGATGGAGACTGGGTGACTGGATGTCACTTCTGGTCCCTGAAATTGCAAACAGAAAAACAAATATCCACACAATTAATCATGTTATAAGAAGACTTCCCTGAATGGCCAGGCAGTACCTAGCACACTGGCTGAGTAAGAGGCTAGTAATTTCTTTTCTTAACTGGAAACCAGGATGGCAGAAGTCCCGGGAGCTGAATGAGGGTCTTCATGTCCATGCTGTGTCCAGACAAAAACTGACTCCTGCACGGGGTGTGACCAGCCAATTAATAAGTCTTCAGGAAGGGAGCTGTGCTCTGGGACATGCAAATCAGCAGAGGATGGGGAAGGCTGGGCACAGCTGCAAGGCTGGCTCATCTCAGTAACTCAGCACAGGGGCAGTGTCCCCAGGGTCCCAGATCAGAGCAGGGTAGCATCAACTTACCTGCAGATAATACATTTCTCTTTGGTGGCCATACTATTACAAAACGTATTTTTGGGACAATTTCCAAAATTTTAAACGAACCTAAGGACTACATTGAGTAATGCATTTTATAGTTGTATTGGCAGTATGTAGGAGACTATCCTTGTTTGCAGGGAATGCATAATAAAATCTTAGAAAGTAGAGCTCTTGGGTCTTCAAGTTACTGGCAAATGTATTTGGTGAGTGTAAAAATATTTTGTGTTGTGTTAACAATATTTCTGTCAGTGAGGAATTGTCTTTTTTAAAATGAAAATAAGACTTTATCAGAAGCATTTTTAACAATATTCAAAAATAGTTTGTCATAACTTTAAGCCATTGTTGTTACTGGTATAAGGACAAGGAATTGACTGCAGTTTCACAAAGATAATACCATGATTTCTCATGCATGTACCACGCACAGACCCTCCATTTTCCAGAGCTATCGGTCACTTTAATACCCAAGGATTAAATGGATAGCACCTTATTCTTGCCTTGGGGAGAATATTCTACCACCTTTTCTGTCACTGTGTAATATTTCTTACAGATCATCGCATAAAGGGCTGGCTAGTGATGCCAGATCTGATTAGTTCAACAAGATTCTCTGTTTCTTCATTGAACTATAGGAGCCTTGATTAGGATAAACTTGAAACCCTGTATCAATCCAGACTCTTATAATCAAATGTGTCCAAAGTAGGAAGACAAAGATCATATCCCCTGGGTAATGCTCCAAGCTGTGCTCCCTACCAGCATGTTCCTAGTGTCTCAGGTGCAGCTCCCCCGAAGCCTGGCTTTCTGAAGGGCAGGTGAAGGGGAGGACCTGGGGAAAGACAAAGTCAGTGAACTCTCTCTTCTGGTGAGGGTGGCTGCTGCTCGGTACATGCCCTTGCCTTGAACCATCAATGTCATTTGCTTCTTTTACTCTTTTGCAGTGAGTGGGGACATCACCCTGACCCAGATGTCAGCCTCACTGTCTCACAGCCAGGACACAGGGTCTCCATCCCTGGCCAAGTCATTGCTGATGTATACAGAGATATATCTGAAAATGGATAAAACTTGGAAACAAATTTGAACCTCTGTACCTCATACCTCTGCCTATGCTGAGGGCATCCCAACCTGATTCAGCAGCAGGGGAATTGGAACCAACTACATCAGCATCAGTGGGCTGGAGCCCGGGTACTCCAGGCAGTATTACTCATTCATGATCACGCATGGTCCCACCACAGTGGTGCAGTCTGTGCACAAACCTTCTGCTGCTTTTCCGGGGGCTTGGATTTCAAGAGAACTGGCCAGTAAACAGCCTACTAATATCCAGGTTCAAGACATAGGGCTCTAGATTGAAATACACATCTTTTTTTTCTGAATGTAGCCGTCTCTCTTGCTACCCTTGGCCTTTCCCCTTCACTGTACTTCTGCTGACTCCATGGTCATGCTGCTGTCTCTGAGCTGGGCAGACTCCATGGTCATGCTGCTGCTCTCTCTGAGATGGGCAGACTCCATGGTCATGCTGCTGCTCTCTCTGAGCTGGGGAAGGCAGCTCTGCCTGCATGCATGCCAGACCACAGTGTCTGGAATAGCATCCCCTAGGACAGCCCTCAATCGGTAAGGACAGGGGAGGTGTATACATACATGTGGCCATGTGGAAGGAACATATATAAGTTCTGACAGACCTGGGTTCCAATCTCAGTCCCTACTTCTGCTGACCATGTGACTTTGGGAAATCACCCCTGCACTCTGATGGGCAGTTTTCTTACCTGTAAAATGAAGTACTGTGGATATCAAGCAGTGTCTTGAGGGCTTCACCAGATCATGACCCATGAAGAGAGAAAGAGAGAGAGAGAGAGTACCCGGTGTCCATTTCATGCATCCTTGACTGTCTTAGAATGAAGACGTTATGTAAGATATTACTAGTCAGATGTCACTTTCAACTAAAAATTATCAATATTTATTCTAACTAATAGATCTCTCTCTCTCTATACAGTGAAGTTTCACGTAAATGTTTTCCCACCATATCCTCTCCCATCAATCTATTTATGTGTAGCAGTAGAAAGTTGAACAAGAAGACTGAAAACCACCAGAGCACGTTTCATCTGCACTTTCCCTGCACTTCATTCTTATTAGTGTCCTTGGGCTGCTGTAACACAGTTCCAAAAATCTGATGGCTTAAAACAGTTTACTCTCTCATACTTTTGTAGGCCAGAAATCTAGAATCAGTATCTCTGGGCCAAGATCATGGCCTTGGCGGCCAGGCTCCTTCAGAGGCTCCAGGAGGGAGTCTATTCTTGCCTCCCCCAGCTCCTAATGGCTGCATCTTTCCTTGACTGTGGCCATACCCCTCCAGTCTTTGTCTCTGTGGCCACATTGCCTTCTCTTCTGTCTGTGTTAAATCTCAATCTATCTCACTCTTAGGAGGATACTTGTGATTGCATTTAGGGTCCACTTGGTCAATCCAGGATAATCTCCCTGTTTCTAGATTCTTAATTTATACCTGCAAAGGTCTTTTTCCCATACCAGTTACATTAATTGGCTCCATGGAAAAGAACCTGATAATGTGGGGGTGATACTCAGTGCTAAACCATTACAGGACCCAGTTTCAGTGTCGGTACTGTACACACGTTACATTCTCTCTCTATGTCTTTCGCTCACTCTCTCCCCCTTCTTCCCTCCCTTTCTTATGATCACAAATCATTCCACTTCCCTAAGTGTATCCACTGCCACCTAGGTTCAGAGTTCAGAGAGGAACACACAGGAAGGTCTTGCTCGGGTTTGCATAGAGATCTGCCCAGTCCCCGCTATCATGTACAAGAAAAGACATAGCCACAGACAGCCCTCAGCCATCTGGGAAGAAGCTGTCTCTACAGAGGACAGTCATGAGCTATGACTCTCTCGACCTCTTATTGTCTTCAGAGGCTTTTGGCCCTCATGGAGGGTGTGGGTGGCCCCTGACTATAGGATTTGGTCTTCATGGAGGGTGTAGGTGGCCCCTGGCTACAGGATTCACCAGGACTTTCATCAGAATATCTGATTCACAGAAGGCAGTCAGTGATAGGGCCACACAGAGGGACTCTGCAGGGCCAGCTGCACAGAGCACTCTGGAACAGCCTGCCTCCTCATATTTCTTCCTGAACACACATATTTGGATCTCCTAATACTATTTTGCTAGTCCATTACTTGCTCTGAAGGTAATAGGTAGGATTAACTAAGACAGAATTTTTAATAGTTACAAATCAGAAGAAAAAAAGTAATTTTTTAAATTGCTAAGCTGATAAAGAAGAAGATAACATGACGGCAAAAAACAAAAACTCTAGACTGAGGGCTTTGGGTAAGAGCTTGAGACTCTCAGTAGTGGAGCACCTGGGCCATCGCCTTTCAGAAGAGAGGGACAATCAGGAAAGAAAGCGTGCAGTAGAGGCAAAAATCTTGCTTACTCAGACAAAGCCTCAGAAGAAAGGAGACACCTTCTTCCTGAGCACCAGCAATCAGAGAAATTCTCAATAAAAATAAATCATAATGAAAAATAAATAAATAATAATGAAAAAATCGAGAATAGTTATAAGCGCTGCATGCACTGCTCATTGCACCAAGTGCCTTGTAATGAACGAAGTGCAGACAATAATCATAGACCCCAAATGTGTCCCAAACCTGACCACTCCCCCGACTTCTACCCCACCACTTCACCCCAATGCAAACCTCCATTATCTTCCACCTGCAAGATAATCCCTCAAATATTACCCAACTTCTTCTTTGCTCCTTGTTCCTTGATAAGTGGTCCCCACTCTCAGGGTCCTAAGGCTGTGGCCACAGGTCTGAGTTCTAAGGTCTTTCTTCTCACACCCACAGCCTTTCTCACTCTGGCCTCCTCCATTTTGAGAATCCAGACCCAATGTCCTGCCACCCTCCCTGGAATCAGGCACTAATTGCCAGTAGCTTTTCTTTGTAAACCCTCCAAATGCAACCTCTAACAGGAACCTGGCTGGAGCAGTCAGCATCTTCCTGTTACGGGCAGTTAGACAGGCATGAGATGGGCAGGAGAGGTCTCTTTCCCCACCCACTAGGAATGTGGGGTGATGGTTCAGCAATGATCACATTGCCTCTCTAAAAGTGATAAGTTGGCAGCTGGCACTAGAGGGAGGCCATTTCCTGATGGTCCACACCTTTTGCACTAAGGTGTTAATTGAATGCAAGCACCAGGGAAATGCAACTTCCCAGGCATGTTAAAATAAATAATACAATAAATATAAATACAAAAATAAAAATAAAATGTTTATATTTATAAATAAATTTATATTTTGTATTCACATTTATACTTTATGTATATTTATATTTATATATTTGTATATTTATATGTATGTATTCATATTTATATTTATGTATAAATATAATTTATATATACATAAATTTATATTTATACATAAATATAAATACAAAACAGTGAAGTATGACCTTCCAGGGGCACACCACCAGAAAAGGGAAGGAAGCCTCAGATAGGCATGTGTACAACTTTCTGAACACACTGAGCATGCTCACCTCCCAAGGGTAAGAAGGGCACTGCGCATGCGGGCAGCCCACCCTAAGAGAAGAATCATGGGAAAGAGACCTGCCTATAAAGTACTAGAATCAAGGTTAAACACCGGACTTCTTCTTCAAGTCGCCCACTTTGGTCTCTTTCAAGTGTACTTTCCTTTCTCCCCTGTTCTAAAGCTTTTCAATAAACTTTCACTTCTGCTCTGAAATTTACCTTGGTCTCTTTTTCTCCCTTATGCCCCTCAGTCGCATTCTTTCTTCTGAGGAGGCAAGAATTGAGGTTGCCGCAGGCCAAGGATTGAGGTTGCTGCAGACTCATACGGATTTGCCACTAGCAACTAGAATATCTTTAACCAGTAACATTCCCAGCAAAAAGTGCTAAGAAGAAAGAGAAACCTGCAAACACACTTTGTTGTTAATGAAATGCATAAAATCCCCTGTTTCTATGTCTTCTCCAACTATTTTTGTTTCTTAACCACAATTATATATGTATGATCTTGGAGCAGGGAGGAATTAAGAACAGGCATTTATTTCATGCTTAGGATATAAAAAGAGGAATGGAGAGGGAAAGACAGCAGAATTTATAAGTTCTTCAAAGTGATTTGAGTTTTTCTAGCCATGGGCATAGAATGACCAAGATCTCAGGGGAGCACTGCACTTACAATTCCTGCCCTTCACGCCTCAGACTCCCATGAACACACACACACATAAAAATGCCTGTCTTCTCCTAAAGAGCAAATTTAAGGCTCTGTTTCTTCCCTTGAGTACCTTTTCTCATAAATGAAATAAAATAAATGAAAGTAACTTTAGAAGCAATGGAAAGAAACAATAGCAAAAGCTTAAGCAAAGATCAGAAGTCTGAAGGTTGGAGTATTAGGGTTGGTGCAGCAGCTTGGGGGCAGCATGAGGAAACCAGGTTCACCTTCCCCACATTGGATTTTCAGTCTTGGACTCAAGTCCTCATGATCTCCAGAGGACTGCAACAGCTCTAAGCTAAGGACATTAGTGTCATATCCACTAAAAACTCTTCCAGGAAAAAATGTGGGGCAAAATTCTTCACCTTCCTTCTATTTATGAGGAATCAAATTCTCCCCAGAAGCCCTGCCCACCTACTCCCCTACCATCTCATGGTGGAGGTGACCACACATGCTCTTAATCCTCACTCCAGCCCTAAATTGAGAGAGGTTCACTGTCCTCACCAGGCATGGCAGAAAGGAGCTGGTGCCCTCTACACCAAAGGAGAAGGGGGATGGCTGCTCAGAGAGTGTCAAGAGCTTGGCAACATTTAAACCTCACTATGCTTCTAAATTAAGTTGTGTGGGGAGGAGAGATCTCAAGAGCCTCTTGGTCTGGTGGAGTTGGAACAAGCCAGGCCCTGAGGATGACAGTGAAGTCAAATTTTTAATATTCTAGATGGCAATGTTAGCTTCAGCAGTTTTGGAAATGTGGCTTATGCAATTAAGATCAGGACAGACTTTCAGGTACTGGAATAAAAGAGAAGAGATTAGAAATAAAGTCCTCAAACCAGGGCTAAGGTCAGGCCTGCACTGACCGAGAGCTGCTGGGCTCTGGCCCTGGGCTGTGAAAGAAACAGCTGCTTTCTTGAACTATGAGGCTGAGGACCTGGGAGGAACCACAGGCCCTGTCCATGGGGCTGCCTGGCAAAGGATTCAAGAAAGAAAGCTGCTCACACACTCATGGGCGCGGCACCAAGCCCGAGCCTGGGGCCATGGTGAAAGCCTCAGAAACCAGGACCTTAGAGCTGGGCCTGGGCTCCTGGAGTAGGCTGCTCTCAGCTCTGTTCTCATTGTATATAAGCAGTCAGGACCTTCTTGGAAGCAAAGGGAGAGGGTGAGCAAATGTCCCCAGGGCTCTTGCTGAGCCAGATTCTGTTCTGATGACAAAGAAATAGAGCACATGCTCAACAAATAATATATGCATACATATTATGTAAACTTTATTAAATACATATAATATTTTGAATATTAATTATATATTGAGATAGATGTATACGCTATGTTTCTACATTTCACATTAAAATAATATGTACAATTGTATAGAAATTGATATACTTTTGTTGAAATTGTATCACCTGGCCCTGCAGGTGACAGAAAGATAAACAAACTATAACTTCATTATCAAGGAAATGTTCATGTTTAATACAAACTATCTGAAGCCGAAGTCTGAGTTCTTCTTCCTCATCAGAGAGTCAGAAAAGCAGGAGGAAGAGGGGCAAAGCTGGGCACCCATGTCCATGAGGGCCTCCTGAGGCTGATCCTGCTCAGAGAGGGTGGGGACAGTGGATGGGCCTTCTTGCACTGCTACACCAAAATACCCTGGGCTGGGTAGATTAAACCAGAGAAATTTATTCTCATAGTTCACAAGCCTGGAAAGTCCAAGATCAAGTTCCAGCAAGGTTCACTTTCTGGTTAGAACCTTCTTCCTAGTTTACAGGTAGTCACCTTCTCACCATGTCTTCTCATGGCCTTTCCATAGGGAAGCAGTGAGTTAGAGAAATAAAGGAAAAGAGAAGAGTTCTCTGGTTTCTGTCCTTATAAGGACACTAATCCTATTGGATCAGAGCCCCACCCTTATGACTTCATTTAACCGTAATTACCCCTTTATAACCCCAATTATCTCCTACATCCACATAGGGGAATAGGGCCAGGCTTCCAGTCTCAGAGCACAGATGGCTTTTTCCCACCATTCAGCACAGTGGCAGCTCCTCCCAGGTGCCCCAGGTAACATGTGGGACATTATTCTAGCCTTATGGGGTCCCTGTTAACAATGGGACACTATCACTCTTGCTTTTCTAGTATTTCTAAGATAATGGTACTCTCTTTTTTGTGGGGTTTGTTTGCAATCTAGAGGCAGGTTTGACATAGCAACTTACAGGATTTTTAAATTTTGTGATAGTAAAAATAAATAAATAAATAAATTTATCATAAATAATAAATTGACTTAATACATTGAATCTGTAAAAAAAAGATAAGGCCAATTGAAAAGCTTAAAAAGAGTCTGAGGGGTTTAAAAAGGCAAATTCCTTTCAATGAGAGTTAGAGAACGGATGACCGATTTTTTTTAATAGATGACGTTTCAGCAGTAATTATCAAATGGTAAACAACAACTTGAAAAAAGGTCTCACAAATATAATTTCATAGTCAAAAAACATTTCTGAGAATCATATAAATACATATTCAGATTAAAACAGACAGAAAAATGTGACCTTATCGGTAGATCTACTCAATGGAAAATTCCTCAAATATGTGCTTGAGGCAAAAGGAATATTTATCATTGATGGAAGTTCAAGTTTTCTAATAAACTCCAACATCCTTAGTCTCCGTCCTACTGACTTTCAGTGTAAACTCAGTACCTGACCCATTACCCCTGAACCTGTCTGAGAATTCGGAGGCCTGGTTGGAAACCTCATAAATCAGGAGCTGTGGAGACTGGCCTGGCTTCTGCAGGTACCAATACAAATAGGTGTTTCCATTATTATACAGGAGGCTCTAACTAGACCTGCAGGAGATAAAGGCTGGCTTTCCATTATGAACAACTTTCATGATTTCTTTTATGATATTGATTTATAGTTACATTTTTCAAGTTTTGATTCATGTCATGAAAGTAGACTTTCTAAAATAAACCCATTATTTACCAGCCAGAAGGGAACTCTTTTTTTTTTTCAAGATCTTAATCAGAGTACTGTTCATTGTTCCCTGGAGGTGAACCTTGATTATTCATAAGACAAAAATATGAATTCTTTTCCCTGGGCATAGACCATGTGACTCTATCATGTTGGAATAAATGATACTGCTCTGATGAGTAGAGGACACCAGGTTCTTTGTCTCGAGTCAAATGAGAAAAAATGACACTGACACACTTAGAATAGTTTTAAGGAGCAGGGAGTTTAATAGGCAAGAAAGAAGGGGGAAGAAAGAAGGATGAAGCTCCCCTGTACAAAGACAGAGGGAGGGGGGCTCCAAAGCCGAGGGACGAACCACTCTTTCAGGTAATATCAGCCAGCTATATTTGATGGCTGGAGGAGGCGGTGTCTGATTTGCACAGGGCTCAGGGTATTGGTTTGACCAGACATGTCATTCACGGTAGCCCTCGAAAGAACTGGCCCTCCCACCCTAGCCTTTTAATATGCAAATACAGGGCGCCATGATGTTCCACACACGTGGGGATATGTAGGGGCAACCATGCTGCCAGGCGCATGTTGGGGCAAGGGCAAGAGGACAACGGTGGAAATCACCATGTTGGGTGCATGTTGGATGGACCCAGTTTCTAACGGCTTGCATTTGCATATAAAAGGTTGCCTGCCCGGGGCTAAGACCCAGGGCTTTCATGCTAGACAACAGCTGTGAAAAGTCTCCCAAGGATCCCTTTTTTCCTCTCTATCTGCCTAAAATAATATCTTAATAACTCCTACCTCATAAACACGTGAAGCTGTGGAGCCCACAGACTCACCTCCCACCCAGTTCTCCTTGCCCTGGCACATACATCCAGCTTCTGTGAAGAATTGGATGTGGCTAGAGACTTGGGGTCCCACGGACAAGAGTTGAGATGCAACACGGCAAGCTTTGAATAGGGGGCTGGTCAATTGTAAGCAGATGCCATAGAAAATCAGGAAGGTCCTCCAGGCAGCGCATCAACAGCCCCGAACATGGGCTTCCCAGACATGTCTGAGGACCACATGATTGGCAATTATACCTTCTGCACCAGATGCTCTCTGGATTCTTGGGGAGATCCAGAGAATCGTTTTCTAATTATTTGCATCTTTGAGTACCATGCTCCCAAGCCTCCCAGAGGCTGTAGTTTAGACTCTCATTGCGTGTATTTAGAAAAAAAAAAATAGACTTGGAATTCCAAGAGTAGGTTTTCCTTTGTGGTATTGATTCCAACTCACACCATAGCCAAGACTCAGGTGTAATCGTCTCTTTTCTTAATGAAATCAGGAACAGTATTACCATGTTTGTGCTGCAGGGGATGAGAAGGAAAAACAGTTAAGGTATAGAGGAGTTGTAATCGCCCAAGGGGTTCACCTTGCCTGCTGCTTAGACAGAGTCGATTTATCAAGACACGGCAATAGCAGTAGTGAAAGAGTAATTCACACAGAGCTGGCTGTGTAATATCTTCCACCGTCATAATTTTCTCAGTTATGATTTTTGCAAAGGCAGTTTCAGAGTCTTCATGGCCCCTTCCATCAAAACTTTTCAGTGACTTTCAAAGCTTGACTGGAATATGAGAAACGCTCTGAGCAGCTGGAGGCAGTAGGAGGAGTATCTGGGGCAGGCCAGCCCCATACATCTGCTTCCTTGGGGGGTTTATGTTATGCCTTGTAACACTGTGGGAGGGGCATTGTAAGTCCGTTGACCGTAATAAGTTGCAACATCTTCAGGCTGCAGGCTGCTGATAGTGAGAGTGAAATCTGTCCCAGATCCACTGCCACTGAACCGAGATGGGACTCCAGATTGCAAATTGGATGCACTATAGATCAGGAGCTTAGGAACTTTCCCTGGTTTCTGCCGATACCAATTTAAATAACTGCTAATGCCCTGACTCACCCGGCAAGTGATGGTGACTCTGTCTCCTACAGATGCAGACAGGGAGGATGGAGACTGGGTCAACTGGATGTCACATCTGGCACCTGAGATTGGAAATATAAAAACAAACATCCATTCAATCCATCATGTTATAAGAAGACCTCCCTGAAGAGCCAGGCTATACTGAGCGCACCAGCTGAGTAAATTCCTAGTGTTCTCCTTCCTTACCTGGGACCCAGAGCAGTAGGAGCCCCAGGAGCTGAGCGGGGACCCTCATGTCCATGCTGTGTCCTGACTGGGACTGACTGCTGCACGGGGTGTGACCAGCCTGTTAAGAAGACTTCAGGGCAGGGGGCTGTGCTCTGGGAACATGCAAATCAGCAGGGGTTGGGGCAGGCTGGGCACAGCTGCGGGGCTGGCTCATCTCTGAGCCAGTCCCTCGTGTCCCCAGTGTCCCAAGTCAGAGGAGGGTAGCACAGATTTGTCTGTAAGAACATGTTTCCTCTTGGGGCCGTTTTGTAACAAAGAACTTTTTTTTTTAATAATTGTTAATATTTGAAATACTCTTGAGTACTCGATGAAGTAATGTTTTCTATTTGTATATGGGGATTAATTAAGGTTTTTTTTTTTTGAGACAGAGTCTCGTTCTGTCACCTAGGCTGGAGTGCAGTGGCACGATCTCACCTCACTGCAACCTCCACCTGCCAGGTACCATCGATTTCTCCTGCCTCAGCCTCCAGGGTAGGTGGGACTACAGGTGCGCACCACCATGCCAGGCTAATTTTGTATTTTTAGTAGTAGAAATGGGGTTTCACCATGTTGGCCAAGCTGGTCTCGAACTCCTAACCTCAGATGACCCCCTCGCCTCAGCCTCCCAAAGTGCTGGGATTACAGGCATGAGCCACCACGTCCAGCCAGGGGAATATTTTTATTTGTAGGAAACTCAGTAAAGTTTTAGAGGGTGGGAACATCAAGTCTTGAATATACTCTGCAAAGGAGAGGATACTTTGTTCCATACTTATAACATTTCTGTGAGAGTGAAATGGTTCCTTCTTAAAAAAAAGAGACAATTTTACAAGATAATGCTAAATATATTTGAAAGTATTTTGTAATGACCTTAAGCCATTCTTACATGACTGTATGGTCACGCAATTCACTACAGATGCATAAAAATGAAACCACAAGTCCTCAAGGCCGGTATCACTCACAGATTCACCATTATTTAAACCTGTAAGCCACCTTAATACCCAGAGATTATATAAGCTGCATCTTATTTTTGGTTTGGTGATCTCTATATTTTACCCTCTCTTCTGCCATTAAGTATTATTTCCCAGGGGTTCTCAGCATGAAGAGCTGACTAGTGATGCCAGATCTGATTGACTTAAATAACTAGTTTCTTCCTGCATTTATCAGAGTCTGGATTAGGATAAACTTGAAATTATCCAGGGTTCAGTTGTCTCCACAAGTAGGAAGACCAAGATTGCATCCCCTGAGTAATGCTGAACTCCCCACCAGCATGTTCCTGGGTGCTCAGGTACAGCTCCTCTGAATCCTGGATTTCTGGAGAGCAGGTGATGGAGAGACTTTGGAAAAGATCAGGACAGTAAGTCCTCCCTCCCAGTGAGGGCAGCTGCTGCTCAGTGCATGTCCCTGCCTTGCACGATGAATGCCACTTTCCTCTTTTACTTTTTAGCAGTGAGTGGGAACATCATTCTGATCCACATACCAGCCTCCTGTCTCACATCCAGAACAGAGTCTCCACCTCTTATCAAGCAAATTTCCATACATATGGAGAAATTAATTGGATCCTAATAAAACTGGTAATGGATTTGCACCCAATCATATCTCACATCTCTAACAGGGCCCAAGACATCTCAGCCTGCTTCAGCAGCAGCATTCAACTACATCAGCGTCTGTGGGCTGTAGCCTGGGTTCTGGAAAGTATTACTCATGCCTGACTAGGAGTGGTCAAATCACTGTGGTGTAAGCTCTGCACACACCCTCCTTCTGTCTATTCAGGGACCTGAATGTTAAGGGAACTTGCTTTTGTAGAGGGAAAAGGGGAAAGAGAAAAGCAAACCTTCTAAAGGTTTGCTGAAAATGAATAGACAAAAGACAAATTAATAGAAAAAAAGGCAAACAAATGTATTTAACATGTGGGGTGGGGGTGTGGGGATAACACACGAGAGGGATTACCCAAATAACCCAGTGAGGTCCAGGTGCTTCTACATCCTTTATAGGGAAGAGGGAAGTAGAGAGTATAGACAACTAAGGGAGAGTAAATAACCTAAAATAAAAGAAAAGGGTCCTGAAAAGGATAGGTAGTAGCCTGTCTGGATAAAGTCAACATTCAATCTTTTCTGGATTTAACTTCTAGTGCATGTTAATATTCCCTGGTAGATAAACATTCCCAGGGAGGGTTTTCATGACAATTGGCTTCCTTCTGGAGAAACTGCCCTTAGACAGGTAAGGGAGATTTAGGAAAAGCCCCTTTATATATTTGTTGTTTTCTAAACACCTTCAGTTTGAAGCAATCACAATACCAATGTAGCATATCTTGAGATGTTACTTCCCAGATTCCTTCATTTGCAACTGACCTGCCAGGAAACACCATTCCAGAAGGTTGCAGCTCCAGGTGGAAAATACAGGTGCTTTTTTCTAAACGGTTGGAGCAGTCCCTGTCTGCACTGAGGACTTTCCCTTTCACCGTACTTCTGCTGATTCCCCATGGCCATCTCTGCCCTCTCTGAGAAAGGCAGCTCCGCCTACACGCATGGCAGACCACAGGGCTTGGAATGAGTCTTTCCTCAGACAGTGCTATGGTTTCACTGTATCCCCTCAATTTCATCCACTGTTAATTTAATCCATAATGCAACAGAATTGAGAGGTGGGGCCTAATGAGAAGTGTTTAAATACTGAAGGTTCTGCCCTTATGAATAGATTAATGCTACTATAAAAAGGGCTTTTATTATGGAACCAAACTGGATTCAGCTTGCTCAGTGCAGTAAAACCAGTTATCCAAACTGAGTTTGCAGTAGGAGAAAAAAGACATTTATTTGCAGGACGTCAAGCAAAGAGGACCAGACAGCTAATGCTTAAATCTTGATCTCTCTAATGGCTTACAAATAATGGCTTTTAAAAGCCCAGGTAAGTTTCAGGGAATCAAAAGTTACAGGCAAAATTGTAAATCAATACATGGAGGTTACACATTGGCTTTGGCCTAAGAGGGCAGGATATCATGAAGCAGCAGAATATCTTACAGGTCATGAGTAGATTGAAAAATTTTCTGATGTGCAATTGATTAAGGAAGAAAAGCTTTGTTTAAAAATTGGGGTCAGCACAAAGGAATGTTGGCTCTGGCCTGTGGGTGTGACTTTCTCCAGGCCCCTCAGGTGGAAATTCAGAACAAAGAACCATGGTCAAATTTCAGTCCCCTGTTTCCCCTTATGTGAAGTCTATGTGCTGGCGGATCCATTTGTTGGAGATCTGGGTTTCTGAAAAACAACTCAGAGACATATGCTGAGATGTTCTCTTTAGTTTCTGTAGAGGAATAAAACATAATGTGATTTTTAGCTTCTTTGACTATTGTTTTAGTCTATTATCATCTCCTTGCTTCTCATGTTGCTTGTTTACTTCTCAAGGCTTAGCTGGACACCTAACATTTCCCTTGAAAAGACCCAAGATTTTCCTTTATTTCCATGTCTGGGGAAGCTTCAAAGACCCCTAAGAAGGGGTCAGATCCCTGAACTATCTCAATTATGAGAGCGAGCTCCCAGTCTCTCACTTCTGCTATTGTCAGGCCAGGGCATGGCCTTCCTTCTCTCTGAAGGACTCAGCATTCAAATTCCATCTTGAAAGCACAGAAATTGGATCCCAAGCTGCTAGTTACTCAATCTTTGACTTCCCATCCTCCAGAAATGTGACAGAATGTTCTTTACTGATTACCCAGTCTCAGGTATTCTGTTATAGCAGCACAAAACAGACTTAGACAGACAGCCCTCAATTGGTGATGACAGAAGGATATGTATACATACCCCAGCTCCCTCCCCTCTCAGCTAGAATAGCCCAGGGACATTTTCCCCGTGTTTCCAAATGGGGTTGAGCTTCAGTTATCCTAAGAGTTAGGTGGCTTGTTGAGGTGACTTTAACCTTCAACCTCTGTTCTCTGCCTCACTTTCCTCCTTCCCTCCCATTGTAAATATGCTGCATGCATAGAAATCCTTCTTGTTGGTGGACACAACCCAACACAGTGGACAAATCCCAGTTCTTGGGAGGGCTACATCTCTTGTCTCTCCTTTTTTTTTGAGACTGAGTCTTGTTTTGTTGCCCAGGCTGGAGTGCAATGGCACAATCTTGGCTCATTGCAACCTTTGGCTCCCAGGTTCAAGTGGTTCTCCTGCCTCAGCCTCCCAAGTAGCTGGGATCACAGGTGCCTGCTATCACGCCCGGCTAATTTTTGTATTTTTAGTAGTGATGGGGTTTCACCATGTTGGCCAGGCTGGTCTCGAACCCCTGACCTTAGGTGAACTGCCTGTCTCAGCTTCCCAAAGTGCTAGGATCACAGGCGTGACCCACTGCACCTGGCCTCTTGTCTTAGTTCTTATTATTTCTCCTTTTTTGATGCATACAAAAATCAGAAAACACTAAATTTCTTTTTGCCCATCTATCTTAAATTTGATTTATGCAGTAATCCCTTTCTTCTGACTCACAAAATAAAAGAAGCTTCTTAAAATAGCAGCACACAGGCCGAGTGAGGTAGCTCACACCTGTAATACCAGCACTTTGTGAGGCCGAGGTGGGTGGATCACCTGAGGTCGGGAGTTTGAGACCAGCCAGGCAAACATGGTGAAACCCCGTCTCTACTAAAAAACAAAGATTAGCGGGGAATGGTGGCAGGCACCTGTAATCCTAGCTACTCGGGAGGCTGAGGCACGAGAATCGCTTGGACCCGGGAGGCGGAGGTTTCAGTGAGCCAAGATCGCACCACTGCACTCCAGCCTGGGAAACAGAGAGAGAGACTTTGTCTCAGTAAAAAAAAAAAAAAAATAGCAGCACACCATGAGGTCCACATTAGAGGCGGTGGAATAACTAACCCCTACTCTTAAAACCCACAGGTCAGAGAGTCTCCAAATCACAAATTATTTCCTGCTTCCTTGCCTCATAAAACAGCCTTGTGAATTTTCATTTGACTTTAGGGGTGGGCAGTTGTGGGAATAATGGGAGTTGTTTTGGGGATAAATAAGGACCCCCCACCCTAATTATATTTATGTCCTAATATTTGGAATCTATGAATGTTACCTTATATGTCAAGAGGAACTCGGCAGATGTGATTCAGTTAAGAAATTTGACATGAGGAGAGTATCCTAGATTGCCTGTCTCAAACCAATGTAATCACAAGGTCCTTATAATAGAAAATACAGGAGGGTCACAATTGGAGAGGAGCCCGGACAATGGAGGGGAATGCTGTTGTGGCAGAATGGGGCCAAGAAGCAAGGAATCTGAGAGATCTTGAAGATGAAAACTTAGTATCCAATTCTCTTCCTTGGAGCCTTCAGAAATAATACAGCCCTGCTCACTCTTTGATTTTAGTTCAGTGAGACTTCTGACTTTCAGAACTGTAAGATAATACATTTGTGTTGTATGAAGCCAGTGAGGTCATACTAATTTGTTCCAACAGCAATAGGATATTAATGCAAGAGGAAGAGATGGCTTTTATCTCCTCAGTGCATGGCTGTTCTTGTTCTCCCAAATATCTTCACCTTGTAATAATTTCCCGTCAATTTTGAAAAGACAGAGAACATATTATTTTGAGAGGAGGTAGCACCAGAATTCCTCTAAGGCAGAAAATGTCTTGGGTCAGATCCCTTGATTGGCTCTGGAACAATCTGGGTATCTGAGAGCCTAGAGATCAGCTGTCATAGCACGTGAGAGGAGGGGAGATTGTTCTTTGGTTTGTTTTTATATTAGGAGGGCAAATTAGACTTGCAGAACACATTCTGAGAGGGACAGACTGAGCCAGGGAAATTGGAAGAGAAAGAGGAGATGTAGAAGGGGCCAGAGAAAAGAAAGATGTGTCCTTCCTCACAAGTCCAAAATAAAGTCATTTGCAACTCACAAAGACATTGACAGAGTTGTGTTTTCTAGGGAAAACTGCAGATGGGGCTAGTTTACGATTAAGGTCAGCATGGTGTAAGACAGAGAGAGCAGGAAGCTGTGGAGTCCACACTGTCCCTACGGTGTCTTCTCCCTTATTATAGACTGTGGGCTCAACTATGGGATGAAAGTGGCTGCATGAAAGAAATATAATAAAGCCACACAGACTTGGGTTCAAATTCCAGCCCACATGTGCTGATCATGTGATTTTGCATAAACCATCCATGAGCTCTGATCATTGGTTTCTTCATCTGTGAAATGGAACACTGTGTATATCAAGGGGTCTCCTGAGGACTTAATCAGATGATGGGCCTTGAAGTATGTGTGTGTGTGTGTGTGTGTGTATGTGTGTGTGTGTGTAAATATATATATATATGTATGATCAATTGTCATCTTGTTTATCTTTCTAATATATATATATCCAGTCCTCTTTTTATGTACCCTTGACCATGCTGGAATAAAAAGGCTATGTAAGATATTACTAGCCAGACATCACTTTCAATTCAAATTCTTCAATATTTATTCTACAACAAGCAAGTGCATCACTAAGGGCAGTGGGGTTTCATGTGCATAGCTTCCACTGTAAACAATTCTACCTACTCTTTATGTGTGGTATTAGAAAGACAAACAAGATGACAATTGATCATAACACTTTTAGTCTGAGTTGTCTCTGAGCTGCATTTGTGTTAGTGTCTCATTCTTTGGCTCCTAAGGTTGTGACCACAGTTCTGAGTTCTAATTCTTTTCTTCCCACATGCACAGCCTTTCTCAGAATTCACTCTGGCCTCCCCATGCTGGGAATCCAGACTCACCCTCCTGCTACACTCCCCAGAATCCAGCACTAACTGCCTGGAAGCTTTTCTTTGTAAGCCCTCCAAACGCAACCTCTGATAGATACCTGGTTGGAGGAGTTAGCATCTTCCCATCAAAAACCACTGAGAAGAAGGAGAAAACTGCTAGCATGATGTCGCTGTTGAGGAGATGTGTACAGTCCACAGATTTTATGTCTTCTTCAAGTGTTCTTGTCTCTTTCTTGACCACTATTTTAATTTCATGATCATAAAGGAGGGAGGAATTAGGGACAACAAAAAGATGTTCATCCTTAAGATATAAAACATGAAACTGAGACAGGAAGAGAGCAGAAATTATGAACTCTTTGCAGTGGTTTGGGTTTCCTTAGCTATAAATACAGCAGAGCCAAGATGTCAGGAAAGGACATCACTTATTCTGGTTCTTGCTTTTACTGCCTTTGACACCCACAAACACACACATACACACGCATGATAATGCATTTCTTCTCCTAAAGGGCAGGTCTATGGCCAACGAGGCTCTTTTTCTTCAGTATCATTCAAGGATAAGCGACAATAATTTTAGAAACAAGTGAAAGAATAACAATGGCTTAAGCAATGAGAAGAGATCTGAAGTTTGGCACATTCAGGGTTAATACAGCAGCTTGGTGACAGGAGAAAGGCCCCAGATTCTTTCTACATTACTGCTTGGTAAACTTGACCACATTGGTTTTTCTGTCTTGGGCTCAACATCTCATGGTCTCAAGAAGGCTGCAGGGACTGTAAGCTTCATGTCCTCTGGTAACTGCCCAAAGAGGAAATGAAGGGCAAAGCTCTTCATCACCCCTCTTTTTATGACGGATCACCATTTTCTCCAGAAGTCCTGCCCCTCCTTCACACCCATGACATCTCATTGTGGAGCTGATCACATGTCCACCTAAACCTTGCTCCTTTCCTGGGCTGGGAGCGGCTCAGTGTCCTTGTCATGCACAGCAGGACAGAGACAGCGCCCTATACACTAAAAGAGGAGAGGGTGGCTGCTCTGTAGGTGACAAAATTTTAAATTCCACTGTGCTTTTAAGGAAAGTTGTATGAGGAGGAGAAAAGCTAGGTGCATCTTCATACTGCAACATTCGAAGAAGCCGGGCCCTGAGGATGAAAACGAAGTCAAATTTTAAATTTCTCACATGACCTTGTTAGTTTCAGCAATTGTGGAAATGTAGCCTATGCATTTATGTAAGTCAAGGACATACTTTCAGTTACCAGAATACTTGTAGAGACATTTATAATAAGATCCTTAAATCAGGGCTAAGGTCAGACTTGCACTGTCTGAAAGCTGCTGGGCTCTGGCCCTGGGCTGTGGAGGAAGCAGCTGCTCTACTGAGACAAGGGGCTGAGGACCTGGGAACCAAAGGCTCTGCCCACAGGTCTGCCTCACAGGGGCTTCAGGGAAGGAAACTGCTCACACACTCATGGGCACTGCTTCAAGCCCAGAGCCTGCCACCAGGAGGAAAGTCTCAGAGACAAGGGCCTTGGGGCTGGGCCCAAGCTCCTGGGGTGGGCTGCTCTCAGCTCTGTTCTCACTGGCTCTCAATGACCAGGACTGTGCTGGAGCCAAAGAGGTCAGCAAATGTCCGCAGAGTCCTGACTGAGCCTGATTCTGTTATAGTTAGAAAAAAAAAGGAGCACGTGCTAAATAAACATAAAATTATGTGTATATGTATATATGCATTTGTAACAAACTTTGTATATTAAATATGTATAATATTATAGATGTAAATTGCAGTGATATCTTTGTATCTACTATGCATCTATATTACGAATAAATATTGTGAAAGGAAAATATCTTGGGCTCCCCAAATCACTAAGCTAAAGGGAAAATTCTAGCTGGGAACTGAATAGGGCAAATCTGCCTCCCATTGTTTTCAAAGTCAGCCCTCTGGTCCCTGAGATAAATGCATATCTAATTACCTGTTCTGGAAAGGCTAATCAGAAACTTAAAGGAAGGCAAGTTTTTCTCTCACCTACCTGGGACTTGAAAGCCCCTCCCTGCTTCCAGTTGCCCTGCTTTTCGCTTGGAGTTGTCCTGCCTTTCCAGACCAAACCAATGTTCATTTTATATATGTTGATTGATGTCTCATGTCTCACTGAAATGTTTAAAACCAAGCTACGCTCTGACCACCTTGGCCACATGCCTGCAGGACCTCTTGAGGCTGTGTCACAGGAACGTGTCCTAAACTTTGGCAAAATAAACTTTCTAAATTACCTTATACCTGTCTCAAATGTTCTGGGTTCACAATGTGATATGTACATTTGTATAAATAGGCATAGTTGTTCCTGCAGTTTGATGTAATTCTAATCAGAAAGCAAAAAGGCTAGTTACCTGATGGTGAAGGAAACATTTGTATTTAGTGCAACCAAACTGAGGATGAAGCCTGAGTCCTCCCTCCTCACCAGAGTCTGACAGCAGCAGAAGAGGAGGAAAGCTGTGTCTCCATGTCCACGAGGGCCTCCTGAGGCTGATCCTGCTCAGAGAGGGTTGGGACGGTGGGTGAATCTGCTGGCACTGCCACGCCAAAATCCCAAAGCCTGGATGGCTTAAGCAATAGAAATTTATATTCACATTTCTGGTGGCTGGAAGTCTAAGATCAAGGTCCAACCAGGTACACATTCTGTTAAGAACTTTCTTCCTGGTTCATAGACAGCCATGGAGAAAAAGGGATGGGGGTTGGGAAGAGAGAGGGAGAGACAGGGAGGAAAGGAAGAGGAGAGCTCTGGTTGCTATTCGGATAAGAGCACTAATTCTATTGCAAGGGATCTCATGCTTAGGACCTCCTTTAACCCCATCTACCTCGATCATCTCTCGCAGCTACACTGGGGGTCAGGGCCCAGCTTCCAGTCTCAGCGCACAGAGCACAGAGCAGATTTTCCCCACCATTTAGCCCTGGCAGCTCCTCCCAGGTGCTCCAGGTCACACATGAGACCCTGTTCCAGCCAAAGGGCTCCCTGTTGACAGTGAGACACCATCATCCTTACATTCCCAGTATTTCTTAGTTCATGGCATTCTCTTTTTGTACTGTGGAATTTGTTTGCCATCTAGGGGCAGGTGTTTGACATAGCAATACACACGATTTTTTATTTTGTAATAGGGAAAACTAATTCATTAATTTTGCATAAATAATAAATTAAACTGAATAAATTACATGTTGAAAAAGCCAAAGGCCAATTGAAGAGCTTAAAAAGAGCCTGAAGAGACGAAAAAGCCAGATTCCTTTCAGAGGAGGTGTGTTAGTCACAGATGAAAGTCTTTCATTTGCAGATGACTTTTTAGCAACAATTACCAACAGTAAATGACAACTTCTATAGGCTGCCACAATATGATTA
Source organism: Homo sapiens (assembly GCF_000001405.40). Lineage (NCBI taxonomy): Eukaryota > Metazoa > Chordata > Mammalia > Primates > Hominidae > Homo > Homo sapiens. Next base: position 89,874,697 of record NC_000002.12, on the reverse strand, counting down.
TATGTTCAAAAATTATTTCCAAATATTGTGTAAATATATATTCAAATTAAAACGAACAAAAATGCAAGTTTATCAGGAGATTCACACAGTAAAAAATTGCACAAATGAATCCTTGAGGCAAAAGAACATTTATCCCTGGTGGAAAGCTGGAATTTTCTTAGGTCTTTAGAAGAAAAGAGAGGCTCTCTAGGGGTAACAGCTTTCTCTCCTCTCCGCTCCACCCCATGCTGCTGAGGAATGGGAATGGGGGCAGAGGCTGTGAGGAAGGAGGTAGGCTGTGCTCTGAGCTTTTGAGGCTTCTTTGTAATAAATTTGATTATCCTCTGGTTCTTCTTGAATCCCCTTTCTGTCTTTGATATCATTTTTTTAGCATTTTGATTTGAGAGTATAGCCCTTGGGATATCAAAATCATGTAGGCTGTATGTTTGTTTCCTTGTTAAATACATCTAAACATCTTGAGTGAGTTTAGACCTTATCCCTGTCTCACATCAAAGCAGAATCTACAGCGACTAGGTGCTGTCAATCACGTGAGTACTAAAGACGATGATGGCATTTCTCAGCTCCTGCTCTTGCTACTTACGCTTTGTTTCTCTGAAATAGCATTCTGTAAAATCATTTACACTCCACGATGTATTTATTAGGATTTTTAAATAGCATATTTAAAAGTGTCTAATGTTTTTTAATTTGAGGGCTCCAGTCTGCTTGATTTCTACATAAATTTTGCCCTATATCTATGAAACCTAATAGAAATGGCACTTTGGAATTTTAGTTGCAGTGGCCATTGAATCCATTATCACAGAATGGAAAATAATCTCCAATATACTTCAAATCCTAAGGCTGAAGCAGAAGCTTCTTGTTCTGTTCCTTCAATCATTCTTTTGTCTCTATCACACCATGTTCTGTCATGTAACTGACATGACTCATCATTAAGTTTGATGGAAATTTAAAATACCATTTTAAGTGAAATCAACTGAAACCTTACTTTTTTTTGCTTTTATACCTAAAATAGAGGATTTAGATATATTTTCTAGGAACGATGATGTAATATGTAAACAAGGAATTTTGGTAATGTTTGAAATATTTTCTCATGGGGACACACCACTAAATTTGTCACCTCTAAAACAGTACTTAGGTTAAATGCTTTTTAAATTCTTAAAACTGGGGTAAGAAGAAAAAATATTATGTAATTCTGCATTATTCATGTGACATATTTAGTGAGTCTATGTTGTCCATCTGTGAGTTCATTCTGTTTATTTTCAAAGCTCACTTTTGTAACTGGAAGAACTTTCACTGGGATGAAGGTAATTGAGGAGAATTGAAGTATTTTGGCATTGAGATCTTTTATTTGCCATGTGTTTACCAAGTCTATGAATAGTCAAACCTAAACATTTTTACTAATTATTTTTTGCCACACTCCCCTGAGGACAGCTTGTGTAGAATACCTTCTCCAGCATGACACTGGAGAGGGCAGTTTAGTGTACGAGTGCTAAAAAAGATACAAGGTTGGGAGAATGAAATGAAAAAAATGATTTCTCAATAGGACCAAGTATCATCTTGTATAAAATAAACCCCAAGCTGGTCATTTCCAACACGTATTCCACTTGTGTTGTCACTAATCTGCATCCACGGTCTGGTTGTTTTGACAAGTAAATGTCCTTGAAAAATGTAGGCAAGATAGGGAGGGATGAGCTTTCATTCACTCTCCCTTCATCATAGCTGGTTGTTCCCAAGGCTCATGGCCCCCAAGAATTCTCCTCCTGATGATGTCTTCCCCAGGCCATGGCAGCTGATGGGACCTTAACATATGTGACTGAGGCACAGCTGAGGCTCTCATGAGCCAGAGTCTTCAGCAGCAAACCCTTTCCCTGAGTTCCCCAACAGCCTCCTCTTCCGCAGACTCAGAGACCCTGCAGAGCTGCTCCCAGACAGCAGCTCATGTGGGCAGTTGGGACACCCCAGCAAGGAGGTTTGTGTTCAAGGCGTTACCACTGTGCAAGGATATTATGTAGCTTGCATGTATTAATAAAGTCGAATATCCTCAGCCTCCACCCTGCTAATTTTGAGTTTAAAATATGTGCCTGACCCACTGCTATTGAACCTGTCTGGGACTCCAGAGGCCCCATTGGAAACCCCATAGATCAGGAGCTGTGGAGACTCGCCTGGCTTCTATAGTTACCAATACAAATAGGTGTTTCCATTGCTATGCAGGAGGGTCTGACTAGACCTGCAGGAGATGAAGTACAAAGTTATGTACAAATATTATGAGCAAGTATCACGATTTCCCTTATGATATGGATTTATCATTTATCTTTTAAAAGATTTTTTATTCACATCATAAAAAATACGTTTTTAAAAATGAGCTTAGGCCGGTTGTGGTGGCTCACGCCTGTAATCCCAGCACTTCTTGGTCCGCGGCAGGCGGATCACCCGAGGTCGGGAGTTCAGACTGACCAACATGGAAAAACCCCATCTCTACTAAAAATACATAAAATCACCTGGGGGTTGGGGGCTTATGCCTGTAATCCCAGCTACTTGGGAGGCTGAGGCAGGAGAATCACTTGAATCTGGGAGGCGGAGGTTTTGGTGAGCCGAGATCGCACCATTGCGCTCCATCCTGGGCAACAAGAGCGAAACTGGGCAACAAAATAAATAAATAAATAAATAAATAAATAAATAAATAAATAAGCTTAGTATTTACTAGGTACAAGAGACCCTTTATTAAAAGATATTATTCAAGGCACTGGTCATTGTTCTTTCAGGTGGTTTCTAATGATTACACATAGGCTCAAAGTAAAGGGAGAAAGAAAGATCTATCAAACAAATGGAAGGCAAAAAAGAGCAGGGGTTGCTATTCTTATTTCAGATACAACAGACTTAAAACTAACAATGATCATGGCTGGGCGCGGTGGCTCACACCTGTAATCCCAGGACTTTGGGAGGCCAAAGCGGGTAGATCACGAGGTCAGGAAATCGAGACCATTCTGGCTAACACGATGAAACCTTGTCTCTATTAAAAATACAAAAAAAATAGCCGAGCGTGGTGGCGGGCGCCTGTAGTCCCAGCTACTTGGGAGGCTGAGGCAGGAGAATAGCGTGAACCCGGGGGGCGGAGCTTGCAGTGAGCCGAGATCGCGCCACTGCACTGCAACCTGGGAGACAGAGAGAGACTCTGTCTCAAAAAACAAAACAAAACAAAACAAAACTAACGATAATCAGAAAGGACTGAGAAGAGCATTACATAATAATGAAGAGTTAAATTTAACAAGAAGACTTCACTATCCTAAATATATTATATAAGCACACAGCAGTGGAGCACCCTGATTTGTGAAATAAGTTCTTAGAGACTTACAAAAACACCTAGATAACCACACAATCATAGAGTGAGACTTCAACCCACACTGACAGTATTCGACAGATGATTTAGGCAGAATAGTAACAAACATATTCAGAACCTAAACATGACACTTTACAAAATGGAACAAACTGACATCTACAGAACAACCACTAAAAATTACAGAATATACATTCTTCCCATCTACACGTTGCAAAAACTCTAAAATTGACTACACTCTCAGCCATACTGCAAGTGTCAACAAATACAAAAAATAAAAATGATAAAATGAAATGGAATCATACCAACCACACTCTCAGGCTGAAGTGCAAAAAAAGTAAAAATCAACACCAAAAAGATCTTTCAAAAACCATAAAATTAAGTAGAAATTTAACAATCTGCTGCTTACAGACTTTTGGGTAAACAATGAAATTAAGGTAAGAATTAAGAAATTCTTTGAAACTAATGAAAAAAAAAGAGACAACATACCACAATCTCTGGGACACAGCAAAAGCAGTGTTCTGAGGAAAGTTTATAGCGCTAAATGTGCACAACAAAAAGTTAGAAAAATCCTGAATTAACAACCTAACGTCATACCTAGAGAAATCTGAAAAACAAATGTGAACCAACCCCAAAGGTAGAAGAAGAAATAATCAAAATCAAACCTGACCTGAATGAAATAGAGAGGAGAAAAACCAAACAAAAGGTCAGTGAAATCAAAAGTTAGGTCTTTGAAAGAAGAAATAAGATTGATAGACTGCAAGCTAGACTAATAAAGAAAAAAGCAATATCCAAAGAAAAACAACCAGAAGTGACAAACAGGACATTATCACTCAACCCTCAGCAATAAAACAAACAAACAAACGAAAAACCCTTGGAACCTATAACCAACACCTCTATGCACAAAAACTAGAAAACCTAGAAAAAAGTGCATAAATTGCTGGAAACAATCTACCAAGAATCTCGCAGGAAGAAGCTGAATGCCTAAACAGACCAATAATGAGTTCTGAAATTGAATCAGTAGTAAAAAGCCCACCTATCAGAAAAAGTCCTGGAAAAAATGGATTTACAACCAAATACTACCAGACATATAAAAAAAGCTAGTACCAATCCTAGTGAAATTATTCCAAAAAAATCAAGGTGGGAGATCTCCTCTCTAACTCATTCTATGAAACCCGCATCTCCCTGATAGTAAAAACTGACAGAGGCACAATAAATAAAAACTTCAGATCGCTATCTCTCATGAACATAAACACAAACTTTCTGAAAAAAATACTAGCAAACATTATTGTGTAGCACATCAAAAGCTAATCCACCATAATTAAGCTGGCTTTAGTCAAGGGATGCATGGTTGGTTCAAAATGTAAAAATCAATACATGAGATTCACCTCATAAACAGAACTAAATACAAAAACTACAGGATCATCTCATTAGATGCAGAAAAGCCTTTTGATAGAATTCAATGCCCCTTCATGCTAAAAACCCTCAAAAATCTAGACAATGAAACTACACAACTTAAAATATTAACAGCCATTTATGGCAAAATTACAGCCAGCATCCCACAGAATTGACAAATGCTGGAGGCATTTTCGTTGAGAACCAGAACAAGACAAGGATACCCACTCTCACCACTCCTATTCAACATAGTACTGGAATTTCTAGCCAGAGCAATCAGGCAAGAGAGAAAAATAAAAGGCATCCAAATAGGAAGAGAATAAGTCAAACTATCTCTCTTTGCAGGCGATACTATAATATACTCAGAAAACCCCACACTCTCTGCCCAAAAGCTTCTAGATCTCATAAATAATTTCAGCAATATTTCAGGAAACAAAATCAATTTACGCAAATCAGTAGCATTTCTATATACCAATACCATTCACACCAAGAGCCAGTCCCAGAGCCCAATCCCATTCACAGTAAGCATAAAAAGGATAAAATACCTAGAAATACAGCTTACCAAAGAGGTGAAAGATCTCTACAACACGAACGACAAAATACTGCTGAAAGAAATCAGAAATGACACAAACAAACGGAAAAACATTCCACCTGCGTGGATAGAATCAATACTTTTGAGCTGGTCATACTGCCTAATGCTATTTATAGATTCAATGCTATTCCTGTGAAACTACCAATAACATTTTTCACAGAATTAGAAAAAAAATTCTAAAATTTACTTGGAACTAAACTAGAGCTAAAAAAAAAAAAAAAATCCTAAGCAAAAAGAGCAAAGCTGGAGGTATCACACTACACGACTTCAAGATATACTACAAGGCTACAGTAACTAAATCAGAAGAGTACTGCTACAAAAACAGGAACCCTAGACCAATTGAACAGGCTAGAGGATTCAGAAGTAAAACCGCACACCTACAACCATCTGATCTTCGACAAAGCTGACTAAAACAAGCAATGAAGAAAGGACCCCCTTATTCAATAAATGCTGCTGGGATAACTGGTACCTATATGCACTGAAATGGAAACCTTTCACTATATAGAAAAACCAACTCAAGATGGATTAAAGGCTTAAATATAAAATCTAAACTCTAAAAACTCTAATAAAAATCTAGGAAATGCCATTCTTGACATTTGCTCAGGCAAAGAATTCATGACATAGACTCCAAAAGCAATTGCAATAAAAACAAAAATTGATAAGTGCTATCTAATTAAACTACACAACTTCATTACAGCAAGAGACACTAACAACAGAGTAAACAGACAGCCTACAAACTGGGAGAACATATTCACAAGCTATGCATCTGACAAAGGTCTAAGATCCAGAATCTACAAAAAATTTTAAAAAAATCAACAACAAGAAACAACTCCATTATAAAATGGGCAAAGGCCATGAAACAGACACGTATCAGGGAGCAGTGAAATGAGTGCTGGGAGCTGCCTGAGGTCACTCCTCTGCTTTTTCCATCTGGTTTTAAGTCACCTAATCCATCAAAATAAATACAATTTTGCCTCACCAGGCACAATGGCTTCTCTCATAGTCAACTGATTCAATGATAGAACAAGTAGAAGGAATGAATGGATTGTTTCCTGTGCTTCTCAACTCTTTGGTGTTCTCATCTCCTAAGCTCACCGTGTGTTTCATCTCCCCTCTGCTGCACTAACATCCAAGTGCATGTGATGCTTCAGCTGCGTTACGCAAAGCTTCATTCTGAAGTCTGTTGAAGTTAAGAGAAACTTTTACCAGAGGAAACGTCAGTAAATAAAAACAATCCTGAAATTCTTCTAGCTTCCACATTTTCTCTACTTCCTCTCTAAAATAGGTAGAAGGAAACCTAAAAGAAGTTAATCAAAAGAAAACATACAAGCAGCCAACAAACATAAAAAAATGGTCATCATCACTAATCATCATGGAAATGCAAATCAAACCACAATGAGATACTATCTCATGCCAGTCAGGATGGCTATTACTATAAAGGCAAAAAATGACAGATGCTGGTGAGGTTGCAGAGAAAAGGGAATGCTCATACACTGCTGGTGGGAATGTAAATTAGTTCAGCAGTTGTGGAAAGCAGTATAACGACTTCTCAAAGAACTTAAAACAGAAGTACCATTCGACCCAGCAATCACATTATTACATCTATACCCAAAGGAATATAAATCGTTCTACTATACAGACATGTGCACACATACGTTCATGGCAGCACTGTTCACAATAGAAAAGACATGAAATCAACCTAAATGACTATCAAAGGTAGGCTGGATTAAGAACATGTGGTGCATATACACCATGAAATACTACACAGCAATTAAAAATGAAATAATGGTCCTTTAGAGCTACGTGAATGCAGCTGGAGGCCATTATCCTAAGCAAATTCACACAGGATCAAGAAACTTGATCAGACAGCACCGTCCTGTGGGCACAGCCTCCTGCCTCACCATCTTCCTGTCACAATAGGAGGACTTTTCTTTTTCTTTCTTTCTGTTTTTTGAGAAGGAGTCTTGCTCTGTGACCCAGGCTGGAATGTAGTGGTATGATCTTGGCTCACTGCAACCTCTGCCTCCCTGGTTCAAGTGATTCTCCTGGCTCAGCCTCCGGAGTAGCTGGGATTACTGGCGTGTGCTAGCATGCTTTTCTAATTTTTGTATTTTTAGTAGAGACGGGGTTTCACCATATTGGCCAGGCTAGTCTCGAACTCCTGACCTCAGGCAATCTGCCTGCCTTGGCCTCCCAAAGTGATGGGATTACAGGCGTGAGCCACCGCGCCTGGCCTTGGAATTTTCTTGATCATGGAGACAAGGATGAGTGATATCTTGATCAGGGAGGAGTGAAATCAGTGCTGGGAGCTGCCTGCACTCACTCCTCTGCTTTTTCCATCTGGTTTTAAGTCACCTAATGCATCAAAATAAACACAATTTTGCCTCACCAGGCACAGTGGCTTCTCTCATAGTCACCTGATTCAATGATAGAACAAGTAGAAGGAATGAATGGACTGTTTCTTGTGCTTCTCAACTCAAGCTGACCAAGAGGCTGCCTTTGCTGTTCTCATCTCCTAAGCTCACTGTGTGTTTCATCTCCCCTCTGCTGCACTAGCATCCAAGTGCATGTGATGCTTCAGCTGCGTGTTACTCAAAGCTTCATTCTGAAGTCTGTTGAAGTTAAGAGAAATTTTTACCAGAGGAAATGTCAGTAAATAAAAACAATCTTGAAATTCTTCTAGCTTCCACATTTTCTCTACTTCCTCTCTAAAATATGTAGAAGGAAACCTATTTCTCCTTGATTATCAGGTTGTATGTCCCCAGCCCACACCATAGGACCCTTTGTTCAAAGTTTGTCCTGAACCATAATAAGAACTAAATGGCCACATGTTCATCATTTTTTTCAATTTAATGCAACAATTATCATGCTAATTCTTTGAATTAAGAACTATCAACTGGAAAACCAGACAAGAGTGAATAGAAACAACATTTCAATCTTCTCTGTACCCATAATAAATAGTCATCTCTCAGATTCTCCTATTCTGTTAATGGGGGTAACAACGTCATACACATCAGTGTTTCAGGGCCTCCAGCACATCTGGTAAGACAGTGATTTGACATTACAAGGGTTAGTGTTTTGGCTTTTCCTGACTACTAATGGATTTTCTCTTTTCTATAAGGACAGCTGCCCCTGGACACATGACAACATCGTGAATATACGTTGCTTCACTTTTTTTTTTTTTTTTTTGCTATAGATACTTCCAAGTGATGATTCTGGCAGAAACATGACTGACAAGAAAGGCAAATCCATATACAGGAAAACTACCACTGTCCTCTGGATGCTGGGTTAGGTGCACTGTACTCATTTGACACGCGTTGTTAGTCTGATCACTGATGTGTGGTTAGATGTTAGTGGTTTGGGAGGGGTAATGCTACTTGGCAAGTTGAATGCTCAGAAGAGCCATAGGTATGCAAGCCTCATTAACTGAAATTCATATTGTTGAGCTCCTGCATGGATTTCTATGGTTCATGTCACTTCCTAAAAAATCTGGGAAAGTTGACTGACTGAAGGCCAAGCATTCGATCGTCTTAATTACTAAGAGCTGGTCCTCAGTAATGGAATAGATATGAATATTCACTTAGGAAGCATTTATTTTTGATCTTGACGTATTTTCAAAGATCCAGTCACAGCTCTTCCAAACCAACTTTGTCTCGAGTCCTTCAGTTTTGTTTCTTCTGAGGCCTGGTGATCTCTCCAAACCAATAGCCAATGTTATGGAATTGCTAATCCCTCTTTGCAAAGTGTACGGTGACTTCACCCTTCGGGTTTGCCCACTCTTGTGACTGCTAGTCTCCCAGGGTATCCTTTACCATGGCAGTGGTATGACATCAATACAGCACCCAGTTATGAGAACTCCATCCAGCATGGCATCATTGGCAGCATATGCATGATTGGACTTCCATAGGATGAAATGATTAATTTTTAACAGTAGGCAGTTATCCCCATTCATACCCTTTACCCCTCCACTTGAGTTAGAAAAATATTTTAAGGTGTAAATACCCATTAGGTGAGTATTTTATAACTAAAGGTTATAAAGGAACTTTCTGTAGCCACAGCAGATACTACACCAGGTCTCGGGCACCAGTGTTCTTATGGGGGGAAACTGAAATCACCTTCACAGATTTCATTTTTATATAATTGTTTTGTAAATATGCATGTGTTACTTCTATATGGATATATAAATATACTTAAATAGACTTATTTAAAGATAAATATGTGTACATATACGTATATGCAACCAATAATTTTTCAAAAATATAAATGCACCAATATGTATGTTATATACACTCAAATATGTATTTTCCCCAAATGACATCAATTTCATGGTTTTTATTGGTATTAAGTTTTAATGTTTTAAATGTTGTCTTAGTATCTCTATATATGGATTAATAAATATTCATATTTATGCCATCAATTTTAATAAAATGCATCTATCTAAATAGGTAGATGTATAAATACTGTATTGGTCAGTTTTTGCACAATAATTATTGACAATCAACCACTTAAACTCTTAGTGTCTTATTAACACTAAGTATTTATTTTCATATTCCTGAATGTTCATTTTAATAATCAGTTGGCTGATCCCAAGGCAGGGCTCAGCTGGTTGGTTCGGCTGCAGGGAATCGAGCTTGTCTCCAGCCTATGGATTGCATTTATCTGAGGCCAAGCCTGAAGGACACTGACTACTCAGGGCAGAAGATTCTCATGGCAGGTCGCAGGAGTAGACAAATCCCAAACCAAGCTGACCTGATACAATTAAGCCCGAGAATCTCTAACATAGGTACACACAACTTTAATTGATTCTTTCACTTGGTAATTATTAAAGTTTCTAAAAATGTTTACTCCATTTAAACATGAAGTTATTTGATAATTCTATGGACATATATAATTATGATTTTCAACCTTTGTAATCTTCAAAATGTTTTCAAATGCAATGTTGCATCAATTTGAAAGTAAAGCTGGGTGTGCTTTCAACATGTGACTCTCCATTGAAATTTTCTTAAATATCCTCATTGAGAAAAAAATAAATCTCTTTAGCTAAAATATCACCTAAAACATACCTTGTTAAGCTTTATGTAGATCACTTGTTACCGTGTTAAAATGAAGATTCTCTTTCAGGTAATTTGAGGTGGGCCTGCTATGTATCTTGCAAGGCACCCTCTCAGTATTGCTAAGGTGCTACTGGATTCTGGATAGTTTTGAGTAGCAGAGGACTTTCATATTAAGAGGAAAAATGCTACATCCATGTTTAGGATTTTCTCTTGTTTTCCTTTTTGTCAAGGAAAAAGGTTGTCAAACGATTGTTATAACTATCTATTTATCTTTTTGTTTTGTTTTGTTTTTTGTAGAGACAGAGTCTTCCTATGTTGCCCAGTCCAATCTCAAACTCCTAGGATGAAGCAATTCTCCTGCCTTAGCCTCTCAAAGTGCTGGGAATTACAGGCATGAGCTACCACACACAGCCTTATAATGTATTTCATACAGTTTCCTGATTTTTCTGTTTCATCTATGACTTAATGAAGTTTTCTTGCTATGAACCCAGAGTTGCTCGTAAGACGTGATAGCACATTCGAGTATATTCTGGGACAATCTGTAACTGGCAAAGTTTTGAGCCTTGTGGAAAGAGCAACCTTACTGACCTGTCAGCTGTCAATTCCCCATCGCTACTATCACTTCTGGACGCACATTTTCCAAAACTCCTTTTCTCTCTATGGTTTCTTTAGAGTTGCTTAATGAGAGGCACTCCCATGAGATTGGGAAGTCAGAGTGGTGGATTCATGTACTCTGACATCTGAAGTAAAACATGTGGAATTGTTTGTGGACTGGAGAATCACCTGGAGACGTGCTGCAGGCAGCTGAGAGCATCAGCACCCCAGCCCTCGGCTTCCCAGACAGGTCTGAGGATCATCACACGGTACTCAGCACATACCACCAGGGGCAGGTGCACTCTGACTTCTGCAGGAGCACCTGAGAATCCCCTGTCTCTAGTGGCTGCTTCACGAATAACATACCGTAGGCTTCAAAAAGACTAGTTTAGACTCTAATTTATTCAACTTGAACAATTTCTCCTTGAAATACCGAGAATAGCTTCTCTTTTGCTGTGTAAATTCCAATTATCCCATAACACAGACTCCTCAGGTGGACTTGTATCTCTTCCTTATTCAATCAGGACAGGCATTGTCACATCTTTTCTCCTGGGGATAGGGGCAAAAGAGGCTTAGAGTTCAGAGGAGCCTCCCTGGTCCCCTCTACAAAAGTCTCCCAATGACTTTCAAAACCTGACTGAGTTTGAGAAATGCTCTCAGCAGATGGAGGCACCAGGAGGAGCATCTGGGGTGGCTCGTCCTCACACATCTGCTTCCTTGGAGGTTTATGTTATGACTTGTAACACTGTGGGAGGGGTACTGTAACTCTGTTGACAGTAGTAAGTTGCAAAATCTTCAGGTTGCAGACTGCTGATGGTGAGAGTGAAATCTGTCCCAGATCCACTGCCACTGAACCTTGATGGGACCCCACTTTGCAAACTGGATGCAGCATAGATCAGGAGCTTAGGGGCTTTCCCTGGTTTCTGCTGATACCAATTTAAATAGCTGCTAATGCTCTGACTTGCCCGGCAAGTGATGGTGACTCTGTCTCCTACAGATGCAGACAGGGAGGATGGAGACTGGGTCATCTGGATGTCACATCTGGCACCTGAGATTGGAAACATAAAAACAAATATTCTTACTATTAATCATGTTATCAGAGAACTTCCCTGAAGTTCCAGTCAGTACTGAGCACACTGGCTGAGTAAATTCCTAGTGTTCTCCATCCTTACCTCGGAGCCAGAGTAGCAGGAGCCCCAGGAGCTGAGCGGGGACCCTCATGTCCATGCTGTGTCCTGACTGAGACTGACTCCTGCACAGGGTGCGACCAGCCCATAAAAAAGTCTTCAGGGCAGGAGGCTGTGCTCTGGAACATGCAAATCAATCAGCAGGGCATGGGGCAGGCTGAGCACAGCTGCAGGGCTGGCTCATCTTAGTAACTCAGCACAGGGGCAATGTCCCCAGGGTCCCAGGTCAGACCAGCGCAGCATAGATTTGCCTGGAGGGAATGTATTTCTCTCTAGAGCCGCTGTTGTGACAAGAGATATTTTGAAGGAAAAAAGTCAAACTTTAATACAAACCTAAGGACTATATGGAATAATATATTTTAGAGTTGTATTGGGAGTATACAGGAGAGTATAACCATTCGTAGGGAATGTCTAATGAAGTCTTAGAGGGTGGGTCTATCAGGCCTTCAAGTTACTTAAAGGGATGTGGAGAGTAACAATCCCTTTTGCTATAGTAACAACACCTCTGTGATTGTCACATGGTTCCCATTGTTTCATGTGAGAAAAACAGTCTTTATCAGAAGCATATTTAATACACTCCAAAGTATTTGTAGTGACCTTAAACATTTGTAATTACCAGTATATTTACAAGCAATTCCCTGCAGATGCACGATAATGATGCTGTGATTCCTCAGCGCCTGTGCCACTCATAGATCTTCCATTATCAGAGCTATAGGTCTCTGTAATACCCAGGGTCTCAATGGGCAGCAGCTTCGTCTTGGTTTGGGGCTCCCCTTATTCTGCCCATTTTTCTGCCCTTGGGTATTATTTCCCATAGGTCATCAGTATGAAGGGTTGATTAGTAATGCTAGATCTGTTTACTTCAAAAAACATCTCTGTTTCTTCCTCCAGCTGTTGAAGCCTGAATCAGGATGAACTTGAAACTCTGGGTCAATCTAGAACCCCACATCAATTGTCTCCAAAGGAAGAAGGCCAAGGTAATGCAACTTGCCTAATGCTCTGATCTGCTTTTCCCACCATAATGTTTGTGAGTGTTCAGGTGTGGCTCTCAAAAATCATGGCTTTCTGGAAAGCAATGGGAGGGAGAGGCCCTGGGGAAAGGCCAGGTCAGTGAACACTTTCTCTTCTGTGAGGGTGGCGACCACTCAGTGCATTTCCCTGCCCTGCACCATCAAAGCCACTTTTCTCTTTAGCAGTGAGTAGGGACATCATCCTGACTCAGACGCCTGCCTCCTTGCCTCACATCCAGGAAAGAGAGTCTCCATCTCCTGTCAAGCCACCGCTCATGTACACGGAGAAATGCTTTGAAGCTGGATAAAACTTGGAAACAGATTTGAACCCCTATACCTCACATGTCTGCCTCTGCCCAGGCATCCCAGCCTGGTTGTGCAGCAAGGGAAGTGGAATCAACTACATCGACATGAGAAGACTAGAACCTGGGGAGTCCAGGGAGCATTACTCATGCATCACTAAGGGTGGGCAGACTGCTGTGGTATAGCCTGTACACAACCCCCTGCTCCTTTCCAGGGGCCTGAATTTCAAGGGCAGTTACTGGTAAACTGCTTGCTAAGATTTAGGTTCAGAGAGAAGCAGTTCTGGATTGCAATACACAATTTCGTGTGTGTGTGTGTGTGTGTGGGGGGGTGAATATAGTTGTCACTCTTGCTACCCTTTCCCTTTTCCCTTTGCTGTACTTCTGCTGACCCCCCATGGCCATATCTTTTCCTCACTGCTCTATCTGAAGCTGGAGAAGGCAGCCCTGCCTGTACACATGGCCTATCACAGCACCTGGAATGAGCATCCTCTCGGAAAGCCCTCAATCAGTGAGGACAGGGAGGTGTATACATACCCCATCTCCCTCCCTTCTTAGGTGGAAAAATACTGAGACATTTTCCCATGTTTCCACGTGGGCTTGATCTCCATTCATCCTCTGTGGTAGCTTCTCGCTGAGGACATTTTCGGTATCGCTGCTCTCTTTCCTCTCTCACTGCCTTGTTTCCTCCTAGTGTTTACTGTGCATTATAAATATGCTGCCTGCATGGGCATCATTGTCCCTGAAAGATCCAACCTAAAACAGTGGACAAACCCTCATTCTTGGAAAGTATAGTCTGAATACTTGCCAATTCTTTTTTTTTCATGCATAGGGATATTCAGAAAATTTAGGAAACAGCTGAATTATCTAGGAAAGACAGCGTCATCAGAAGGGTCTTTATAATAGGGAGGAGTGGGGGTAACAGTCAGAGAGGAATAGGGACAATGGACAGGGATGCTTCAGTGATGGAGAAAGGGGCCAGGCAGCCCGGAACATGGGGCTATCTTTGAAGATGAAAAGCTGAGAATCAGATTCTCTCCCCTGGAACTTCCAGAAGGAATATAGAACTACGGATACCTTGATTATAAATCAGTGAGACTTCTCACTGCCAGAACTGTATGATAATAAATTTGTGTTGTATGAAACTAGTAAGATTCTGATAACTTGTTACAGCAGGAGTAGGAAACTAACACAAGGGGCAGGGGTGTCTTTTACCTCCTTAAGGGCATGGTTGCCCTCTGTTCTTCCAAATATTTTTATCTTGTCATTTTTTAGTGTCAATTTTAGCAAGACACACAGAAAATTTCACTGTGAAGATGGCTAGCACCAGAATCCTTGTTATGTGTAAACACTCTTGCATAAATCCCTTGATTAACTCTCGTACTCTCTGGATATGTGATTAACTCTTGTATCCTCTGGATATGAGAAAAGTAGGGGAATATTTGTTCATTTGTTTTCATATTGGGGGAGAAATCAGATTTACAGGACATCATTTGAGAAGGAAGGACTGGGACAGAAAGATGAGAATGGTAGAAAAGATGCAAAGTGTTCAGGGCAATGCAAGATGTGCTCTTGCCCTCGAATCTGAAAGAAAGACATTTAGTATTTGTAAAGACTTTGAGGAAGTTTTGCTTTGTAGACAAAACTGCATGAGAGCCTGAGTTTATAATTGGAGTAATCACGGTAAGGTGTAGAGGTAGCAGGGAGCTTGTGTTGAGAATTTCACACCACTCTTCTGGCTTTGTCTCTTCTTTGAATTTAAAGGCCATTCAATCGTATATGAAACAAACGTGGCCATGTGGAAGCAACATATTTAAGGTTATGCAGACCTGGGTTCCAAGCTCAGCCCTGACAATTGCTGACCACATATCTTTGGGCAAACCATCTCTGTTGAATAGTTTCAACTACGGGCTCTGATAACAGTTTACTCATCTGAAATGTATCACCAAGGGTATTAAGGGCTGTCCTGAGGGTTTCTCTAGTTGATGAAAAGACTGCTTTTCATACATATATATGTGCATATATATGTATGAAAAGACTACTTAGGGTCCCTTTTATGCGTCCTTGAGTATCTTAGAATGAAGATTCTAGATAAGATACTACTAGTCACATGTCATTTTTTTGTATTATTACACTTTAAGTTCTGGGGTACATGTGCACAACTTGCAGGTTACATAGGTGTACATGTGCCATATGGGTTTGCTGTACCCATCAACTCGTCATTTACATAAGGCATTTGTGGTCAATTTTAGAATAAGTGCGATGTGCTGCTGAGAAGAATGTATATTTTGTTGATTTGGGATGGAGAGTTCTGTAGATGTCTATTAGGTCCACTTGGTTCAGAGCTGAGTTCAAAAAGTCCTGGTTTGGTGGGTTTTTTGTTTGTTTGTTTGTTTGTTTGTTTTGGAGGCAGAGTCTTGCTCTCTTGCCCAGGCCTGAGTGCAGTGGTGTGGTCTCGGCTCACTGCAACCTCCACCTCCCGAGTTTAAGGGATTCTCCTGTCTCAGCCTCCCGAGTAGCTTGGACTACAGGCACGTGCCACCATGTCTGGCTAATTTTTTGTATTTTTCAGAATTTCTGAAAAATTTTGTATTTTTCAGATTTTTCATTGTGTTAGCCAGGATGATCTCCATCTCCTGACCTTGTGATCCACCCGCCTTGGCCTCCCAAAGTGCTGGGATTATAGGCGTGAGCCACCAAGCCCAGCCTCAGATGTCATTTTCAACTAAGAACTGTCAATATTTATTCTGTAACTAACAGATGCCCCTGTATATACTGGGTGGCTTCCTGTACAATGTTTCCATCATAAAAATCTTCTTCTAACCAATTATGTGTAACATTAGAGAAATGAAGGTGGAGAGTGCAAATCATCATACTACCTTTAGGCTGGACTTATCCTAAGCCCCATTTTTATTAGAATTCTTGGGCTGCTATAACAAATTACTAAAACTTTGGTGGCTTAAAGCAACAGAAATATATTCTCCTCCTATAGTTCTGGAGGCCATAAGTCCAGCACTAGTTTCAGGGGTCAAGAGCAGGCTGTCATCAAAGCTTCTGCAGGGACTCCAGCGGGGAGTCTACTTTTTGGCTTCTTCCAGCTTTTGGTGGCTTCAACTTTCTTTGGCTTGAGTCCACATCACTTCAATCTCTGCCACTGTCTTCAAATTGCCTTCTCTTCTGCAGACTTTGTTAAAATGTCTGTCTATGTCTATCTTATAAGGACAATCGTGATGTCCTTATAAGAGAGATAGACAGACATTTAATAAAGACAGGCCCATTTAGGGCCCACCTGGTCAATACAGGATAATCTGCCCAATTCATAATCCTTAATTTATATATGCAAAGGCCCTTTTCCTATATAAGGTATATGTATCGGCTGCATGGAATAGAACCTGAGCATTTGAGCATCATACTCAACAATAAACCATTAAAGAACATACTATCAGTGTTGGTACTATACACACATCACAGGCTCTTCTCTCTCTCTCCTCCTTTCTCTCTCTTCCTTGTGACTATAAATTTCCTCACTTCCCTAAGTGTATCCAGTGCCACCTATGTCCAGGTTAGAGCAGCACACATAGGAAGGCCTTGCTGAGGTTTTGCTTAGAGACCTGCTCTATCCCTCATTATCATTCAGAAAGAAGGACACAGCCAAAGACAGCCCTCAGCCATCTGGGGAGCAGCTGTCTTTACAGAGGACAGTCACAGGCTATCATTCTCTGGACCTCTGTTTATCTTCAGATGTCTGTGGCCCTCAGCCCTCAGTGAGGGTCTGTGTGGCAACTGATTCGAGTAGGATCCAACAGGACCCTTATCAGAACATCTGGTTCACAGAAGGCAGTGAGTATAAGGTAGGAGATCATCAGGGCTTGTATTCTGAGCACTGATCACAACACTGGTCATGACAACGCTGACCAGAACAGGATCTGGACAAAACAGGATGCACTACAGAAACTGGCCCAAACCAGCTAGAACAAAGATGGTGACAAAAACGACCTCTAGAGCACAGTGTGAGTGGATCTTCCCCTGGGGGCTCCCATCAGACAGAGTGGCAGCCATGGCTCAGTGCTGGGTGGTCATAGTATGAAACCCCCCCACGGTCTTTTCATAGCCCCCCTCTGACTGCAGTGATGTGGGATTTCTCTGTCCAACTTTCATGGCTCCAGCAGCTTCCGGGACTCTGTTCACAGTGGGAGGTCATGAAGGTAGTTAGGTTACTGATGGCCAGAGTGACGTCTGTCCAGACTCACCCCCTTGACCCAGGCAGGCATCGTGTCCAGGGAGCAGTGGGAGCCAGCAGGAGCTCAGTGTCAGCCCTTATTTCACAAGGAGCTAGGCTAGACACTGTTATTTCCCTGACTGGCTCTGCTGGTGACAGTGACCCTGTCTCCTGGAACACAGGGAGGGGCCTGGAGATGAGCACCACACAATATCCCAACTGTCATATAAGGGGGGAACAAATATGAACATCCCCAAATATTAATTGTAAGTACATACTTCATTCAGTTTGATTAAATTCTGAGAAAGCAAAATGGGCTAAAAACTTCATCTTGAAGGAAACATTCATGTTTAATGCACAGAAACTGATGATGAATCTTGAGTCCTCCCTCTTCACCAGAGAGTTGGAAAAACAGGAGGAAGAAGAGCAAAGCTGGGACCCCATGTCCACGAGGGCCTCCTGAAGCTGATCTGCTCACAGAGGGTGGGGAAGATGGATGAGTCAGCTTCCGCTGCCACACCGTAACACGGGGCTGGATGGCTAAACCACAGAATTTAATTTTCACATTTCTGGTGCCTGGAATATCCCAGATCGACGTTCAGCAGAGTTTGTTTTCTGCTAAAGACCTTATTCCTGGTTTGTAGGTGCCACCTTCTCACCATGTCTTCACACAGCCTTTCCATGGAGGGGAAGGCGGTTAGAGAGAGAGAAGAAAAAGGAGAGGTCTCTGGATCCTACAAAATCATGAATCCTACTGGATCAGGGACACCCCCTGCCATGACCTCAATTACATCTTTAGAGGTTCTGATTTCTACAGTCACATTGAAAATTAGGGTTTCAACATGAATCTGAGGGCACAATTCAGTCCATAGCAGGTGGGACACAGCCAAGGCCGTGCTTCCAGTCTCAGGGCATGGGGCAGGTTCCCACAGCTCAGCACACGGGTGGCTCCTCCCAGGTGCCCAGGTCACAGGGAAGATTTGACTCTAACTCTAGGGCTCCCTGTTGATAATGGGACACCAGCACTCCTACTTCCCAGTGTTCCTGAGACCATGGTGCTGTCCTTTGTTCATTGTGGAGCATGTGTGCCATCTTCAGGCAGGTCTTTGACATAGCAACTTATGGGACATTTGATTCTGTGATTGTGAAAATTAATTAATAGATTAATTAGTCATAAATAACAAATTAAACAATACATTGAATCAGAAACAAAGGAGGGCCAAATGAGGAGCTTAAAAGGAGTCTGAGTGTCTTAAAAAGACGTATTCCTTTCAAACAAGAACAGTTAGAGTCACAGATTTTTTTAACAATAACTTTTTAGTAGCAATTATGAAATAGTAAATGATAACTTCAAATAGGCTACTACAAATATAAGTTTACAGTCAAAAAATATTTTCAAGAATCATGTAAACACATTTTCAGATTAAAACAAACAAACAACGAATGTGGGTTTATCTGCAGATCCACTCACTGGAAAACTTCTCAAATGTGTGATTGAGTCAAAAGTACATTTGTCACTGATGGAAAGCTCCAGGTTTGTTTTTTTTTTTTCTGTTTTTGTTTTTAGTCTTTAGAAGAAAACAGCTTTCTCTCCACTCTGTCCCACCTCATGCTGCTGAGGATGGCTGGGCAGGCAATGACTGTGAGGAAGGAGGAAGGCTGTGTTCTCAGGGTGTTCGTGCCTCCTGCCCACCGGAGTGACCTCACGGAGCAGAGCCACCTACACCACCAAGGCCACCTGCCTGCCTCTGCACTGCCATGGCAACAGACAAAGAAACCTTGTTACATTTAGTTCACCATATTATGAGGCTTCTTTGTAATTAAATTTGATCATGCTCTGATTCTCCTTGTATCTCTCCCCTTTCAGTTTTGGGGATCATATACTTTTCACTATTTTGACTTGAGAATATATGCCTTTGGGATATCAGCATCATGTAGGTGGTATCTTTGTTTGCTTTCTCCAAAATATAACTAACTACCTTGAATGGGTTTTCATTTTATCTCCTGTCTCGCAGAAAAGCAGAAACTCAAGGTGACTAGGTGCTGTCAATCCCAGGAGGGCTAAAGGTGACGATGGCATTGCTTACCTCGTGCTCTTGCTACTTACATTTTATTTTCTTTTACTGCATTATGTAATAAAATATAGGGTCAATGATGCATTAATTAGTATTTTTCAATAACATATTGAGTGTCTCATATTTCTTAGTTTGAGAGCTCCGGTCTAATAAATATCTATGTACATTTTGCCACGCAACTTTTAAACCTAACAGAAATGACACATTGGAATTTTAATTGCACTTCCTATGGAATCTGTTATCTTGAAATAAATCATCTCAAGTATTATTTAAACCCTTAGCCTGTATCAGGATCTTGTTCTGTTGATTCAGTCTTTTGTGTCTCTACACCGTGTTATCACATGTGACAGACATCACTCATTACTCGGGTTCGTGTAAATTTATTTGGCAGAATGATCAGATCATGGATGCAGATTAGTGGTAACACAAGTGAAATACATGTTAGAAATGACTGGTTTGGGGATAGTTTTTTGCATGATAACACTTGGTCATATTGCAAAATTGCTGTCTTCCCACTTTCCAAACTTTCTCCTTTACCACTCACACGAAACTGCCCTCTCTAGCATTATGGTAGAGAAAGCACTGTTGCTTTTTTAACGAAAGCATTTCTGTTAGGTTTAAAAGTTGCATGACAAAATGTAGATAGATATTTATCAGACTGTAGCCCTCAAATTAAGGAAGCATATAAATTTAGAGCACTATTGTCAATGGAATATATTAAGAGCATAATTTTTCTATGCATTAACAACTAAAATAGAGGATTCAGATTTATTTTCAGGAATAGTATCATATAAAAATAATGCATTTATTCATTCTTTGAATCATTTTCTTATGACAACATAGCACTAAAAATTTTCTCTTTAAAATGCTATGTCAGTAAAATATTTTTAAAATTCTAAGAATTTGAGAAGGAAATAAAAATCTCATATAATTCTGCATTGTTCCTGTGGTACATTATGTAAACTTTATGTTCTCCATCTGAATTATTTTGTCTATTTTCAAAGCCCACTTTTGGAATTGGAAGAACTCTATTTTCAGTCAGCAAAAGGCAACTGAGGCAAATCAAACTATTTTGGTATTAGGATTTATATCTGTCCTGGATTTTAAAAATCCATAAGTAGTAAAAATAATTATCCTTGGCCATACTCCCATGAAAATAGCTGGTGCAGAATGCTTTTTCCACCATAATACTAGAGAGGGCAGTTTCATGTGAGTAATAAAGGAGAGAGAAAGTTTGGAAAGTGCGAAGACTTGGCTCCACCCAGGAAGCCATGCAGCAGTGCTTTCAACTCTGTGGTTCTTCACAAGTAACACATTTGGCCCCTTTTTGGATCCACATCATCAACTGCCATCACCACCACCAGCCACATCCCCACCCACCATAATCAAGGGCAGTGTAATTGAACAATAGCTGATCTCTCTTATGTTCTCTTCATGCTCCCATTCCTGCAGTCTGCCCAATCTCAAATTCTGAACTTTGGAAAATAAAACTGTTTACCTCATCCTGTATTTTCTCAGTGATCCCTGGAAAATACTACATCTTTAGTATACTGCATCTTCCAGTGTATGCATTTTATTTTTAAAACCAACTTTCAAAATTTCAAGAACTCCCTTTTTCTATCAGCAAGAGGTAATTGTAATCAAAGAGTTTTAGTATTAGGAACTTGCGTCTGCTATGAAATTACAAAATCTATTTGACACTCACAACCAAGATCTTACTGATTGTCCTCAGCCAGCTCCGCCAGAGGAGAATTAGTGAATAATCCTGTCTCTACTGTCTCATGGAGTGGAGAAGAATGGCAAACAGGAGAAGTAGGAATTTAAAAAGTGGGAAAATACCAATTTTACATATAACCAAATATTTTCTTTGAAAGGTACCCAAAACTGTTAAACCCTAAAATGTACTCAACATGTTTTGCCAGAAATGATCAGTAGTCTGGCCCTTTTGCTCAATAAATTTAAACAAATGTAGGCAAGGAAGGAGGATTCAGATGAGATTCCATTCTCCTTTCCCTATCATCCCAGTTTTTTACTCACAGGGCCCTAGAACCTCCTCATTTTCCTGTTGGTTATGAGAGTCAAGGCTGTGGCAGGTGACAGGAACATAAACAGGGGTGCTGACCTGCCGCAGTGGCTCACACTGTACTGCCAGCACGTTGGGAGGCCAAGTCAGGTGGGTGGCTTGAGCCCATGATTTTGACAACAGGCTGGGCAACATGGTGAAGCACCGACTCTACAAAAAAATAGAAAAATTAGCCATGTTTAGTGGCATGCACCTGTAGTCCCAGGCAGAGTCCTCAGAAGCAAACCCTGCCCTGTATTCTCCAACAGCCTCCTCTTTTGCAGACTCAGAGACGCTGCTGACCTGCTCCCCAGACAAGCAGTGCATGTGAGCAGCTGGGGCACCACAGCAGGGAGGTTTCTGTTCAGGGCTGTACCACTGTGGAAGGAAACTCTATACGTTGCATGCAGTAATAAACTCCAACATCCTCAGCCTCCACCCTGCTGATTTTCAGTGTGAAATCAGTGCCTGACCCACTGCCACTGAACCTGTCTGGGACTCCAGAGGCCCGATAGGAAAGCGTATAGATCAGGAGCTGTGGAGACTGCCCTGGCTTCTGCAGGTACCAGTCCAAATAGGTGTTTCCATCATCACTATCCAAGAGGCTCTGACTAGACCTGCAGGAGATGGAGGCCGGCTCTCCAGGGGTGACGGGCAGGGAGAGTGGAGTCTGGGTCATCACAATATCCTCACTGGATCCTGAAATAATAACAGAGAAGTGCAAGTTTATATAGATACATTATGAGCAACTTTCATAATTTCTCTTGTGATATAAATTTACAGTTACATTTTTAAAGTTTTGATTTATATCATGAAAAGTAGACTTTCTAAAATAGACCCATTATTTATTAGCCACAAGGGAACTCTTTTTTTTCAAGTTCTTAATCAGAGCACTGGTCATCGTTCCCTGGAGGTGAATCCTGATTATTCATAAGACAAACCTGAATTCCATTCCCTGGAGCATAGACCATGTGCCTCTATCACATTATTGGAATAAACATGTGAAGCTGTGGAGCCCACAGAGCTCACCTCCCACCCAGTTGTCCTCCCTCATCTCTTTCTGTCCTTACCAGGGACCCAGAGCATTAGCAGCCCCAGGAGCTGAGCAGGGAGCCTCATGGTGAGAAGGTGAACTGAGGAGTCCTGATCAGTCAAGGCAAGGATAGAGCTGAGCTTTTATCTCAGACTCACAAGGGAAGGTCCACCCTAGGGGACAATATGCAAATCACCTGGTGGGTGCAGTGGTGTGGAAAAGGTTGACGGGGCAGGGGGAATGTCTCTTCTGTGAACAATGTGATATAAATTGTCCTTTGGAATAAAACAGAACTAGATTCAGCCAAGTTTGCCCACAATCAAGGGAAGAAGGATCTGAAGGTGAAAGTTCGGACCTTTTGTAGGGACACACTGTGTAGGGCATGACTGTAAGAAAGCACCAGAACCCTGACAATGTGGAAATGTGTGTCTAGGATACATCTCTGGGAGGTGAATGCCATCTGGCTTGATTCCCTCCCAGTCAATCTAGAGTATGAAACAGGCCCATCCCCACAAGCACTGCTGAACTGAGAGCCTGCAAATAAAAAGCGGCCTGGAGCCAGTTCAAGGGCTGTCTGGTATCTACTGTTTCCAGGATAACTGTTCAAGAATGTTCAACTCAAATATTAGAATCTACTCTGCCTTGGCACCTGGTGAGTGAACAGCATAAGAGCTCTCTGTCCAAGCGCCTCACAGGGAGAATGATGTGAGCCTCTACATTTAGAGCCAAGAGCCCAGTGTAAGAAAAAGGAAAGAGAGACAAAATTTTGTGCCTCCAGCAGCAAATTTAAAATTCCTGGTGACCAGTTGTTCAATCTGGGATCTATCTCATCATAATCGTCTCACACATACAAGGTTAACCAGAGGGCTCTTTCTTTTTTGTTGTTTCTGTTTTTGTTTTTAGTAGAGATGGGGTTTCATTCACCAAGTTGTCTGGGCTTGTCTTGAACTCCTGACCTCAGGAGATCTGCCTGCCTTGGCCCCTAAGGTAGTGGGATTACAGGTGTGAGCCATTGTGCCTGGCCCAGAGGACTCTGTCTTAAGGGAAGAATCTTCTAGATTAATGATACAGAACAAATAAGAAATAACTTTGCATGATGTTTTTTCAAGTGATGATTAGAAAAGCTCTTCCCACACAGTCTCCCTGGTCATGTGGAATCAGGTCCTGTCAGGGCTTCCAGGTTCTCGTCAACTCTGAGTGAGACGTGAGTCTCCCCCAGCCTGGATGTGGTGCAGCCACAGCCACGAGTCCACAGATCCAAAGGAAATTCTCTGTGTATAAAGAGCAAGAACTGCATTCACAGTTTTACATCTCTGGGTAACCTGTACTTGTAACTGATATTTTCTTGACTTTATGTAAAAATGCTCACAGCTTAGGGATGTGAACCTACCATACAACTGATCATTAAACAGAAAAACAACCACACTGTTCTTTATTTGTCATCGATGTGCTTAACATTCCATTGAACAGCTCCTGAATAATGGTGCCAACAATAAATAGTTTCACAAGGACAGTCACATTTCTGAAAAAAAAATAATAATCCAGTAACAATGAAGGACTAGCTTGTAGTGTGATGTAAGCTTGGGTAATTTAACACAAAGCCATACTTAATTGCCCAAGAACACAAATAAATGCCATTGTAGGTAAGACTGCAAAGAAAGCTTGATCTGAATATCTTCTGGGGAATCTACCAAAATATCATTTTTTAATAAGATCGGAAAACATACTTGATTAAAAATGATATTGACCTTCAAATGTTGAACTCCATGACAATAATATGGGCTGATGATATTAAACAGTAGCTACGAGGAGGTATTGAAATAAAAGTCTCATATTTCACTGTTAAAATTTTATTTATTCTTTTCTCTTATTACATGTTGCAAATTTTGGGTACCCGACTTTTTTTCTGATGATGTCAGCAAATTCTGATCTGCTTCTTAGTGTTGAAAAGGTCAGACTCTTAACCATGGTAGTGAAAAAAAGTCAGAAACATCTGAAGCTGAAGGAATGGAAGAAGGAGACATAAACAGCCTAACTAAAATAGAACAAAATGGTCCATTTTATTGTTAGTTTTAAATAATTATTCTGAAAGGGTGTTAAATCAATAATCAGTTTTATCCATTATCTAATGCAAAGATTTGAATTGCAGGAAAGTGATTAACAGTAAAAAAAATTGCCCTGTTTTCTTTTACTGTAAGCCAATTCTTGAAAATGTTATTTTCACAAAGTATTTAGATTGCTTGAATTTAGGAGAGCATTGCTGTTTTCTATGAGAATGAATGAACCATTAAAAAGACTACCCCTGGGATTTTTAACAAAAATCTCATGATTTGTCGCCTTACATATCTGGAAAATGTAAAAACTTGGACAAATCCTTTTTTAGTCAGAAAAAGCCTTTGAAATTACCCGATTTAAACTGTAGACTTAAAGAACACTATTACTAATTCTAACCAGAATCCTCCCTCTCTTATCTGTTGATGCATCCTACCAGGGCTTTCACAGCAGCAGACAAAGCTGGTCACTCTACAGTGGACACAGACAAGATGGAAGAGCAACCTACATTTGAACCAGGGTGGGAGCAGGCCTCTATGTGTCTCTCATCTGAATCATGGTCATCTGAATGAGGGAGGATTTCTACAGGCAGGGTTTAGTGTGGCTGTGTCTCCTTTTCCTGATTGGTTAGTTTGGGATCCATGTAATTGAAAAGAACTGTATTACTCATATGACTTGAGAAGAGAGTCTTGGAAGTGGAATTGTTTGTGTTCATTACCGGGAATCAGTGTTTATGGGGTGGACACTGTGATCCTGTTTGTAGGGGGGTTGAGGGATTTGTTGGCTGACCAAGGAAAAACAGATGACCACAGACGGCAGTAGCACATGTGACCTAGTCTATTGGGTGAAGCTTTGACAGGTTTACAGCAAGAAGTCCCTCACAGCAGGTGGTAGTCCAGAGAATCAGGTGCCAGGGTTGTTTCTCAAAATGTGCAGGACACTGTAGAAGGGATATGCATTTAGGGGATGCCACACAGCAGCACAGTGGGGAGTTTCTGTGTCAGAGAGCTACAGAGACCAGTATTAAGTTTAAGGTTTTCATAAACCGGGGCTTGTCTTACCTACTGCTAGCAGATGTGGGTCAGGCTTTCTGGATATGTAGATTAAGTATTTTCTAAAAGGTTAAAACTATTCTTATTTTTGTGGTTTTTAAAACAATTACGTTTTAAAATTTGAGTTTGGCACAGGCCATTGAGAAATAAGCCCACAGTTTTGAAATAAACAACATAGCATTCTCATTTATAGATCCCTGTTGCACATCGTGTAGACTTTGTTCTACAGACTGTATTAGTCCAGACAGTGCAAACCCACACTGTTATGGATGAGGCTGAGACACACAGAGGCCTGTTCCCTACCTGAGCATCAATGAACCTTCTTTAAATTAAAGGTGAGAGTTTGTCCTTAGATGAGAATTAAGACCAAGTCACCCACAAATGGAGCTTCCATCTGTGAAGCTACAGGTCCTGTGAATGGATTCCTGGCTCCCAGGCACCTGGGAATGAAGCCGTCTGCGTTGTCTCACTAACTGAAATTGTCCCTCGCTGGAACAGAGATTCATGGATAAATATTCTGGAACACAGGGAGAGAGCACAGGGAATGTAGGCTCCTTGAATGTGTGTCTTCTGCTTCTGAGAATCTCTCTCTCCAAACATTGAAAGAAACAGCATTGTTTCCATATCAGACTTTTCTGAATCTTCGGACCCTGTTCTAGATCTGTCTCATCTGAACCTGTTTCCAAATGTTTCAATTCTGGTCTCTACTTTTTCTTGGAAAAGGTTTTCAGAAATCCTATGAAACTATCCACACAGCTGTGGGATTAAGTGGTGGGCTTCTCCTCTGTGCTTGTTAATATCTCTGGAGAATCCACCACACCCACCAACTGCACAAAGTGAAGTTATGAGTCTGTTTTCTTCCTGAGCATTCTGTGTCTCATAAGTTCCCCTCGAATTCACATCCTTGAAGAAAGGGGTCTCCGTCCTCAAAAGTAAAACTCTATAAAACCATAGCTTGCCTGAGAAGTTAGTATAATTTTTCTACTCTTTGAATGTGAAGTTAGCCTTGAGGCCTTATAGTAAAACCTGGTTTACTTGAGAGATGGGAAATGAAGATCCCAAGAAGTTTTTAGAGACTAAATTGGGGATTCTAGCCATTTAAACTGTAGTAGAAGCTGCAGTTGATATAAGAACTTCTATGAATATAACAAGAAAATAAAGTGGAATAACTTATTTCTTGTAACTTAGATAAGAACTTCAATGAATATAACAAGAAAATAAAGTGCAATAACTTATTTACTTGTAACTTAGATAAGATAGTTTACCTGTAGAAAAAATGAAAATAGAATTTGTGAGTTCTCACATCGTTTTTTTCATGTTAAACAATTTTAAGAATCAAGCAAATGTTTATATAAATTATAATTTATAATGTTTAAGACTCTAGAGAAAAATTATGGTTCAAATCAATCAAACTGAGTTCTAAAGACAGCTGAATTTTTCCTTTAACTGCTTCTTTTCACCTCCTGTTAGCAAAAATCAAAAGTACAGAAAAGGAAACAGACAAGAGCTGAATAAAGCATTTAGTGCTCATTTCTTGTCTTATAATAATACTATTAATAATTAATAATAATAATACAGCCTCTGCATTGACAACTGGAAATAGTGACTCTGCCCTTCTGGAAGCAGCAGCTTCACATCACAGCAGTGAACTTCATTATAACTTGGTGATTCTTGGGCAGGAGCTAAGGATCACCCAAGTGTAAATGCTCTGTGAAGAGCCAGTTGCCCTTATGTTGGAATACTTCTAGATATTAACTCTTCTAAAATATCTACCAGCAAAAAAAAAAAAAAAATGAAGCATCAGTAATAAAATGAAATAAATTCTGACTTCCCAGGAGCAGTCAAGAATAAAACTATCATGTTTAACAGAGGACTAGAGGCATAATTTCCTGCTAGCTACTGATTTAGCTGGATCTTACTCATAGTAAATAGTCTTACCTTAGTAAATTAGAAACATCCTCAACCTAGAAAATGGTTTCTTTTGTATTCTGGAATCCTAGCAGTCCTAGGCAAAAATTAATACTGAAAATAAGAAGGTACACAAATCTGTTATAACAGGAAAACTATTATACAATTATTTGTATAAGGCAAAATAAAAGGAAGAAACCTATTGACTTATGGAAGATTAAAGCAAATACTTACTAGTCATTAATAGTCCTAATAAGCCATAAAGCAAGAGTAATATCTTTTGTCTCTGGCTTGTGATGGTATTAAATTTCAAAATAATGATTTTGTTTTGGGTTAAAACTAACTTCATAGGTTTTCTCAGAGTAGGTCATCTTACTCAGAAGTTATAGAGGAAAATGAAAATAAAGAAAAACCTATTATGAAATTTGCCCCAGGTTAACCTTTGCAGAGAGACTAAGAGAAGGATACCATTTAAATGATCCTATTAATAGCATTAAAATATTTAATTTGCTAGGCAAATCTAAAATCAACCTTTTCTCTAGAATTTGAAGGAAGACAATTATATATTTAGAGAATTTGACTTGAGTGTCCTTGTGAGTGGCTGACAGACAAACAGACCAGATGAATGTTGGTGCAGTAGAATCAAGGACATCACAACATTAAATTTTCCTCATTAGAGAGCAAGTCCAGATACTGCACCACGACCGGGTCAATGATCAGAAAATTACTTGGGAACTCTTTGTGGCTGCCTAGTCATATTGTGGCTGTGGTTGAGAGGCTGATTTCCCCTGGCTGGTATTGCCCTGCACCTTGAATCTGGGCATTCGTCTCTACTGCTGCCATCAAATGCCACTAAATGGTGTCCCCATTAATAAGGCCTTTGTAATGTGTGTAACATAAAGACGGAGTGAATCAGAGTTCAGGATTACAGGAATATTTATTTTATTCCAGTGTTGTTAATATGTGTCTTTGTCTTTCAAAGAAGGAAGCCACAAATAGGACTTCTTTGGTTTCTGGAGGCTACATATTCTACCCGTTGGAATACAGGTTTGGCCCAGCAGGTGACATGAAAGTCAGCCAGTCGTGAGTGGGACTCAGGATAGAAAAGGGCTCTGCAGCAGATCCAGGTTGAAGTGCAAACGGCCCAGCCTCTTGGGCCACTGCGGATGCAAACGACTTCAACAATGCTATCAACCATCTGGACAAGGCTGATACTTAGAGAACACTCCACCAAACCACAGCAGATTCCATGGTCTTTCAAAACATTGGCTAATGATACACTATATTTTGGGCAACAAGATATTTCAAAAAAACCAAGCTGATTAAATCAAAAAAATAAATTATTCATAACTGAGGGGATTGTATTAGAAATCAGAAACAGAAAGTTATCAGAATGGGGTTGGTGGGAGAAGGAGGAGGAATGAAAAATTACCTATTGGGCACAAGGTACACTGTTCGGGTGATGGGTAGCTAAAGCCCAGAGTTCACTACTATACAATTCATCAGTGTAACCAAAAACAACTCTTACCAATAAAGCCACTGAAATTCTAAATTTAATTTTTTAAAAATTTGCCAAAAAGAATCTAAATATTTGGAAAATATGTAAAGTACCACTATATGTAGTTTGGGGCAAAGAAGCAACAAAAAGGGAAATTAAAAAGTACTTGGATCTGAAAGTAAACATCACATATCCAAATTTATGAGATTCAAAAAAATGCAGTTAATTTATAGCATTATGAATGTGTTTTAGCAAAGAAGTTTTCACATCAATCACTGGAAATGTAATCCTGACAAACTAGGAAAAAAAGAATAAATGCCACTCAAAAGAAGGGTCTTTTATTCTTAGAAATGTGAGGATGTGACAAGCACACATCTAGTATTCCACCAATACAGTCATATCAGTCTCCAAATGAAAACACCATTAGCAGCTGCACAAGAAGAAAGTCTTAGAGTGGACGAGCAGAGTGAGTTACTGCTCAGAGAGAATGAGGAGTCAGGGAAAGTCAAAATAGGATTCCTGTGTGATATTATTATGAGCTGCACAAACATGAGACTGCCCTGAGCCCTGACTTACTCATAAGCCGAACATCATGGAGTGCAGGCCATTTTCCAGCCTCCTGATGGTTGGTGAGAGTGGGGTCACTTGGCAAAGGCATGGAGACTCGCTATGAAGGTCATCAGTGGCAGCAGGTGAGGACAGGACACACTAGGGTTCCCTTACAGTGACATGACTGAGCATCCCTACAGCCATGAGAACAGCAGGGAACCTTAGGGGCTGCTCCAGGGATGATGTGGCAGCAAACCCTGGAGGGTTGGTGGGGCTTCAGCGCCCTACATGTGGAGGAAAGAGGAGGCTTTGGAAGGTGTCCTGGAGGACCCTGGCCCTGTTCACACAGAAGAGGAGCCTGTGCCTATGACTAAGGCCTCATGGCCTCTTCCTTCCTCAAAGGCTTTCCAGTCATCTCCCTGAGCCCACCTGACTCCAACTGCTGGAGACACATCCCCTGGCACCGCACCTGCTCCTGCCACACTGAGAGGCTGAACTTACTTTGAGGTTTGTGTTTGGGGCCATCACACTGTTCAGGGACCCGGTGAGTGTCCTGCTCACAGGAGGCTGTGCAGCATTTCCAGGCTCCAAAGTGGTGTTTGTGATGGTGAAATCCCTAGAATTTTGGTTAGATGTGTTTTCTCACTTGTGAATACCTTCTGTAGACCTGTCATTCTGTGCTTTACAAACTCTTTTCTGTAAACTATCTATTCTTTGTTTTTGGACTTTTGGGTTAAGAATGTAATTTTAATTGTACTATCTTTAGTCTCCACACTGCTGATTGTGGAAGTGAAATCAACGTATTTTTGGTTGGATGTGTGTTCTCACTCATGAATATGTGTAGAAAAGTCCTCTGAAGACTTGTCTATCTTTGTATGTGTGACAGATTCTTTCTATATACCATGCCTTCATTATTTATTTATTTTTTGATTTTTCTCCTGGGGAATACTGTTTTAACTTCACTTACCATGGTGTGGATCATCCTAGAATAGACAATCATTTCTGATGGGTTTGATTATTTTAACCAGAAACAAAGGTATTTTGTCCTATGGGTGCAAACACTTCTATGTGTTGATTATATCACCTCATGAAATGGAACTGATTTGCCCATGATTCGTTCATAAATATTTCTGAAGAATTATTTTAAGTGACACCATGCAGGCCGGGCGCGGTGGCTCACGCCAGTAATCCCAGCACTTTGGGAGGTCAAGACGGGTGGATCATGAGGTCAGGAGATCGAGACCATGGTGAAACCCCGTCTCTACTAAAAATACAAAAAATTAGCCGGGCACAGTGGCGGACACCTGTAGTCCCAGCTACTCAGGAGGCTGAGGAAGGAGAATGGCTTGAACCCGGGAGGTGGAGTTTGCAGTGAGCCGAGATCACGCCACTGCACTCCAGCCTGGGTGACAGAGCAAGACTCAGTCTCAAGATAAGAGAAAACAAAACAAAACAAAACAAAACAAAATATATATATATATGCACACACACATATATATACACACATATATATACATATATATACATATATACATTTACTTATTTCAAAACCTTTTATTTTTTGTGATAATTTGGTACCCAAATTGTCATTTCTAAATGACCAGTAAGTTTCAAAAGGAATCTTCCTACTTTGGGGCAACGATGTAAGGGTTGAAAGGCTAAAGAACCACTGCAAGAACCTGGAGAGAAAACAATACAAAAGTTTATATTAATAACATCAGAGAACAGTAGAAGAAATGAGAACTAAGTGACCTAAAATTCCAAAGTGAAAAGCATCCCTTCTAGTTTAGCTGATGCTGGCCTGACTCTTTGTCCTCCTGCCATATCTGCCAAGTTTGCATGTGGACACAGTCTCTCTCTTGGCACAAGCAGAGGAACTCTCCTCAGAAAGGAGAATCAGATTGACCATCAGGAGTTGCACAGAGCAGCCTCTATACATGGCCCGTGTCCTCCGTAGGGCATTTGCTGAGGTCTGAATCATCAGGCAGGCTGTAGGAGATGGGCTAGAAGAACATAAAACTCCCACGGACTCAGCATGTTCTTCCAAATCCCCAAAGATGCACAGAGCATCCTGAATACATGTCTGAATCGTGCACATTGACCTCGAACCACACTGATCCCCTGCAAGTGTAGACCCTGCCTGGCCTTGTGCTCTGCATGTCAGTGGTTGTGACATCTCCAGACCGAACCAGTGGTCTCTGCTAAACCTCCTCTAGGGGCAGAATGAGTTTCAGAAGCTCTGCTTTGCTGTTGGGATTTGACTTAGGACTGAGTGACATTACCTCAGGTCTCCTTGCACAGGGACTTCACTAAATCTTTGGTGATTACACACCTAAAGCACTACTCACGACTTTACTTTCCTGTGAGACTTCCAGTGGCACAGGCTCCACCCAGGAAGCCAGGCAGCAGAGCCTTCAACTCTGTGGTTCTTCACAAGTATCATATTTGGCTCCTTTGTGGGTCCACATCAACTGCCATCACCACCACCAACCGCATCCCACCCACCATAACCCAAGGCAGTTTAGTTAAACAATAACTGACCTCTCCTGTATTCCCCGAATGCTCCCATTCCTGCAGTCTGTCCAGTGTTGAATTCTGCACTATGGGGAACAAAAAGGTTTTTATCATCCTTTACTTTCCCAGTGATTCATGGAAAATACTACATCTTTAGGATACTACATCTTTCAGGATTTGCTTTTTACTTTTAAAACCAACTTTTAGAATTTCAATTACTCCCTTTTTCTATCAGCGAGAGACAATTGTAATAAAATAATTTTACTATTAGGATCTTGCATCTGACATGAAATTACAAAATCTATTTGGCATTCACAACCAAGGTGTTACTAATTGTCCTCAGCCAGCTCTCCCTGAGGATAACTAGAGGAGAATGCCGTCTCTACTGTCTTACGGAGTGAGCAATAAGTGTTAAATAGAAAAACAGGGAAGTTGAAAAAGTAGGAAAGCACTTGGATTTGGATAAAACTGAACACAGATTTGCACCCATTATATCTCACACCTTTAACAGGGGCCAAGGCATATCAGCCTGGTGCAGTAGCAGAGGAAGTGGATTGAACTACATCAGCATCAGTGGGCTTCAGCCTGGGGTTCTGGGGAGTATTACTGATGCCTGACTGGGAGTGGTCAAATCACTGTGGCGGAGCCCCTGCACACACCCTCCTGTTGCCTATTCAGGGGCCCAAATTTTGAGGAACTTACTCATTTAGAGAGAAAAAGGGAAACTTCTCATTTGCCCTCTAAAGGTTTGCAGAAAATGAACGGACAAAACGCAAATTAATGGAAGGAAGAGGCAAAAAAAAAAAAAAATTCTGTAAAATGTAGGGGAAAAATCACAGGGTCTCACTCGGTTACCCAACATGAAGTGCAGTGGTGTGATCATGGCTCATTGAAAACTTGAATTCTCAAGCACGAGCGATTCTCCCACCTCAGCCTATGGAGTAGCTGGGATCACAGGGGCGTGCCACCATGCCCACATACATGCATATTTGCTGGAGGGGAGATGGAGACTCTGTCCTGGATGTGAGACAGGTGGCTGGCATCTGGGTAAGGATGACATTCCTTCATTGCTCAATGACATTCCCTCATTCCATTCCATCCCATTCCATTCCATTCCATTCCATTCCATTCCATTCCATTCCATTCCATTCCATTCCATTCCATTCGTGTTGATTCCATTCCATTCCATTCCATTCTATTGCATTCCATTCCATTTCATTCCATTCCGTTGCATTCCATTCCATTCTATTCCATTCCATTCCACTCGGGTTGATTCCATTCCATTGCATTTCCTTTCTTCCATTCCATTCCATTCCACTCGTGATGATAAAATTCCATTCCACTCCCTTCCATTCCATTGCATTCCATTCCTTTCAACTCGGGTTGATTCCATTCCATTCCATTCCATTTCCTTCTATTCCATTCCTTTCCACTCGGGTTGATTCCATACAATTCCACTCCTTTCCATTCCATTCCATTCCATTCCATTGCACACAGGTAGATTCCATTCCATTCCATTCCATTCCATTCCATTCCACTCGCTTTTATTAAATTCCTTTCCATTCCATTCTATTCCTTTCCTATCCAATCAATTCCATTCCATTCCATTCCACTCACGTTGATTCCATTCCATTCTGTTACATTTCATTCCTTTCCATTCCACTCGGGTTGATTCCATTCCATTCCGTTCCATTTCATTCCATTCCACTCTATTCCATTCCATTCCATTCCATTCCATTCCATTCCATTCCATTCCATTCCATTCCATTCTAGTCGGGTTGATTCCATTCCATTCCATTCCATTCTATTGCATTACATTCCATTCTATTCCATTCAATTCCATTGCATTCCATTCGTGTTGATTCCATTCCAA
The DNA here is from genome assembly GCF_000001405.40 of Homo sapiens. Classification (NCBI taxonomy): domain Eukaryota; kingdom Metazoa; phylum Chordata; class Mammalia; order Primates; family Hominidae; genus Homo; species Homo sapiens. The sequence goes on along the minus strand of NC_000002.12, from coordinate 89,840,397 downwards.
TTCATTCTATTCCATTCCATTCCACTCGGGTTGATTGCATTCCATTCCATTCCATTCCATTCCGTTCCGTTCCATTCCATTCCATTCCATTCCATTCCATTTCGTTCCATTCCATTTCGTTCCGTTTCATTTCTTTCCATTCCCTTCCTATTGATTCCATTCCATTGCTTACAAATCATTTACTTTCCATTCCATTCATTCCATTCAATTACACTCGGGTTGATTCTATTCCATTCCATTCCATTCCGTTCCATTCCATTCCATTCCTTTCCATTCCACTCGCGGTTATCCAATTCCTTTCCATTCAATTCTATTCCATTCCTATCCATATCGTTCCATTCCTTTCAATTCTATTCCATTCCATTCCACTCACGTTGATTCCATTCCATTCAGTTCCATTTCATTCCATTCCATTCCATTCCATTCCATTCCATTCCCTTCCATTCCATTCCATTCCATTCCACTCAGGTTGATTCCATTGCATTCCACTCCATTCCGTTCCATTGCATTGCATTCCAATTGATTCGATTCCATTGCTTTCCATTCCACTGGGGTTGATTCCATTCCATTCCATTCCAATCCATTCCATTCCATTCCAGTCCATTCCATTCCAGTTGATTCCACTCGGGTTGATTCGATTCTGTTGAATTCCATTCCATTCCATTCCATTCCATTCCATTCCATTCCATTCCATTCCATTCCACTCTGGTTGATTCCATTCCTTTTCATTCCATTCCATTCCATTCCATTCGGGTTGTTTCCATTCCATGCCATTCCATTCTATACCATTCCCTTTCATTCCATTCCTTTCAATTCCATTCCATTCCATTCCATTCCATTCCATTCCATTCCATTCCATTCCATTCAATTAGATTCCATTCTATTCAATTCCATTCGATTCTATTCTACTGACGTTGATTCCTTTCCATTCCATTTCATTTCATTCCATTCCATTCTATTCCATTTCAAACCATTCCAATCCATTCCATTCCATTCCATTCCATTCAATTCCATTCCTTTCTATTGCATTCCACTCGTGTTCATTCCATTCCATTTCATTCCTTCCATTCCAATCCATTCCATTCCACTCGAGTTGATTCCATTCCTTTAAATTCCATTCCATTCTATTCCATTCAACTCCATTCCATTCCACTCGGGTTGATTCCATTCCTTTCATTCCATTTTATTCCATTCCATTCTATTGCAATCCATTTCCTTCCATTCCACTCGGTTTGATTCCACTCCATTCCATTCCATTCCATTCCATTCCATTCCTTTCCACTCCATTCTATTCCATTCCAATCGGGTTGATTCCATTCCATTTCATTCGTGTTGATTCCATTCCATTCCATTCCATTTTATTGCATTCCATTCCATTTCATTCCATTCCATTGCATTCCATTCCATTCCACTTGGGTTGATTCCATTCCATTGCATTCCCTTTCCTTCCTTTCCATTGCATTCCACTCGTGATGATAAAATTCCATTCCACTCCCTTCCATTCCGTTCCATTCCATTCCATTCAACTCGGTTTGATTCCATTCCATTCCATTCCATTTCCTTCTATTCCATTCCTTTCCACTCGGGTTGATTCCATACCATTCCACTACTTTCCATTCCATTCCATTCCATTCCATTCCATTCCACACAGGTAGATTCCATTCCATTCCATTCCATTCCATTCCATTCCATTCCATTCCATTCCAATCCATTCCATTCCAATCCATTCCATTCCATCCCATTCCATTCCATTCCATTCCATTCCATTCCATTCCATTCCATTCCATATCATTCCACTCGGGTTGATTCCATTCCATTCCATTTCATTCCATTCCATTCCGTTCTACTCAGGTTGATTAAATTCCATTCCATTCCATTCCATTCCAATAAATTCCATTCAATTCCATTCCATTCCACTCGTGTTGATGCAATTCCATTCCATTCCATTCCATTCCATTCCATTCCATTCCTTTCCTTTAAATTCCATTCAGGTTGATTCCATTCCATTCGAATCCATTCCATTGCACTCCATTCCATTCCCTTTCGTTCCACTCAGGTTGATTCCATTCCATTCCATTCCATTTCATTCCATTCCACTCGGGTTGTTTCCATTCCATTCCTTTCCCTTACATTCCTTTAAGTTTCATTCCATTCCATTCCATTCCACTCGGGTTGATTCCATTCCCTTCTATCCCATTTCATTCCATTCCATTCCATGCCATTCCATTCCTTTCCATTCCACTCGGTTTGATTCTATTCCATTCCATACCATTCCATTCCATTCCATTCCATTCCATTCCATTCCATTCCATTCCATTCCATTGCATTCCGTTCCGTTCCATTCCACACGGGTTGATTCCATTCCATTCCATTCAATTCCATTCCACTCCATTCCATTCTAATCTTGTTGATTCCATTCCATTCAATTCAATTCAATTCCTTTTCATTCCATTCTATCCTACTCTGTTTCATTGCGTTCCATTCCATTCTATTCCAATCCATTACATTACATTACATTCCACTCGGGTTGATTCCATTCCAATCCATTCCATTCCATTCCATTCCATTGCATTCCATTCCATTCCCATCGATTCCATTCCACTCATTTTGATACCATTCCAAAACATTAAATACGATTCCATTCCATTCCATTCCACTCGGGTTGATTACATTCCAATTCATTCCATTCCATTGCATTCCATTCCATTGCATACCATTCCATTCCAATCCATTCCATTCCATTCCATTCCATTCCACTCGGATTTTTTCAATTCAATTCCATTCAATTCCAATCCATTGTATTCCATTCTACACGGGTTGATTCCATTCAATTACATTCTATTCCGTTCCATTAAATTCCAAACCATTCCATTCGTGTTGATTGCATTCCATTCCATTCCATTCCATTCCATTCCATTCCATTCCATTCCATTGCATTCCATTCTTCTCCATTCCCTTCCATTCCATTCCATTCCATTTCATTACATTCCATTCCATTCGGGTCGATTCCTTTCCATTCCAATTCTTGCCATTGCTTTCCATTCCATTCCATTCCATTCCATTGCATTCCATTCTTCTCCATTCCCTTCCATTCCATTCCATTCCATTTCATTACATTCCATTCCATTCGGGTCGATTCCTTTCCATTCCAATTCTTGCCATTGCTTTCCATTCCATTCCATTCCATTCCATTCCATTCCATTCCATTCCATTCCACTCGGGTTGATTCCATTCCATTAAATTCCATTCCATTCCATTCCATTCCTTTCCCTTCCACTCCATTCCATTCCAATTTTGTTGATTCCATTCTATTGAATTCCATTCCATTCCATTCCATTCCATTGCATTCCATTCCATTGCAGTTGATTCCATTCCATTCCATTCTATTCCATTCCATTCCATTCCACTCAGGTTGATTTCATTCCTTTCCAATCCATTCCATTCTATTCCAGTCGTGTTGATTCCATTCCATTCCATTCTAATCCATTCCATTCCATTCCAATCCACTCAGATTTATTTCATTCCATTCCATTTCGTTCCATTCCATTCCATTCCATATCATTCCTTTCCACTAGGGTTGATTCCATTCCATTCCATTCCATTCCATTCCATTCCATTCCATTCCATTCCATTCCATTCCATTCCATTCCATTCCTTTTGATTCCAATCCTTTCCATTCTATTCCATTCCCTTCCATTCCATTCCATTGCATTCCAATCCATGTCATTTCGCTCGGATTGACTCCATTCCATTCCATTCCATTACATTCCTTTCCAATCCACTCGGGTTGATTCCATTCTGTTCCATTCCATTCCATTCCATTCCTTTCCATTCCACTAGGGTTGATTCCATTCCATTCCATTCAATTCCATTCCATTGCACTCGGGTTGATTCCATTCCATTCCATTCCATTCCATTCCATTCCACTCGGGTTGGTTCCAATCCATACAATTCCATTCCCTTCCATTCCAATCGGGTTGAATCCTTTCCATTCCATTCCATTCTATTCCATTCCATTCCATTCCATTCCATTCCATTGCATTCCATTCCACTTGGGTTCATTCCATTCCATTCCATTCCATTCCATTCCATTCCATTCCATTCCATTGCATTCCATTCCACTTGGGTTCATTCCATTCCATTCCATTCCATTCCATTCCCTTCCTTTCCATTCCGTTCCATTCCACTCGGGTTGATTTCTTTCCAGTCCATTTTATTCCATTCCATTCCAGTTGATTCCATTCCATTCCATTCCATTAAATTCCATTCTATTACTCTCGGGTTGATTTCATTCCATTCCATTCCATTCCATTCCATTCCATTCCATTCCATTCCACTCGGGTTGATTCCCTTCCCTTCGATTCCATTCCATTCCATTCCTTTCAATTCCATTCCTGTTGATTCCATTCCATTCCATTACATTCCTTTCCATTCCATTCCACTCCGTTTGACTCCATTCCATTCCATTTCATTCCATTCCGTTCTATTCCATTCCATTCCATTCCATTCCATTCCATTCCACTCGGGTTGATTCCATTTCATTACATTCCTTTCAATTCCATTCCATTACATTCCATTCCATTTCACTCGTGTTCATTCCATTCCATTCCATTCCATTCTACTCGGGTTGATTTCATTCCATTACATTTCATTCCATTCCATTCCAATCCAGTCCATTTCACTGAGAATGATACCATTCCATTCCAATCCCTTCCCTTCCATTCCATTCCATTCCAGTTGTTTTGATTCTATTCCATTCCATTCCATTCCATTCCACTCGTGTTGATTCCATTCCATTTCATTCCATTCCAGTTAATTCCATTACTTTCCTTTACATTTCATTACATTCCACTGGTGTTAATTCTATTTCATTCCATTCCATTCCATTCCATACCATTCCATTCCTTTCAGTTCCCTTCCATTGCATTCCATTCCATTCCATTCCACTCGAGTTGATTCCTTTCCTTTCCATTCCATTCTAATCCATTCCATTCCATTCCAATCCATTCCATTCAATTCCAGTCCATTCCATTGCATTCAATTCCATTCCTTTCATTTCCACTCGGGATGTTTCCATTCCATTCCATTCCATTCCATTCCATTCCATTCCATTTCATTCCACTCAGTTTGAATTGGAAAGGAATGGAATCATCACGAGTGGAATGCAATGGAATGCAATGGAATGGATTGGAATCGAATGGAATGAACCAGAGTGGAACGGAATGGAATGGAATGGAATGGAATGGTATCAAATCAACCCGAGTAGAATGGAATGGAATGGAATCAAATGGAAAGGAATCAACCCCAGTGGAATAGAATGGAATGGAATGGAATGGAATGGAATGGAATGGAATGGAATCAACCAGAGTGGAATTGTATGGAATGGAATGGAGTGGAATGGTATATAATGGAATGGAATGGAATGCAATAAACCCGAGAGGACTTTAATGGAAAGGAACGGAATGGAATGGAATAGAATGAAATGGAATCAACCCGAGTGGAATGCAATGCAATGCAAAGACATAGAATGGAATGGAAAGAAATGAAATGGAATGGAATCAACCAGGGTGGAATGGAATGGAATCTAATGGAATGGAATGGAATGGAAAGGAATCAACACGAGTGGAATGGAATTCAATGGAAAGGAATGGAATGGAAACAACCCGAGTGGAAAGGAATGGAGTGGAATGGAATGGAATGAAAAGGAATGGAATGGAATCAACGAGAGTGGAGTAGAATGGAATTGAAAAAAATGGAATGGAATCAACTGGAATGGAAGTTAATGTAATGTAATGTTATGTAATGTAATGGATTTGAATCAACACGAGTGGAATGGAATTGAATGGAATGGAATGGAATGGAATCAACGCCAGTGGAATGGAATGGAATGGAATTCAATGGAATGGAATCAAAGCGAGTGGAGTGGAATGGAATAGAATGTAATGGAAGGGAATGGAATCAACCCGAGTGGAATGGAATGGAATGGAATAGAATCAACGTGAGTGGAATACAATGGAATGCAATGTAATGTAAAGGAGTGGAATGGAGAGGAACGGAATGGAATGGAATCAACTGGAATGGCATGGAATGGAATGGAATGAAAAGGAATGGAATTGAATCAATCCGAGGGGAATGAAATGGAATGAAATGGAGTTGAATGGAATGGAATGGAATGGAATGGATTGGAATAAACCCGAGTGGAATGGTATGAAATCGAATGTAAAGGAAAGGAATGGAATGGAATGGAATGGAATGGAATGGAATGGAATGGAAAGGAATAAACCTGAATGGAATGGAATGGAATGGTATCAACCCTAGTGGAATGGAATGCAATGGAATGGAATGGAATGGAATGGAATGGAATGGAATCAACACGAGTGGAAAGGCATGCTATGGAATGGAATCAACCCCAGTGAAATAAAATGGAATAGAAAGGAATGGAATGGAATCAACACAATTGGAATGGAATGGAATGGAAAGGAATGGAATAGAATCAATACGAATGGAATGGAATGGAATGGAATGGAATGGAATGGAATGGAATAGAACGGAATGGAATAGAACGGAATGGAATGGAATAGAATCAATCTGAGTGGAATGGAATGGAATGGCCTGGAATGGAACGGAACTGAATTGAATGGAATTAACCCGAGTGGAATTGAAGGGAATGGAATAGAATCAATCTGAATGGAATGGAATGGAATGGAATGGAATCAACTGAAATGGAATGGAAGGGAATCGAATGGAATTGAATTAAATGGAATGGAATGAATAGTAATGGAATGGAAACAACCAGAGTGGAAAGGTATGGAATGGAATGGAATGGAATCAATCCTAGTGGAATGGAATGGAATGGAATGGAATGGAATGGAATGGAATGGAATGGAATGAAATGGAATGAAATGGAATGCAATCAACCCGAGTGGAAAGTATTCGAATGGAATGGAGTGGAATGGAATGAAATGGAATGGAATCAATCTGAGTGGAATGGAATGGAATGGAATGGAATGGAATGGAATGGAATGGAACGGAGTTGAATGGAATGGAATGGAATCAACACGAGTGGAATGGAATGGAATGGAATGGAATGGAATGCAATGGAATGGAATCAACAGGAATGGAATGGAATGGAATGGAAAGAAGCGGAATGGAACGGAATGGAATGGAATCAACCGGAGTTGAATGGAATGGAGTGGCATGGAATGGAATGGAATTGAATTGAATCAACCCGAGTGGAATGGAATGGAAGGGAATGGAAAGGAATGGCATCAACCCGAGTGGAAAAGAATAGAATGGAATGGAATCAATCCGAGTGGAATGGAATCAATGGAATGAAATGGAATGTTATGGAATTGTGTGGAATTAACACGAGTCGAATGGAATGGAATGGAATGGAAAGGAATAGAAGGGACTGGAATGAAATCAATCAGTGTGGAGTGGAATGGAATGGAATGGAAAGAAATGGAATGGAACCAACCCGAATGAAATGGAATGGAATGGAATGGAATGGAATGGAATCAACCCGAGTGGAATGAAATGGAAAAGAATGGATAGGAATGGAATTGAATCAACCCGAGAGGAATGGAATGGAATGGAATGGAATGGAATAGAATTGAATGGGATGGAATGGAATCAAAACGTGTGGAATGGAATGTAATTGTATGGAATTTAATGGAACGGAATGGAATGCAATGGAATGGTGTGAACCAGAATGGAATGGAATTGAATGAAATGGAAAGGAATGGAATCAACCCGAGTGGAATGGAATGAATGGAATGGAATTGAATGGAATGGAATGGAATCAACCAGAGTGGAATGGAATGGAATGGAATGGAATGGATTGGAATGGAATATACCGGAGTGGAATAGAATGGAATTTACCGAACGGAATGGAATGGAATGAAATGGAATGGAATCAAGCCGAGTGGAATGGAATGGAATGGAATGGAAAGAATACAATGGAATGAAATGGAATGGAATCAACCCGAGTGGAATGGAATGGAATGGAATGGAATGGAATGGAATGGAATGGAATCATCCCGAGGGGAATGGACTGGAATGGAATGGAAAGGAATGGAATCAACGCGAATGGAATGGAATGGAATAGAATGGAATGGAATGGAATGGAAAAAACTGGAATGGTATGAAATGGAATGGAATGGAATGGAATCAACACGAGTAGAATGGTAAGGAATGGAATGGAATGAAATGGAATGGAATGGAATGGAATGGAATGGAATGGAATCAAACCGAGTTGAATGGAATGGAATAGATTGGAATGGAATGGAAAGGATTAGAATCATCCCGAGTGGAATGAAATGGAATGGAATGGAATGGAATGGAATCAACTGGAATGGAAGTTTATGGAATGGAATGCAACAGAATGGAACGGAAGGTAATCAAACCGATTGGGATGGTACGGAATGGTATGTAATGCAATCCAATGGAATGGAAAAACGCGAGTGGAATGTAATGTAATGTAATGTAATGGAATGGAATGGAATGGAATCAACCCAAGTGAATGGAATGGAATGGAATGGAATGGAATGGAATGGAATGGAATAGAATGCAATCAACCCGAGTGGCATGGAGTAGAATGGAATGGCACGGAATGGATTGGAATGGAATGGAATGGAATCAACTGAAATGGAATGGAATGGTTTGGAATGGAACGGAATGGAATGGAATCAACACGAGGGGTATGGAATGGAATGGAATGGAAACAAATGGAATTGAATCAACTAGAATGCAATGGAATGGAATGGAATGGAATGGAATGGAATGGAATGGAATGGAATGAACCCGAGTGGAATGGAATGGAAAGGATTGGAATGGAATGAAATTAAGTCAACCCGAGAGGGACGGAATGAATTGGAATGGAATGGAACGAAATGGAACCGAATGCAATGGATTCAACCTGAGTGGAATGGAATGGAATGGATTGGAGTGGAATGGAATGGAATGGAATCAACCCGAGTGGAATGGAATGGAATGAAATGAGATGGAATGGAATGGAATGGAATGGAATGAACCCGAGTGGAATGGAATGGACTTGAATGGAATGTAATGGAATGGAATCGACACGAGTTTAATGGAATGGAATGGAAAGGAATGGAATGGAAAGGAATGGAATCAACCCGAGTGAAAAGGAATGGAATGGATTGGAATGGAATGAAATGGAATGGAATGGAATCAACCCTAGTGGAATGCAATGGAATGGAATGGAATGGAATGGAATGAAATGAAATCAAACCGAGTGGAATGGAATGGAACGGAATGGAATGGAGTGGAATGGAATGGAATGGAATGAAATGGAATGGAATGGAATGGAATCAACCCGAGTGGAACGGAATGGAATGGAGTGGAATGGAATGGAATGGAATGGAATGGAATGGAATCAAACCGAGTGGAATGGAATGGAATGGAATGGAATGGAATGGAATGGAATGGAATGGAATGGAATGGAGTTGAATGTAATGGAATCCATCCGAGTGGAATGGAATGAAATGGAATGGAATGCAATGAAATCGAATGGAATGGAGGGGAATGAAAAGGAATGGAACCAATACGAGTGGAAAGGAATGGAATAGAATGGAATGGAATGGAATAGAATTAACGCGAGTGGAATGGAACGCAATGGAATGGAATGGAAAGGAATGGAATCAACTGGAGTGGAATGCACTGGAATGGAAAGGAATGGAATTGAATGGAATATAATGGAATGGAATGGAATGGAATCAACCAGAGTGGAATGGAATGGAATGAAATGGAATGGAATAGAAACAACCCATGTGGAATGCAATGGAATGCAATGGAATGGAAATGAATCAACCCGAGTGGAATGTAATGTAATGTAATGGAATGGAATGGAATCAACTCGAGTGGAATGGAATGGAATGGAATGAAATGGAAAGGAATCAACTCTAGTGGAATAGAATGGAAAGCAATGGAATGGAATGGAATGGAATCAACGTGAGTGGAATGGAATTGAAAGGAATGGAATGCAATGGAATGGAATGGAATGGAATGGAAGGCAATGGAATGAAATGGAAAGAAATGGAATCAACACGAGTGTAATGGAAGGCAATGGAATGAAATGGAAAGAAATGGAATCAACACGAGTGTAATGGAATGCAATGGAACAGAGTAGAAACAACTCGAGTGGAATGGAATGGAATGGAATGGAATTCAATGGAATGGAACTGAATGGAATCAACCTGAGAGTAATGGCCTGGAATGGAAAGGAATGGAAAGGAAAGGAATCAAACCGATTGCAATGGAATGGAAATGAATGGATTGCAATAGAATTGAATCAACCCGAGTGGAATGGAATGGAATGAAATGGAATGGAATCAACCCGATTGGAATGGAAGGGAATGGAATGGAATGGAACAGAATGGAATCAACCCGAGTGGAATGGAAGGGAATGGAATGGAATGGAACAGAATGGAATCAACCCGAGTGGAATGGAATGGAATTGAATTGGATGGAATGGAATATAATGGAATGGAATGGAATGGAATCAACCCAAGTTGAACGGAATTGAATGGAATAGAATGGAACAGAATGGAATCGACCCGAGTGGAATGAAATGGAATGGAATCGAATAGAATGGAATGGAATGGAATGGAATGCAATGGAATCAACCCGTGTGAAATGGAATGGAATGGAATGGAATAGAATGGAATGGAATCAACCCAAGCGAAATGGAATGAAATGGAATGGAATGGAATGGAATGGAATCCAACCGAGTGGAATGGAATGGAATAGAATGGAATTGAATATAATGGAATCGAATGTAATCAACACGAGTGGAATAGAGTGGAATGGAATGGATTGGAATAGAATGGAATGGAATGGCATGGAATGGAATAGAATCAACCTGAGTGGAATGGAATGGAATGGAATGGAATGGAATGGAATGGAATGGAATGGAATCAACACGAATGGAATGGCATGGAATGGAATGGAATCAGCTGGAATAGAATGCAATGGACTGGAATGGAATGGAATGGAATGAAATGGAACGGAATGGAATGGAATCAACCCGAGTGGAATGGAATGGAATGGAATTGAGTTCAGTGGAATGGAATCAACCCGAGTGGAATGGAATGGAATAGAATGGAATGGAATGGAATGGAATGGAATGGAATGGAATGGAATCAACCTGATTGGAATGGAATGGAATGGAATGGAATGGAATCAACCCGAGTGGAATGGAAAGGAATTGAATGGAATGAAATGGAATGGAATGGAATAGAATTTAAAGGAATGAAATCAACTGGAATGTAATGGAATGGACTGGAATTGAGTGGAATCATCACGACTGGAATGCAATAGAATGGAATGGAATGGAATGGAATGGAATTGAATGGAATCAACTGTAAAGGAATGGAATGGAATGCAATATAATGGAATGGCATGGAATGGAATGGAATGGAATTGAATGGAATCAACACGCATGGAATGGAAAGGAATGGATTGGCATTTAAGGGATTCAACTTGAATGGAATGGAATGGAATGGAATCAACCCGAGAGGAATGGAATGAAATTGAATGGAATTGAATGGAATTGAATCAACCTGTGTGGAATGGAATGGAAGGGAATGGAATCGTATGGAATGGAATATAATGCAGTGAATTGTAATCAACCCGAGTGGAATAGAGTGGAATGGAAAGGAATGAAATGGAATGGAATGGAATGGAATGGAATGGAATGGAATGGAATGGAATCAAACCTAGTGGAATGGAATGGAATGGAATGGAATGGAATGGAATGGAATGGAATGGAATCAACTGGAATGGAATGGAATGGAATGCAATGCAACTGAATGGAATGGGATGGAATCAACCCGAGTGGAATGGAATGGAATGGAATGCAGTGGAATGGAATGGAATGGAAAGGAATGGAATGGAATGGATTGGAATCAACCCGGGTGGAATGGAATGGAATGGAATGGATTAGAATGGAATGGAATGGAAGGGAAGGGAAAGGAATGGAATGGAATGGAATTAACCTGAGTGGAATGGAATGGAAGTGAATGGAATTGAGTCAACCCGAGTGGAATGGAATGGAATGGAATGGAATGGAATGGATTTGAATGAAATCAACCCAAGTGGAATGGAATGGAATGGAATCAACCCTAGTGGAATGGAATGGAATGGAATGGAATGGAAAGGAATCAACTGGAATGGAATCAAATGGAATGCAATGCCATTGAATGGAATGGAATGGAAGCAACAAGAGTGGAATGGAATGGAATGGAATAGAATGAATTGGAATTGAATTCAATCAACCCGAGTGGAATGGAATGGAATGGATTGGAATGGAATGGAATGGAATGGAATCAACATGAATGGAATGGAATGGAATGGAAGGGAATGCAATGGAATGGAATGGAATGGAATGGAATCAACCCGAGTGGAATGGAATGGAATGGAATATAATGGAGTGGAATCAATCAGAGTGGAATGGAATGGCATGGAATGGAATGGAATGGAATGGAATCAAGTAGAGTGGAATGGAATGGAATGGAATGAAATGGAATGGAATGGAATCAAATGGAATGCAGTTGAATTGAATTGGATGGAATGAAACGGACTCGAATCTAACAGAATGGAATAGAACGGACTCGAATGGAATGGAATGTAATTGAATATATTCAAATGGAGTGTAATGGAAGGGATAGTAATAGAATGGAAAAGAATGGAAAGGCAAGACTGGAATGGAGTGGAATGGCATGGATTGGAATGGCATGGACTCGAATGGGATGTAATGGAATGGAACAGACTCGAATGGAAAGGACTGGAATGGACAAGAATGTAATGCAATGGAATGGAATGGACTCGAATGGGAAGGAATGTATAGAAATGGACTCGAGTGGAATGGAATGGAGTGGAAAGGAATGGCCTCGAATGGAACGGAAATGATTGGACCCGAAAGGAATGTAAATGAATGGAATGGAAGGGAATGGAATGGAATCAATGGGAATGCATTTGAATTGATTGGACCCGAACGCAATGGAAAGGAATGGAATGGAATGGAAATGTATGAAATGAAATATACTCTACTGGAATGGAGTGGAACAGAATGGACTCAAATGAATTGGAATGTATTTGAATGAAATGGAACGTAAAGGAGTCGAGTCGAGTGGAATGGAATGGAACTGAATTTGATGGACACGAATGAGATTGAATGCAGTGGAATGGTCTCGAGTGGAATGGAATGGAATGGAATAGACACGAATGGAATGGAATGTAATTGTATGCAATGGAATGGAATGAAATGGAATGTAATGGAATGGTAAGGAATGGAATAGAATGGAATGGATTCGAATTGAATGCAGTTGATGAGAATGGACCCGAAAGGAATGGAACGGAATGGAACGGAATGGAATGGACTGGAATGGAATGGAAAGGAATGGAATGGAGTGGAATGGAAAGGAACGGAATGGAGTGGAATGGAATGGAACGGAAGGGAAGGGAAAGGAATGGAAAGGAATGGAATCAACCCGAGTGGAATGGAATGGAAGTGAATGGAATTGAGTCAACCCGAGTGGAAAGGAATGGAATGGAATGGAATGGAATTGAATTGAATCAACCCGAGTGGAATGGAATGGAATGGAGTGGAATCAACCCTAGTGGAATGGAATGGAATGGAATGAAACGGAATCAACTGGAATGGAATCGAATGGAATGCAATGCAATTGAATGGAATGGAATGGAATCAACAAGAGTGGAATGGAATGGAATGGAATGGAATGGAATGGAATGGAATGGAATAAAATGAAATGGAATCGAATTCAATCAACCCGAGTGGAATTGAATGGAATGGATTGGAGTGGAATGGAATCAAGCAGAGTGGAATGGAATGGAATGGAATGGAATGGAATGGAATGGAATGGAATGGAATGGAATGCAATGGAATGGAAAGGAATGGAATGGAATGCAATGGAATGGAATGGATTGGAATCAACCCGAGTGGAATGGAATGGAATGGAATAGACACGAATGGAATGGAATGGAATTGAATGCAATGGAATGGAATGAAATGGAATGTAATGGAATGGTAAGGAATGGAATAGAACGGAATGGATTCGAATTGAATGCAGTTGATGAGAATGGACCCGAAAGGAATGGAATGGAATGGAACGGAATGGAATGGACTGGAATGGAATGGAAAGGAATGGAATGGAGTTGAATGGAAAGGAATGGAATGGAGTGGAATGGAATGGAAAGGATTTGAATGGATTGCATTAGAATGGAAAGGAATGGAATGGGATGGAATGGAATGAAATGGAATCGAATCGAATGGAATGGAAAAAAATGAATTCAAATGAAATGGAATGGAAACGTATGGAATGGAATGCAATAGAAACCACCCAAGTGGAATAGAATGGAATTGATTGGAATGGAATCAAATGAAATGGAATGCAGTGGAATGAACTCGAATGGCTTACAGTGGAAAGGAACAAAATTGAATGGAATGGAATGGAATGCAATGGACTCGAATGGAAAGAGTTGAATGGATCCGAATGGAATGGAATAAAAAGGAATCGAATGGAGAGGAATGAACTGGAATAGAATGGAATGGAATCGACACGATTGGAATGGAATATAATGGTCTGAAATATAATTGAAAGGAATGAAATGGAATGGAATGGAATGGATTGGAATGGAATGACATGGAATGGAATAGAATGGAAGGCAATGGAATGGACTCAAATGAAATTAAATGGAATGGAGTCTAATGGAATAGAATGGACTCCAGTGGAATGGTTTGGTATTCAATGTACTCGAATGGAATGAAGAAGAATGGATTCAAATGGACTGGAAAGGAATGGAATGAAACGGACTCGAATGGAATAGAATAGATTGGAAAGTACTTGAATGGAATAGAATGGAATGGATTCGAATGGTATGGAATGGAAATAAGTCTCCACGAAATGAATGGAATAGAATAGAATGGAATGGAATGGAATGGACTGGAACGGAATTGAATGGAATGAAATCCAATGGAATGGAATGGAAATGAATCGAGTGGAGCAGAATGGAATGGACTCGAATTGGATGGAATGGAATGTAGTGGACTCGAATGGAATGGAATGGACCTGAATGGAATGGAATGGAATGCAATGGAAAGGAATGGAATGGAATGGACTCTAGTGGAATGGAATGGAAGGGAATCGAATGGGATGGAATGCAATGTAGTGGACTCGAATTAAATGGAATGGAATGGACCTGAATGGAATGCAATGGAATGGAATGGACTCGTATGTAATGGAATGGAATGGAAAGGAAAGGAATGGACTCTAATCAGTAGGAATGCAATGGAATGGATTCGAAAGGATAGGAATGGAATGGACCCGAATCGAATGGAATGGAATGAAATGGAATGGAATGGAATGGAAATGAATGGAATGGAAAGGAATGGACTTGAGTGGAATGGAAAGGAATGGTCTCGAATGGAATGGATGTAATGGAATGGACTCAAATGGAATGGAGAGTAATGGACCAGGATATAATTTTAATGGAATGAAATGGAATGGACTCTAATTTAATGAAATTTAATGGAACCACGTGGAA
Organism: Homo sapiens; assembly: GCF_000001405.40. NCBI lineage: Eukaryota > Metazoa > Chordata > Mammalia > Primates > Hominidae > Homo > Homo sapiens. Next base: position 89,824,812 of record NC_000002.12, on the reverse strand, counting down.
ACGAATGTACTCGAATGGAACGGAATGGTGTGGAATGGAATGGAAACTAAATGAACTGAACGGAATGAAATGGAATTTAATGGAATGGTATGTAATGGAATCGAATGTAATGGAATGGTTTGGAATGGAATGGACTCGAAAGGGATGGAATGAAATGGATTGTACTGGAATGGAATGGAATGGAATCCACCCGAATGGAATAGAATGGAATGGACTCTAATGGAATGGAATTTAATCCACCCGAATGGAATGGAACGGAATGGAATTGAAAGGTATGGAATGGAATGGACTTCAATGGAATATAATGGATTGGAATTGACTTGAAGGGAACAGAATGGAAAGGATTCGAGTGGTCTTGAAAGGAATGGAATGGAATGTACTTGAATGGAATGGAATGGAAATGAATGGAATGGAATGAAATGGAATGGAATTGACATGAATTTAATACAATGAAATTTAAAGGGACGGACCTTAATGGAATGGAGTGGAATGGACTCGAATGAAATAGAATGGAATAGACTCGAATGGAATGCAATGCAATGGAATGGACTCAAATGGAATGGACACGAATGGAATTGAATGGAATAGAAAGGAATGGAAAGGAATGCAATGGAATGGACTTGAAAGGAATGGAATGGACATGAATGGAACGAAATGGAATGTAATTGACTCGAATGGAATATAATGGAATTTAGTGGAATGGACTCGAATGGAATTTAATGGAATTTAATGGAACGGACTCTAATGGAATGGAATGGAATGGCCTGAAATGGAATAGTATTGAATAGACTCGAACGAAATGGAATGCAATGGAATGTACTCGAATGGAATGGAATGGAATGCACTCGAGTGTAATGTAATGAAATTGAGTAGTCTTGAAAGCAGTGGGATGAAATGCAATGTAATGGAATCGAATGGAATGGAATGGAGTCCAATGGAAAGGAAATAAATTGAATGGAATCAAAAGCAGTGAGATGGAATGCAATGGAATGGACTCTAATGGAATGGAACGGAATGGATTCGAATGGAATGGAATGCAATGGAATGGACTCAAATGGAATAGAAGAATGGAATTCACTCGAATGGAATTGAATGGAATGGACTCATGGAATGGAATGGAATGGAATGGAATGGAATGGAATGGAATGGGATGGACACTGATGGAATGGAATGGAATGAAATTTGTTCAAATGGAATTGAAATGAATGGAATAGAAACGAATGGACTGGAATGGAATAGAATGGACTGGAGTGGAATTGCTTTGAATGGAATGGATTCAAATGTAATTGAATGGAATGGACTCAAAAGGAATACCATTGAATGGAATGAACTCGAATGGAATGGAATGATATTCAATGTACTCGAATGGAATATAATGTACGGGAATGGAATGAACTCGATTGGAATGGAATGCAATGGAATGAAATGTGCACAAATGGTTTGGAATGAAATGGAGTGGACACGAATGGAATGGACATGAACGGAACGAAATGAAATGTAATGGACTCGAATGGAATACAATGGTATTTAATGGAACGGACTTTAATGGATTTGAATGGAATGGATTCGAATGGAATAGAACGTAAGAGACTCGAATGGAATGTAATGCAATGGAATGGACTCTAGTGGAATATAATGGACTCGAATGGAATGGAATGCAATTGATTGGACTCAAAAGCAGTGGGATAGAATGAATGGAATGGACTTGAATAGAATGGAAAGGAATGTAGTCGAATGGAAAGGAAATAAATTGAATGGAAACAAAAGCAATGGGATGGAATGCAATGGAATGGAATGGAATGGAATGGAATGGACTCTAATTGAATAGAATTGAATTGACTTGATTGGAAATGAATGGAAGGTACACCAATGGAAGGGAATGGAATGTTCTCAAATGGAATGCAATGAATTTTGCTGAAATGAAATGGATTGGAATGGAATCGAAACAAAGGGAATGGAATGGAGTAGAATGTACTGCAGTGGAATTGGTTTGAATGGAATGGACTCAAATGTAATGGAACGGAATGGACTCAAATGGAATACCATTGAATGAAGGGACTCTAATGGAATGGAATGGCATTGAATGGACTCGACCGGAATGGAATGTAATGGAATGGAATTAACTCTACTGGAATGGAATTCAATGGAATGAAATGTGCTCGAATGGATTGGAATTAAATGGAATGGACTCGAATGGTATGGAATAGAATGGAATGGAATGGACTCGAATGGAATGGAATGGAATGGAATGGAATGGAATGGAATGGAATTGAATGGAAAGGAATGAACTGGAATGGAATGGAATGGAATGGAATGGAATGGACTTGAATGGAAGAGAATCGAAGGGAATGGAAAGGACTCGAATGGAAGAGAATGGAAGGGAATGGAAAGGACTCGAATGGAACGGAATGGACTCGAATTTAATGGAATGGAATGGAATGGAGTCAAACGGAATGGAATGAAATGGACTCAAGTTGAATGGAAAGGAATGGACTTGAATGACATAGAATGGAAAGGAATGGAATGGACTCGAATAAAGTGGAATGGAATGGAGTCAAAAAGAATGCAATGGATTTGAGTGGAATATAATGGAATGGACTCGAATGGAATGGAGTGGAATGGATTCGAATGGAATGGAATGCAATTGACCAGAATGGAATAGAAAGGAATGGACTCTAACGGAATGGAATTGAATGGAATATACTGAAATGTAATTGAATGGAATGGACTCCAATGGAATGAAACGAATTGAATGGAATCAAATAGAATGAAATTAAATTGAATGGAATAAACTCAAATGCAATGGAATTGAATGGAATGAAGTGGACTCAAAAGGAACGGAATGACATGGAATTGACTGTAATGAAATGGAAAGTAATTCAATGGACTCAAATGGAATGGAATGGAAGGGAATGGAATCGAATGTAATAGAAGGGAACGGAAAGTACTCAAATAGAATGGGATAGAATGGAATGGAATGGAATGGCAAAGAATGGAATGGAATGGAATGGAATGGAATGGAATAGAATGCAATGGAATGGACTCAAATGGGATGGAATGGAATGGAACAGTCTCGAATGGAAAGGAATAGAATGGACAAGAATCTAATGGAACAGAAAGGAATGGAATGGACTCGAATTGAATGGAATGGAATTAAATGGAATGGAATGGAATGAATTGGAATGGAATGGAATTAATTGGAATGGAATTGAATGGAAAGGTATGGATTGGAATGGAATGGAATGGATTGGACTTGAATGGAAGAGAATCGAAGGGAATGGAAAGGACTCGAATGGAAGAGAATGGAAGGGAATGGAAAGGACTCGAATGGAATGGAATAGACTCGAATTTAATGGAATGGAATGGAATGGGGTCAAACGGAATGGAATGAAATGGACTCATGTTGAATGGAAAGGAATGGACTTGAATGACATAGAATGGAAAGGAATGGAATGGACTCGAATAAAGTGGAATGGAATGGAGTCGAAAGGAATGCAATGGATTTGAGTGGAATATAAAGGAATGGACTCGAATGTAATGGAGTGGAATCGATTCGAATGGAATGGAATGCAATTGACCAGAATGGAATAGAAAGGAATGGACTCTAATGGAATGGAATTGAATGGACGCGAATGGTATTGAATGGAATATACTGAAATGTAATTGAATGGAATGGACTCCAATGGAATGAAAGGAATTGAATGGAATCAAATAGAGTGAAATAAAATTGAATGGAATAAACTCAAATGCAATGGAATTGAATGGAATGAAGCGGACTCGAAAGGAACGGTATGACATGGAATTGACTTGAATATAATGGAAAGTAATTCAATGGGCTCGAATGGAATGGAATGGAAGGGAATGGAATGGAATGGACTCGAATGGGATGGAATGGAATGGAACGGTCTCGAATGGAAAGGAATAGAATGGACAGGAATCTAATGGGAAGAAATGGAATGGAATGGACTCGAATGGAAAGGAATGGAATGGACTCAAGTTCAATGGAATGGAGTGGAATGGAATGGAATGGAATGGAATGGAATGGATTCAAATAGAATGCAGTGGAATTGAATGGACCCGAAAGCAGTGCAATGGAATGGAATGGAATCGAACAGAAGGTTATAGAACGGAATGGACCCAAATGAATTGGAATGGATTTGAATGAAATGGAATGGAATAGAATGCCATCGAGTGAAGGGGAATGGAAAGGATTCGAATGGAATTGAATGGACTCGAATGAGACTGAATGCAGAGGAATGGACTCGAATGGAATGGAATGGATTGGAATAGACACGAATGGAAAGGAATGTAATAGAATGGAATGGAATGGAATGGAATGGTAAGGAATGAAATGGAATGGAATGGAATGCAATGGACTCGAATTGAATGCAGTTGAGTAAAATGGACTCAAAAAGAATGAAATGGAATGGAATGGAAGGGAATGCAATAGAATGGAAAGAATGGAATGGGATGGAATGGAATGAAAAGGACTCGAAAGGAATGGAATGGAACGGAATGAGTTCAAATGAAATGGAATGGACCCGAATGGAATGGAATGTAATGGAATCAACTCAAGTGGAATAGAATGGAATTAATTGCAATGATTAGAATGAAATGGAAGGCAGTGGAATGAACTTGAATGGCATGCAATGGATTGGAATGGAATGGAATGGACTCGAAAGGAAAGAATTGAGTTGATCCGAATGGAATGGAATGGAATGGAATGGAATGGAGAGGAATGAAATGGAATGGAGTGGAATGGAATGGACATGAATTGAATGGAATGCAATGGAATGGAATGAACTACAATGGAATTGAATGGAAGGAAATGGAATGGATTGGAATGGAAATGAATGGAATAGAATGGAAGGCAATGGAATGGATTTGAATGGAATGAAATGGAATGGAATGCAATGGAACTGAATGGAATAGAATGGAAGGCAATGGAATGGATTTGAATGGAATGAAATGTAATGGAATTGAATGGAATAGAATGGAAGGAAATAGAATGGAATCGAATGAAATGGAATGTAATGGACTTGGATGGAATGGGATGGACTTGAGTGCAATGTATTGGTAGGGAATGGACTCGAATGGAATGGAGTGGAATGGATTTTAATGGACTGGAACGGAATGGAATGGATTTGAGTCGAATGGATAATAACGGTGTGAAATGGACTTGAAAAGAATGGACTGTAATGGAATGAAACCGACTCGAATGGAATGGAATAGAAACGAAAGTACTTGAATGGAATGGGAAGGAATGGAATGGAATGGAATGGATTTGAATAGTATGGAAAAGCATTAAATGGCCTCAAAAGAATGGAATGGAATGGAATGGAATGGAATGGAATGGACTGAAATGTAATTGAATGGAATGCAATCCAATGGAATGGAATGGATGTAAATGGAATGGAATGGAAATGAATCGAGTGGAATGGAATGGCAAGGACTCGAATGTAATGAAACGGAACGTAGTGGACTCGAATGGAATGGAATGGAATGGACCCGATTGGAATGGAATGGAACGGAATGGACTCAAGTGGAATGGAGTGGTGTGGACTCAAATGGGATGGAATGCAATCTGGTGGACTCGAATGGAATGGAATATAATGGACACGAATGGAATGGACCCGTATGTCATGGAATGGAATTGAAAACACTCGACTCGAATGGGAAGGAATGGAATGGAATGGATTCGAAAGGATAAGAATGGAATGGATTCGAAAGGATAGGTATGGAATGGACCTGAATGGAATGGAACGGAATGAGCTTGAATGGAAAGGAATGGAATGGAATGGAGTGGACTCATGTGGAATGGAATGGAATGGTCTCGAATGGAATGGAATGGAATGGAATGGACTCATATGGAATCAAAAGGAATTGACCAGAATATAATGGAATGGAACGGACTCGAATTTAACGGAATTTAATGGAATCGAATGGAATTGAATAGACTCGAATGGTAAGGATTGAATGGAATGGAATGGAAAATCATGGAACCGAATGGAATGGAATGGAATTTATTGTAATGGAATGCAATGGACTCGAATGGAGTGGAATGGATTGGAATGGAATGGACACGATAAGGATGGAATGTGATGAAACGTACTGGAATGAACTGGAATGGAATCAACCCGAATGGAATGGAATGGACTCGAATGGAGTGCGATGGACTCATCCCGATTGGAATGGAAGGGAAAGCAATGGAATGGAATGGAATAGAATGGAATGGAATGGAATGGAATGGGATGGAATGGAATGGAATGGAATGGAATGGAATCGAGTGGATTGTAATGGAATCGAATAGACTAGAATGGAACGGAATGCATTCGAATGGAAAGGAAATCAATGGACCCGAAGGGAATGGAATGGAATGGAATGGAATGGAATGGAATGGAATGGAATGGAATGGATTGGACTAGAATGGAATGGAATGGTATGGAATGAAATGCACTTGAATGGAGTACAGTGGAATGGAATGGAATGGACTTGAAAGGAATGGGATGGAAATGAATGGAATGGAATGGAAAGAAAGGACTTGAATGGATTACAATGGAAATTAATGGAATGGACTCTAATGGAATGGAATGGAAAGGAATCCAATGGAATAGAATGAAATGGAATAGACTCGAATGGAATGGAATGGAATGGAATGGAATGGAATTGAATATAATGGAATGCAATGGAATAGACTTGAAAGGAATGTAATGGAATTGACTCCAATGGAATTCAACGGAATGAACCCGAGTTAAATGGAGTGGAATTTAAAGGAAGGGAATGGTCTCGAATGGGATGGAATGGAATGGACTCAGATGGAATAGCATGGAGTGGAATGGACTCGAATGCAATGTAATGGAATGGATTGGAATGGAATGGACTCGAATGCAATGTAATAGAATGGACTAGAATGGAATGGACTCGAATGGAATGAAATGGAACAAAATGGAATGGAACGGATTGGAATCAATCGGAATGGAATGGAATGGAATGGAAGTAATGAAATGAAGCGGACTTGAATGGAATGGAGTTAAATGGAATGGAATCAAATGGAATGGAATCGAATGGAATTGAAACGAATGGAATGGAATTGAATGGAATCAAAAGGAATAGAATGGAATGGAGTGTAACGGAAAGATATAGAATGAAATGGAATGGAATGAATTCGAATGGAATATACTGTAATGTAATGGACAGGAAGGTAATGGAATCAAATGGAATGGACTGGGGTGGAGTGGACTCTAACGGAATGGAATGGAATGGAAAGAAACATAATGGAGTGGAATAGGATGGAAAGGAAAGCAATGGAATGGATTTGAATGAAATAGAATCGAATGGAATGGCATCAAACGGAGTGTAACGGAAAGGAATGGACTCGAGTGCAATATATTCAAATGGAATAGATTCGAATTTATTGGTATCAAATTAAATGGAATGGAATTGAATGGAATGGAACCTAATGTAAATGACTCGAATGGAATGGAATCAAATAGAATGGAATCAAAAGGAATTGTCTCGAATGTAATTTATTCGAATAGAATAGAATTGAATGTAATGCAATAGTATGGAATGGAATTGAATGGAATGGGATTGAATGGAGTGGACCGGATTGGAATGGACAGGAATAGAACGGACTAGAATGTAAAGGATTGAAATGTAATTGATTTGAATGCAATGGAATCGAATGGAATGTAATCAAATGGAATGGAATGCAACGGAATGGAATGGAGTGGAATTGAGTGTAATGGAATTAAATGGAATGGAATTAAATGGAATGGAATCGAATGGAATGGAATCAAATGGAATGGACTGGAATTGAATGGCATCGAATGGAATGGAATTGAATGTAATCGAAAGGAATAGAATGGAATGGAGTGTAATGGAAACATATCGAATGGAATGGAATAGACCCGATTGGAATGGAATCAAATGGAATGGAATCTAATGGAATGGTATCAAATGGAAAGGAATTGAATAGAATCGAAAGGAATAGAATGGAAGGGATTGTAATGGAAAGATATTGAATGTAATGGAGTGGAATGGAATGGACTCGAATGGAATGGAATGGGGAGGAATGGACTCGAATGGAATGGAAACGAATGGAATGGAATGGAATGGAAAGGAATAGAATGGAATGGAATTAGATGCATCTGAATGGAATGAAAAGGAGTCGAATGGAATATAATTGAATGGAATGGCTTCGAATGGAATGGAATAGAATGGAATGGAATGGAATGGACTCGAATGGAATAGACTCGAATGGAACAGAAACAAATGGAATGGCATCGAATGGAATGCAATAGTATGGAATGGAATCTAATGGAGCACAATCAAATGGAATTAACCGGAATGGAATGGACTGGAATAGAACAGACTCGAATGCAATGAATTGCAAAGTAATTGATTTGAATGGAATGGATTCAAATGTAATGTAATAAAATGGAATGGAATTGTATGCAATGAATTGGAATAGAATGAAATGCAATAAAATGCAAAGGAGTGTAATTGAGTGGAATGGAAAGATATGGAAAGGAATGGAATGGAATGGAATTGAATGGAATGGAATGGACTCGAATGGAATGTACTGGAACAAAATGGAATCGAACGGATTGGAATAGAATGGAGTGGAATGGAATGGAATGGCCTCGAATGCAATGGACACGAATGAAATGGAAATGAATGGAATGGAATAGAATGGAATGGAATTGTATGGAATCAAAAGGAATAGAACGGAATGGAGTGTAACGGAAAGATGTCGAATGGAATGGAATGGACTCGAATGGAATGGAGTCGAATAGAATGGAATGGAATGGAATGGAAGTATATCGGATGGAATGGAATGGAATGGAATGGACTCGAATAGAATGGACTCAAATGGAATGGAATGGAATGGAATGCAATGGAAAGGAATGGAAAAGAATAGAAAGGAATAGAATGGAATGGAGTTTAATGGGAAGATATCGAATGGAATGGAATGGACTCGAATGGAGAGGAATGGACTCGAATGTGATGGAAACGAATGGAATGGTATGGAATGGAATGGAATGGAATGGAATGGAATGGAATGGAATGGAATGGAAAGGAATAGCTTGGAATGGATTTGGATGGAACGAAATGGAATGTAATGGTGTCGAATGGAATAGAATCAAATGGAATGACATCGAATGGAATAGAATGGAATGGAATGGAATGGACTTGAATGGAAGAGAATCGAATTGAATGGCATCGAATGGAATGCAATGGAATGGAATGGAATTGACCCAAATGTAATAGACTCAAATGGAATGGACCCAAATAGAATGTACTCGATAGGAATGGACTCGAATGGAATTTGTTCGAAAAGAATGGAATCGAATGGAATGAAATAGTATGGAATGGAATCAAATGGAATGGAATCGAATGGAATTTAATCAAATGGAATGGAATGGAATGCAATGGAATGGAATAGAATGGAATGCAATGGAATGGAGCAGAGTCGAATTGAGTGGAATGGAATATGATCAAATGGAATGGAATTAAATGGAATGGACTGGAATCGAATGGAATTGAATGGAATGGACAAGAGCATAATGGAATCGAACAGGACGGAATGGAATGGAATGGAATGGACTCGAATGGAACAGAGTCGAATGGAAGGCAGTCGAATGGAATGGAATGGAATGGAATTGAATGGAATCAAAAGGAATAGAAAGGAATGGAGTGTAATGGAAAGATATTGAATGGAATGGAATGGAATGGATTGGACTCGAATGGAAAGGACTCAAATGGAATGGTCTCAAACGGAATGAACTGGAGTGGAATGGACTCGATTGGAATGGAAACGAATGGAATGGAATGGAACGAAATGGAACCTAATGGAATGAAATGTAAAGGAATAGAATTGAATGGAATCTGATGGAATGGAATGAAATGGGATGGAATCGAATGGAATAGAATCCAATGGAATGGCATCGAAAAGAATGGAGTGGAATGGAATGGACTCAAATGGAATGCGCTCAAGTGGAATAGAATTGAATGGAATGGCATCGAATGGAATGGAATGGAATGGAAAGGAATGGATCCAAATGTAATGGACTCGAATGGAATGGACTCAAATAGAATGGACTCGAAAGGAATGGTGTCGAATGGAATTGATTCGAATGAAAAGAATGGAATGGAAAGGAATGGATCCAAATGTAATGGACTCGAATGGAATGGACTCAAATAGAATGGACTCGAAAGGAATGGTGTCGAATGGAATTGATTCGAACGCAATGGAAACGAATGGAATGCAATAGTATGGAACGGAATCGAATGGAATGGAATCAAATGGAATGGACTGGAATTCAATGGAGTGGAATAGAACGGACGTGAATGTAATGGATTGCAATGTAATTGATTCGAATGGAATGGAATCGAATGGAATGTAATCAAATGGAATGGAATGGAAAACAATGGAATGGAATAGAATGGAATGCAACGGAATGGAACGGAGTGGAATCGAGTGAAATGGAATGGAATTGAATGGAATGGAATCTAATGGATTGGACTGGAATGGAATGGACTCGAAGGGAATGGACCAGAAGAAAATGGAATCGAACTGATTGGAATCTAACGGAACAGAATGGAATGGAATGGAATCGAATGGAACAGAGTCGAATGGAATGGAATCGAATGGAATGGAATTGAATGGAATCGAAGGTAATGGAATCGAATGGAATGGAATTGAATGGAATTGAAAGGAATAGAATGGATTGAAGTGTAATGGAAAGATATCGAATGGAATGGAATGGACTCGAATGGAATGGTCTTGAATGGAATGAACTTGAGTGGAGTGGATTCCAATGGAATGGAAACGAATGGAATGGAATGGAACGGAATGGAATGGAACGGCAAGGAATAGAATTGAATGGAATCTAACCGAACGGAATGGAATGGAGTGGAGTCGAATGGAATAAAATCAAATGGAATGGTATTGAACAGAATGGAATGGAATTGACTCGATGGGAATGGACTCGAATGGAATAGAATCGAATGGAATGGCATAGAATGGAATGGAATGGAACGGAACGAAATGTAATGGACTCGAATGGAATGTTCTCAAATGGAATTGATTTGAATAGAATGGATTCGAATGGAATGCAATACTATGTAATGGAGTCAAATGGAATGGAATTGAATGGAATGGACCAGAATGGAATGGACTGCAATAGAACAGACTCGAATGTAATGGATTGCAATGTAATTGATTCGAATGGATTGGAATCGAATGGAATGTAATCAAGTGGAATGCAATGGAACGCAATGTAATTTAATAGTATAAAATGCAATGGAATGGAAAGAATGGAATTCAATGGAATGGAATAGAGTGGAATCGAGTGGAATGGAATCGAATGGAATGGAATCGAATGGAATGGAGTGGATTGGAATGGACTCGAATGGAATGGACTGGAACAAAATGGAATCAAACGGATTGGAATCGAACTGAACGGAATGGAATGGAATGGAATGGAATGGAATTGGATGGAATGGACTCAATCGGAATGGAATCGAATGGAATGGAATCAAATGGAATAGAAACAAGTAGAATGGAATTGAATGGAATTGAAGGGAATATAATGGAATGGACTGTAATGGAAAGTCCTCGAACGGAGTGAAATGGAATGGACTCGAATGGAATATACTGGAATGGAATGGACTCGAATGGAATGGCCTGGAGTGGAATGTACTCGAATGGAATGCAATGGAATGGAATGCTAAGGAATAGAATGGAATGGAATCGGAAGGAATGGAATGGAATGGAATGGAGTCAAATGGAATAGAATCTAATGGAATGGCCTTGAATGGAATGGAATGCAATGGAATGGTATAGTCTTGAATGTAATGCACTCAAGTGGAATAGAATGGAATGGAATGGCATCGAATGGAATGGAATGGAATTGAAAGGAATGGGTTGGAATGGAGTGGAATGGACCCAAATGTAATGGACTCGAATGGAATGGACTCAAATAGAGTGGACTTGAATGGAATGGTCTCGAATGGAATTTATTCAAATAGAATGGATTCGAATGAAATGCAATAGTATGGAATGGAATTAAATGAAATGGACTGCAGTGGAATGGAATGGACTGGAATAGAACGGACTCGAATGTAATTGATTGCAATTTAATTGTTTCAATTGGAATGGAAGCGAATGGAATGTAATCAAGTGGGATGGAATTGAGTGCAATGAAATGGAATAGAATGGAATGCAGTGGAAAGGAATGGAGTGGAATCGAGTGGAATGGAATCAAATGGAATGGGATCGAATGCAATTGACTGGAATGGAATGGAGTCGAATGGAATGGACTTGAACCAAATGGAATATAAAGGATTGGAATCAAATGGAATGGAAAGTAATGGAATGGAATGAAATGGACTCGAATGGAATGGAGTCGACTGGAATGAAATTGAATGGAATGGCATCAAATGGAATGGAATTGAATGGAATTGAAAGGAACAGAATGGAAAGAAGTGTAATGGAAAGATATCGAATGGAGTGGAATTCAATGGAATGGACTCGAAAGGAATAGAATGGAATGGAATGGACTCGAATGGAATGGACTAGAGTGGAATTGACTCGAATGGAATGGAAACGAATGGAATGTAGTGGACTGGAGTGGAATGGCTCGAATGGAAGGGAAACGAATGGAATGGAATGGAATGGAACGGAATGGAATGGAAACGAATGGAATGGAATGGAATGGAATGGAAAGGAAAGGAATAGAATGGAATGGAATCTGATGGAACGGAATGGAATGGAATGGAGTCAAATGGCATAGAGTCGAATGAAATGACTTCGAATGGAATGGAATGGAATGGAATGGAATGGAATGGAACGGAATGGAATGGACTTGAATGGAATGGATTCGAATGGAATAGAATCGAATGGAATTTCATCGAATGGAATGGATTGGAATGGAGTGGAATGGACCCAAATGTAATGGAGTGGGATGGAATGGACTCAAATATAATTGACTCAAAAGGAATGGTCTCGAATGGTATTTATTCGAATAGAATGGAATCGAATGGAATGCAATAGTATGGAATGGAATCGAATGGAATGGAACTGAATTTGATGGAATGGAATAGAACGGACTCTAATGTAATGGATTGCAATGTAATTGATTCCAATGGAATGGATTCGAATGGAATACAATCAAATGGAATGGAATGGAATGCAATGGAATGGAATGGAATGGAATGCAATGGAAAGGAATGGAGTGTAATCGAATGGAATGGCATCGAATGGAATGGAATGGATCGAACGCAATGGAATAGAATGGAATGGACTGGAATGGAGTGGACTTGAATAGAATGGACTGGAGTGGAATGGACTCGAATGGAATGGAAATGACTGCAATGGAATGGAATGGAAAGGTATAGAATGGAATGGAATCGGAAGGAACGGAATGGAATGGAATGGAGTCGAATGGAATAGAATCGAATGGAATGGCATAGAATGAAATGGAATGGAATGGAATCGAATGGAATTCCATTCGATTCCATTCGATGATGATTCCAATCGATTCCATTCGGTGATGATTCAATTCGATTCCAATTGACGATGATTGCATTCAATACCATTCGATGATGATTCCGCTCAATTCAATTCAATGATGATTCCATTCGATTTCATTTGATGAATCTATTCAATTCCATTTAATGATGTTTCAATTCTATTTCATCTGTTGATTCCATTGGATTTCATTCGATGATGTTTCCTTTCGATTCCATTCGATGATGATTCCATTCAATTGCATTCGATGATGATTTCAATCGTGTCCATTCGAACATTCCATTCGATTCCTTTTGATGATGATTCCATTCGGGTCCATTCGATGATTCCATTCCATTCCATTCGATGATGATTCCATTCGATTCCATTCGATGATTCCTTTCGATTCCATTTGACGATGATTCCCTTTGAGTCCATTCGATGATTCCATTAGATTGAATTTGATGATGATTCCATTCGAGTCCATTCGATGACTCCATTCCATTCCACTCGATGATGATTCCATTCTATTCCATTCGATGATTCCTTTCGATTCCATTCGATGATGATTCCCTTCGAGGCAATTCGATGATTCCATTAGATTGAATTTGATGATGATTCCATTTGATTCCATTCGATGATTCCATTCGATTCCATTCGATGATGATTCCATTAGATACCATTCACTGATTCCTTTCTTTTCTATTTGATGATGATTCCACTCATGTCCATTCGATGATTCCATTCGAGTCCATTATATTATTCCCTTAGATTCCATTCGTTTATGTTGCCTTTTGATGCCATTTGGTGGTTCCATTTGATTCAATTCGATGATGTTTCCATTCGAGTCCATTCGATGATACCATTCGATTCCATTCGTTGATCATTCCATTCGTGTCTATTCAATGATTCCATTCGATTCCATTCGATGATGATTCCATTCAGGTCCATTCGATGATTCCTTTCCATTCCATTCGAGGAAGATTCCATTTGAGTCCATTCGATGATTCCATTTGATTCCATTTGATAATGATTCCATTCGAGTCCATTCGATGATTCCATTCGATTCCATTAGATGATGTTTCCATTTGAGTCCATTGATTATTCCATTCCATTCCATTCAATGATTCCTTTCGAGTCCATTTGATGATTCTATTCGATTCCATTCGATAATTCCTTTCCATTCCATTTGATGTTGTTTCCATTCGAGTCCATTCGATGATTATAACAGTCGATTGTATTCCATGATTCCATTCGATTACATGTGATAATGATTCCATTGGAGACCACTCGATGTTTCCATTCAATTCATTCGATGATGATTCCATTCAATTCCATTCGATGATTCCATTAGATTCAATTTGATGATGATTCCATTCGATTCCATTCCATGATGATTCCATGCAATTCCATTCGATGATGACTCCTTTTGGTTCCATTTGATGATGATTCCTTACGGTTCCGTTCAATGATGATTCCTTTGGATTCAATTCGATGATGATTCCACTCGATTCCGTTTGTTTTTTTTTATTATTATACTTTAAGTTTTAGGGTACATGTGCACATTGTGCAGGTTAGTTACATACGTATACATCTGCCATGCTGGTGTGCTGCACCCACTGACTCGTCATCGAGCATTAGGTGTATCTCCCAATGCTATCCCTCCACCCTCCCCCCACCCCATAACAGTCCCCAGAGTGTGATATTCCCCTTCCTGTGTCCATGTGATCTGATTGTTCAATTCCCACCTATGAGTGAGAATATGCAGTGTTTGGTTTTTGGTTCTTGTGAGAGTTTACTGAGAATGATGGTTTCCAATTTCATCCATGTCCCTACAAAGGACATGAACTCATCCTTTTTTATGGCTGCATAGTATTCCATGGTGTATATGTGCCACACTTTCTTAATCCAGTCTATCATTGTTGGACATTTGGGTTGGTTCCAAGTCTTTGCTATTGTGAATAATGCCACAATAAACATACGTGTGCATGTGTCTTTATAGCAGCATGATTTATAGTCCTTTGGGTATATACACAGTAATGGGATGGCTGGGTCAAATGGTATTTCTAGTTCTAGATCCTTGAGGAACCGCCACACTGACTTCCACAATGGTTGAACTAGTTTACAGTCCCACCAACAGTGTAAAAGTGTTCCTATTTCTCCACATCCTCTCCAGCACCTGTTTCCTGACTTTTTAATGATCGCCATTCTAACTGGTGTGAGATGGTATCTCATTGTGGTTTTGATTTGCATTTCTGTGATGACCAGTGATGGTGAGCATTTTTTCATGTGTTTTTTGGCTGCATAAATGTCTTCTTTTGAGAAGTGTCTGTTCATGTCCTTTGCCCACTTTTTGATGGGGTTGTTTGTTTTTTTCTTGTAAATTTGTTTGAGTTCATTGTAGATTCTGGATATTAGCCCTTTGTCAGATGAGTAGGTTGCGAAAATTTTCTCCCATTTTGTAGGTTGCCTGTTCACTCTGATGGTAGTTTCTTTTGCTGTGCAGAAGCTCTTTAGTTTAATTAGGTCCAATTTGTCAATTTTGGCTTTTGTTGCCATTGCTTTTGGGGTTTTAGACATGAAGTCCTTCCCCATGCCTATGTCCTGAATGGTAATGCCTAAGTTTTCTTCTAGGGTTTTTATGGTTTTAGGTCTAACGTTTAAGTCTTTAATCCATCTTGAATTGATTTTTGTATAAGGTGTAAGTAAGGGATCCAGTTTCAGCTTTCTACATATGGCTAGCCAGTTTTCCCAGCACCATTTATTAAATAGGGAATCCTTTCCCTATTGTTTGTTTTTCTCAGGTTTGCCAAAGATCAGATAGTTGTAGACATGCGGCATTATTTCTCAGGGCTCTGTTCTGTTCCATTGATTTATATCTGTGTTTTTGTACCAGTACCATGCTGTTTGGGTTACTGTAGCCTTGTAATATAGTTTGAAGTCAGGTAGTGTGATGCCTCCAGCTTTGTTCTTTTGGCTTAGGATTGACTTGGCGATCCATGCTCTTTTTTGGTTCCATATGAACTTTAAAGTACTTTTCTCCAATTTTGTGAAGAAAGTCATTGGTAGCTTGATGGGAATCATTCCATTCCATTTGATGATGATTCTTTTTGATTCCATTCGATGATGTTTCCATTCGATTTCATTCGATGATTCCATTCGATTCCATTCAATGATGATTCCATTCGAGTTCATTGATTATTCTATTCCGTTCCATTCGATGATTCCATTCAAGTCCATTCAAAGATTCTATTTGTTTCCATTCGATAATTCCTTTTGATTCCATTTGATAATTATTCCATTCAAGACCATTCGATGATTCCATTCAAGTCATTCGATGATGATTCCATTCGATTCCATTCGATGATGATTCCATGCGATTCCATTCGATGATGACTCCTTTCGTTTCCATTTGATGATGATTCCATTCGGTTGCATTCGATGATTTTTCCTTTGGATTCCATTTGATGATGATTCCATTTGACTCCATTTGATGTTGATTCCTTTCAATTCCATTCAATGATGATGCCATTTGATTCCATTTGATCATGATTCCTTTCGGTTTCATTCGATGATTCCATTCGATTCCATATGATGATGATTCCATTCGTGTACATTTGATGATTCCATTCGATTCCATTCGATGATGATTCCATTCGATTCCATTCGATGATTCCATTCGCTTCCTTTCGATGATTCCATTCGCTTCCTTTCGATGATTATTTCATTCGAGTCCATTCGGTGATTCCTTTTGATGCCATTTGAAGATGATTCCATTCGTGTCCATTCGATGATACCACTTGATACCATTCGTTCATGATTCCATTCGAGTGCATTCAGTGATACCATTTGATTCCATTTGATGATGATTCCATTCGATTCCATTCAATTCCATTCTATGATGATTCCATTCGAGTCCGTTTGATAATTCCATTGGACTCCATTTGCTGATGATTCCATTCAATGAGTCCATTTGATTCTATTTGATGATGATTCCCTTCGATTTTGTTCAATGCTGATTCCATTCAATTCCATTCGATCATTCTATTTGATTCCATTCGATGATTCCATTCGATTACATTCAATGATGATTCCATTTGATTCCATTCAATGATTCCATTCGATTCTATTTGAAGATGATTCCATTCAATTCCATTCGATGATGACTGCATTCGATTCCATTTGATGATTTCATTTGATTCCATTCGATGATGATTCTTAACAATTCCATTCAATGATTTCATTCGATTCCATTCGATGTTGATCCCATTCGATTCCATTCAATGATGATTCCATTCGAGGCCATTCGATGATTCCATTTGATGATGATTCCATTTGATTCGTTCTGATGATTATTCCATTCGAGTCCATTCGGTGATTCCTTTTGATGCCAATTGAAGATGATCCCATTTGAGTCCATTCAATGATACCATTCGATACCATTCATTGATGATTCCATTCGATGATTCCATTCAATTCTATTTTATGAAGATTCCATTCGAGTCCATTTGATGATGCCATGGGACTCCATTTGACGATGATACCAATCAATGATTCCATTTGATTCCATTCGATGATGCTCTCATTCGATTTTGATCAATGCTGATTCCTTTCAATTCCATTCGATGATTCCATTTGATTCCATTCGATGATTCCATTCAATTCCATTCGATGATGATTCCATTCGATTCCTTTTGATGATGACTGCATTCGATTCCATTTAATGATTCCATTTGGTTCCATTTGATGATGATTCTGATTGATTCCATTTGATGATTCCATTCGATTCCATTCGATGATTCCATTTGATTCCATTTGATAATGATTCCATTCGAGTCCATTTGATGATTCCATTCCAGCCCATTCGATAATTCCATTTGAGCCCAATCGATGACTCCATTCGAGACCATTCAGTCATTTATGAGTCCATTCAATGATGATTCCATTCGAGTCCATTCAATGATTCCATTCGAGTCCATTTGATAATTCCATTTGAGTTCATTCGATCATTGCTTTTGATTCAATTCAATGATATTCCATTCAAGTCCTTTAGATGATTCCATTCGATTCTCTTTGATGATGATTCCATTAGTGTCCATTCAATGATTCCATTCCATTTCATTTGATGACGATTCCTTTCGAGTCCATTATATGATTCCACTCGATTCCATTTGATCATGATTCCATTCGAGTCCAATCAGTGATTCCATTCCATTCCATTCGATGATGATTCCATTCGATTCCTTTCGATGATTCCATTCGATTCCATTCGATGATGATTTCATTTGAGTCCATTCGATGATTCCATTTGATTTCATTCAATGATGATTCAATTCCAGCCCATTCGATGATTCTATTCGAATCCATTTGATGATTGCTTTTGATTATATTTGATGATGATTCCATTCGAGTCAAATCGATGATTCCATTCGAATCCATTCGATGATCATTCACTTCGAGTCCATCTGATGATTCCATTTGATTCCATTCTCTGATGATTACATTCGAGTCCATTCGATGATTCCACTCAATTCCATACAATGATGATTCTGTTCAGTTCCATTCGATGATTCCATTCTATTCCATTCAATGATGATTCCTTTCGAGTACGTTAGATGATTCCATTTGATTCCATTCGATGATGATTCTATTCATGCCCATTAGGTTATTTCACACGAATCCATTCATTGATGATTCCATTCGAGTCCATTTGATGATTCTATTTGATTCCATTCGATGATGTTTCCATTCCATTGCATTCTTTGGTGATTCCATTCAATTCCATTCATTGATTCCATTCCATTCAATTTGACATTTATTCCATTTGATTCCCTTCTATTATTCCACTCAATTCCACTTGATGATGATTCCATTCGAATTCATTCGATGATTCCATTTGATTCCATTCAATGATGATTGCCTTCGATTCCATTCAATGATTCCATTTGATACCATTAGATGATGATTCCATTCGATTCCATTTGATTATTCCATTCGAGGATTCCATTCAATTCCATTTGATGATGATTCCTTTCGAGTCCATTCAGTGATTTCATTAGAGTCCATTCAGTGATTTCATTCGAGTCCATTCAATGATTCCATTCGATTCCATTTGATGATTCTATTCAAGTCCATTTCATCATTACATTCGGGTCCATTCAATGATTCCATTCGATTCCTTTTGATGATGATCCCATTCGATTCCATTCGATGATGATTCCATTCGAGCCCATTCGATGATTCCATTCAATTCCATTCAATGACTCCAAACGATTTCATTTGATGAAGATTCCATTCGACTCTTTTTGATGATTCCATTCAATTCCATTCAATGATTCCATTTGATTTCATTCGATTATTCTATTCTAGTCCATTCGATGATTCCATTTGATTCCATTCGATTTTATTTCCATTTGATTCCGTTTGATGAGGATTAAATTCGATTCTGTTCGATGATTCTGTTCGATTCAATTCAATGATTCCCTTCGATTCCTTTTGATGATGATTCCATTCAATCCATGCGGTGATGATTCCATTCGATTCCATTCGATGACGACTGCATTCGGTTCCATTCGATGATGATCCCCATAGATTCCATTTGATTTTTCAATTTGATTCCATTCGTTGATGATTCCATTTGATTACATTAGATGATGATTCCATTAGATTCCATTCGATGATGATTCCATTCAATTCCATTTAATGATGATTCCATTCAATTCCATTCAATGATGATTCCATTCTATTCCATTTGATTCCATTCGATTCCATTCGATGATGATTCCATTCATATCCATTCAATCATTTCATTTGATTGCATTTGATGAGGATTCCATTCAATTCCATTCTATGATTCCATTCGATTACCTTCAATGATCATTCCGTTTGAATCCATTTGATGATTCCACTCGATTACATTCCATGACTCCGTTCTATCCCATTTGATGTTTCCCTTCGATTCCTTTTGACGATGATTCCATTCGTTTCCATTCGATGATGCTTCCATTCGATTCCATTCAATGATGATTCCATTCGTTTCCATTCGATGATGCTTCCATTTGATTCCTGTCAAAGATTCCATTCAATTCCATTCGATGATTTTTCCATTCGATTCGATTCGATGATGAGCCATTTGACTCAATTCCATGATTGTTCCTTTTGATTCAATTCGATGGTGTTTCCATTCAATTCCATTCGATGATGATTCCATTCGATTCTCTTCGGCAATGATTCCATTCAAGTCCGTTCGATGATGATTCCATTCTAATTCATTTGATGCTTCTATTCGATTCCATTTGATGATGATTACGTCTGATTCCATTCGATGATTCCATTCCATTCCATTCGGTGATTATTCCAATTGATTCCATCTGATGATGATTCCATTCGATTTTATTTGATGACGATTCCATTCAATTTCATTCGATGATGATTCCACTCGATTTCATTCGATGCTGATTCCTTTCAATTCCATTAAATGATTCCATTTGTTTCCATTTGATGATTCCATTCGATTACATTCAACAATGATTCCATTCGAGTCCATTCAGTCTTTTCATTTGAGTCCATTGTATGATGATTCCATTCGAGTCCATTCGATGATTCCATTCGAGCCCATTTGATAATTCCATTTGAGTCCTTTCGTTGATTGCTTTTGATTCCTTGTGATAATATTCCATTCGAGTCCATTTAATGATTCCATTCGATTCTATTTGATGATGATTCCATTCGTGTCTATTAAGTGATTCCATTCGATTTCATTCGATGATGATTCCTTTCAAGTCCATTAGATGATTCCATTTGATTCCATTTGATGATGATTCCATTCGAGTCCATTCAGTGATTCCATTCGATTCCATTTGATGATGATTCCATTCAATTCCATTCAATGATTCCATTAAATTCCATTCTATGATTATTTCATTCGAGTCCATTTAATGATTCCATTGTGTTCAATTCGATGATGATTACTTTGGATTCCATTCCATGATTCCATTCTATTCCATTCATTGATGATTACATTCGATTCCATTCAATGATGATTCCACTCGATTTCATTCAATGATTCCATTCTATTCCATTCGATGATGATTCAATTCTATTACATTGGACGATTGCATAGGATTCCATTTGATGATGAATCCACACGATTCCATTCAATGATGAGTCCATTGGATTCCTTTCAATGATGATTCTATTTGAAACCGTGTGATGATTTCATTCAATTCCATTCGATGATGATTCCTTTCGAGTCCATTCGATGACTCCTCTCGATTCCATTCGATGACGATTCCATTTGGGAATCGAATGGAATCATGGAGTGAAATCTAATGGAATCATCATCGAATGGAACCAAATTGAATCATCATCAAATGGAACCTAACGGGGTCATCATCGAATGGATTCTAATAGATACATCATCTAATGGCATTGAATGGAATCATCATTGAATGTAATCGAATGGAATCATCAAATGGACTCAAATGAAATCATCATCGAATGGAATCGAATGGAATCATCGAATGGATACAAATGGAATCATCCTCGAATGGATTCGAATAGAATCATAGTTGAGTGGACTAGAATGGAATCATCAAATAGACTCGAATGGAATCATCGAATGGACTCGAAAGCAATTGGCATCAATGGGATCGAATGTAGTTATCATCTAATGGAATCGAAAGGAATCATCTTCAAAAGTAATTGAACGGAATCATCATCGAATGGAATTGAATGGAATCATTGAATGGAATTGAATGGAATCATCATCAAAAGGAATTGAAATGAATCATCGAATGGAATCAAATGGAATCGAATGGAATCATCATTGAATGGACTTGAATGGAATCATCATCGAATGGAATAGAATGGAATCATTGAATGCATTCGAATGGAATCATTGAATGGACTCGAAGGAAATCATCTATTGGAATCAAATGGAATCAGCGAATGGACACAAATGGAATCATCATCGAATGGAATCGAATGGAATCATTGAATGGACTCTAATGGAAATATCATGAAATTGAATTGAAAGGAATCATCATGGAAATGAATAGACTGGACTCATGGAATTGAATCAAGTGAAATCATGTAATGGAATTCAATAGGATCATCGAATGGACACAAATGGAATCATCATCGAATGTAATCGAATGGAATCATCAAATGGACTCAAATGAAATCATCATCGAATGGAATCGAATGGAATCATGGAATGGACACGAATGGAAAATCATCAAATGGAATTGAAGGGAGTCATTGAATGGACTCGAATGGAATCATCGCCAAATTGAATCAAATGGAATCATCGAATGGCATCGGATGGAGTCATCATCAAATGGAATCAAATGGAATCATTAAATGGACTTGAATGGAATAATCGAATGGACTCGAAAGGAATAATCATCAAATGGAATCGAATGAAAACTTCGATTGGACTCAAACGGAATGATCATGAATGGAATCAAGAGGAACCATCGAATGAAATTGAATAGAATCAGTGACAGGAAGTGAATGGAATCATCATCGAATGCAATCAAATGGAATCATCTAATGGAATCGAATAGAATCATCATTGAATGGAATTGAATGGAATCATTGAAAGGAATCGAATGGAATCATCATCGAAAGAAATCTAATGGAATCATCGAACAGCATCAAATGGAATCATCATCGAATGAAATCAAATGGAATCATCAAATGGAATCGAGTAGAATCATCATTGAATGGACTCGAATGGAATCTTCGAATGGACACGAATGGAATCATCATGAAATGGATTTGAATGGAATCATCGAATGGACTCGAATGAAATCATCATCGAATGGACTCGAATGGAATCATCAAATAGACTCGAATGGAATCATCATCGAATGGAATCAAATGGAATCATCAAATGGACTGGAATGGAATCATCATCGAATGGCATCAAATGGAGTCATCGAATGGACACGAATGGAGTCATCATCGAATGAAATTGAAAGGAAACATTGAATGGACTCGAATGGAATCATCATCTAATGGAATCAAATGGAATCATCGAATGGACTCGAATGCAATCATCCAATGGACTCGAATGTAATCATCATCAAATGGAATCAAATGGAAATAATGAATGGACTCGAATGGAATCATCATTGAATGGAATCAAAAAGAATTATGATGGAATGAAACCGGATTTTATCAATGACTGGAATCGAATGGAATCATAATCGAATGGAATCGAATGGAATCATCGAATGCACTCGAATGGAGTCATCGAATGGAATCGAATGGAATCATCAAATGGACACGGATGGAATCATCATCAAATGGAATCGAGTGGAATCATCGAATGGACTCAAAAGGAATCATCATCAAATGGAATTGAATGGAATCATCAAATGGAATCGAATGGAAACATCATCGAATGCACTCGAATGGAATCATTGAATGGAATCCAATGGAATCATTGAATGGACTCGAATGGAATCAACATGCAATTTAATCGAATGGAATTTAATCAAATGGAAATATCATCAAACTGAATGAAATGGAATCATCATGGGATTGAATTGAATGGACTCATCATCAAATGGAATGGAATCATCATAGAGTGGAATCAAATGAAATCATCATCGAATGGAATGGAATGGAATCATCATTGAATGGAATCGAATGGAATCATCAAAGAGAATGGAATGGAATCATAAACAAATGGAACCTAACGGAGTCCCCATTGAATGGAATGGAATGGAATCATCATCGAATGGAATCGAATGGAATCATCATTGAATGCAATCAAATAGAATCATCATCAAATGGAATCGAATTGAATCATTATCGAATGGAATGGAATGGAATCATCATCGAATGGAATCAAATGCAAACATCAAATGGAATCTAAAGGAATGATCATCGAATGGAATTGAAGGGAATCATCGAATGGAATTGAATGGAGTCATCGAATGGAATCAAAGAGAATCATTGAATGGACTCGAATGGAATCATCACAGAATGGAATCGAATGTAATCTTCGAGTGAACTCGAATGTAATTATAATTGAATGGATTCAAATGGAATCATCCAATGGACTCAAATAGAAACATTATCAAATGGAATCGAATGGAATCATCGAATAGAATTGAATGGAATCATCATCGAATGGACTCAAATGGAATCATCATGGAATGGAATAGAATGGAATCATCGTACGTACTCGAATGGAATCATCGAATGGACTTGAATGGAATCATCAAATGGAATCATCTAATGGAATGGAATGGAATCATCATCGAATGGAATCGAATGGAATCATCAAATACTCTTGAATGGAATCATCATCAAATTGAATTGAATGGAATCATCAAATGGAATTGAATGTAATCATCACTGAATGAAATCGAATGGAATCATCAAATGGCATCGAATGGAATCAACTTCAAATGGAATCGAATGGAAACATCGAATGGCATCGAACTGAATCAACTTCAAATGGAATCTAATGGAAACATCGAATGGACTCGAATGGAATCATCAACAAATGGAATTGAATTGAATCATTGAATGGACTCGAATGGAATCATCATTCAATGGAATGCATGGAATCATCATCGAATGGAATTGAATGGAATCATCAAATGGAAGAGAATGGAAAAATCATCAAATGGAACCAAATATAATCATCGAATGAAATCGATTGGAAACATCATCGAATGGAATTGAGTGGAATCATCATCAAATGGAATCGAACGGAATCATCATCCAATGGAATCAAATGGAATCATCATTGAATGGAATCAAAGGGAATCATCAATGAATGGAATTGAATGGAATCATCGAATGGAAATTAACGGTATCATCAAGCGGTGGAACCGAATGGAATCATCATCAAATTGAATCTAATGGAGTCATCATCGAATGGAATTGAATGGAATCATCGAATGGACACGAATGAAATCATCATCAAATGGAATCGAGTGGAATCATCAAATGCACTCAAAAGGAATCATCAAATGGAATCAAATGGAATCGAATGGAATCATCATCGAATGGACTCTAATGGAATCATCGAATGGAATCCAATAGAATCATCGAATGGACTCGAATGGAATTTAATTGAATGGAATCATAGAATGGACTCAAATGGAAATATTATCAAATTTAATGAAAAGGAATTATCATAGGATGGAATCGAATGGACTCATCATCGAATGGAATCAAACGGAATCATCATAGAATGGAATCAAATTGAATCATCATCGAATGGAACCGAATGGAATCGTCATCGAATGGAATCGAATGGAATAATCAATGAATGGAATCGAATGGAATCATCAAACGGAATGGAGTGGAATCATCTTCTAATGGAAACTAATGGAGTCCTCATCGAATGGAATCGAATGGAATCATCATCGAATGGAATCGAATGGAATCATCGAATGGAATTTAATGGTATCATCAACCAATGGAACTGATTGGAATCATCATCAAATGGAAACTAATGTAATCATCATCGAATGGAACCAAATGGAATCATCATCGAATGGAATGGAATGGAATGATCATCGAATTGAATCAAAGGGAATCATCCAATGTTATCTAATGGAATCATTGAATGGAATCGAATGGAATCATTTAATGGACTCGAATGGAATCACCATCAAATGGAATCGAAAGGAATCTTCGAGTGGACTCGAATGGAATCATCAATGAATGGAATTGAATGGAATCACCGAATGCACTCAAATAGAAACATCATCGAATGAAATCGAAAGTAGTCACTGAAAGGAATCGAATGGAATCATCGTCGAATGGAATCATCAAATGGAATGGAATGGAATCATCATCGAATGTAATCCAATGGAATCACCGAATGGAATCGAATGCAATCATAATCGAATGGAATCAGACGGAATCATCTAATTGAATCGAATATAGTCTTCATCGAATGAAATCACATGGAATCATTGAATGGATCTGAAAGGAATCATCATCCAATGTAATCGCATGGAATCAAAGAATGGAATGGAATGAAATCATTAAATAGATCTATTGGAATCATTGAATGGACTCTGATGGAATCATCATCGAATTGAATCGAATGGAAATATCATCAAATGGAATCAAATGGAATCGTCATCGAATGGAAACGAATGGAATCATCAAGGAAAGGAATAGAATGGAATTATCTTCGAATGGAATCGAATGGAATCATCATCGAATAGAATCAAAAGGAATCATAGAATGGAATTGAATGGAATCAACATCAAAAGGAATCGAAGTGAATCATCAAATGCAATCGAATGGAATCATCACTGAATGCACTCGAATGGAATCATCATTGAATAGAATCAAATGGAATTATCGAATAGACTTGAATGGAATCATCGAATGGAATTGAAAGGAATCACTGAAAGGAATAGAAGTGAATCATCATCAAATGGAATCAAATGGACTCATCGAATGGAATAGAATGGAATCATCACTGAATGGAATCACATAGAATCATGGAATGAAATCAAATTGAATCATCACCAAAGGGAATTGAATGGAATCATCATCAAATGGAATCATCACCGAATGGAAATGAATGGAAACATCAACGAATGTAATAGAATGGAATCATCTAATGGAATCTAATGGAATCATCAGATGGAACCGAATGGAATCATCATCAAATGGAACCTAAAGGAGTCATCATAGAATTGAAACAAATGGAGTCAACATCAAATGGAATCGAACGGAATCATCATCGAATGGAATCAAATGGAATCATCATCAAATGGACTTCAATGGAATCATCGAATGGACTTGAATGCAATCGTCATCAATGGAATTGAGTGGGTTTATCATCAAATGGAATTGAAAGGACTCATCATTGTAAGGAATCAAATGGAATCATCATCGAATTGAATAAAATGGAATCATCATCAAAAGGAATCAAAGTGAATCATAGAATGAAATCCAATGGAATCATCAAATGGAATCAAATGGAATCATCATCAAATAAACTGGAAAGGAATCATCATCAAATGGAATAGAATGGAATCATCAAATACATTCAAATGGAATCATCAAATGGACTCGAATGGAATCATCAAATGGAATCAAATGGAATTATAAAATGGACACGAATGGAATCATTATTGAATATAATCGAATGGAATCATCGAATATTCTCGAATGGAATCATAATCGAATGGAATCGAATGGAATCATCATCGAATGCACTTGAATGGAATCATCAAATGGACACGAATGGAATCATCAAATGGAATCGAATGGAATCATCGAATGGACTGGAATAGAATCATCTTGGAATGTAATCGAATGGAATCATTGAATGGACTCGAATGGAAATATCATCGAATTGAATGAAATGGAATCATCACGGGATTGAATCGAATGGACTCATCATCGAATGGAATGGAATGGAATCATCATCGAATGGAATTAAATGGAATCATCATCGAATGAAATCGAATGGAATCATCAATTAATGGAATCAAATGGAATCATCAAAAGGAATGGAATGGTATCATCAACGAATGGAAACTAACGGAGTCCTCATCGAATGGAATAGAATGGAAACATCATTGAATGGAATCGAATGGAATCATCTTCGAATGGAATCGAATGGAATAATCATCGAATGTAACAGAATGGAATTATCGAACGGAATCGAACGGAGTCATCAAGTGGAATCAAAGAGAATCATTGAATAGACACGAATGGAATCATCACAGAATGGAATCGAATAGCATCTTCGAATGAACACGAATGTAATTATAATTGAATGGAATCGAATGGAATCATCCTATGGACTCTAATAGAAACATCATCAAATGGAATCGAACAGAATCATTGAATAGAATCGAATGCAATTATCATCAAATGGACTCAGATGGAATCATCATGGAATGGAATAGAATGGAATCATTGAATGTACTCGAATGGAATCATTGAATGGACTTGAATGGAATCATCTAATGGAATCGTTGAGTGGATTAGAATGGAATATCATCGAATGGAATCAAATGGAATCATCGAATAAACTTGAATGGAATCATCAACAGATGGAATTGAATAGAATCATCGAATGGAATCAAATGTAACCATCATCGAATGAAATTGAATGGAATCATCGGTTGGTATTGAATGGAATCATCATCAAATGGAATTGAATGGAAACATCAAATGGACTCGAATGGAATCATCAACAAACGGAATTGAATTGAGTCATTGAATGGACTCGAATGGAATCATCGAATGGAATCGAACGGAATCATCATCCAATGGAATGCATAGAGTCATCATCGAATGGAATTGAAAGGAATCATTGAATCGAAGAAAATGGAAACATCATCAAAATGAACCGAATGTAATCATCTAATGAAATCAAATGGAATCATCATCGAATGGAAGCGAACGGAATCATCATCAAATGGAATTGAATGGAATCATCATCGAATGGAATCGAATGGAATCATCATTGAATGGAATCGAATGGAATCACCAATGAATGGAATCGAATGGAATCATCGAATGGAATTTAATGGAATCATCAAGCAATGGAACCGAATGGAATCATCATCAAATGGAATCTATTGGTGTCATCATCGAATGGAATTTAATGGAATCATCACCGAATGGAATCAAATGGAATCATCATCGAATGGAATCGAATGGAATAATCATAGATTGGAATCGAGTGGAATCATCGAGTGGAATCAAATGGAATGATCATCGAAAGGAATCGAATGGAATCATTGAATGGACTCAAATGGAATCATCATCAAATGGAATCAAATGGAATCTTCGAATGGACTCGAATGGAATCATCATTGAATGGAATCGAATGGAATCATCAAGTGCACTCGAAAAGAAACAACTTCAAATGATATCGAAAGTAATCTTCAAATGGAATCGAATGGAATCATTCTCGAATGGAATCATCGAATGGAATGGAATGGAATCATCACCTAATGAAATTGAATGGAATCATCAAATGGAAACGAATGGCATCCTCATCAAATGGAATCGAATGGAATCATCGAATGGAGTCAAATGGAATCATCATAGAATGGAATCGAATAGCATCATCGAATGGAAGGGAATGGAATCATCATCGAATGGAATCGAATTAAATCATCAAATGGTATCGAATGGAATCATCATCAAATGGAATCCAATGGAATCATCTTTGAATGGAATCTAAAGCAATCATCAAATTGATTTGAATAGAACCATTGAATGGACATGAATGAAATCATCATTGCATGGAATTGGATGGAACCAACGAATGGAATCAAATGGCATCATCATCGAAATGAATCGAATGAAGTCATCGAATGGACTGGAAATGGAATCTAATAGAATGGAATTGAATGCATTCATTGAATGGACACGAATGGAATCCTCCTGGATTGCAATCGAATGGAATCATCGAATGGACTCGAATGCAATCATCGAGTGGACAAGAATAGAATCATCATCGAATGGAATAAAATTAAATCATCAAATGAAATCGAACGGACTCATCAATGAATGGAATCGAATGGAAACTTCAAATGGAATCGAATGAAATCTAACGATGAAATCGAATGGAATCAACACCGAATGGATTTGAACTGAATCAACGAATGGACTCGAATGGAATCATCATTAAATGGGGTCCAATGGAATCATCATTGAATGGAATTGAATGGAATCATCAAAAGGAAACAAATGGAATTATTATCTAATGGAATCATCTAATGGACTGGAATGGAATCCTCCTCGAATGTATTTGAATGGAATCATCGAATGGACTCAAATAGAAACATCATTGAATGGAATCGAAAGGAATCATCAAATAGAATTGAGTGGAATCATCATCGAATAGACACGAATTTAATAATCATGGAATGGAATCCAATGGAATCATCGAATGGACTCGAATGGAATCATTGTTTGCACTCAAATGGAATTATCCTATGGAATCGAATAGAATCATTAAATGTCCTCGAATGGCATCATGATCGAATGAAATCAAATGGAGTCATGGAATGGAATCAAATAGAATCATCATCGAATGAAAAGGAATGGAATCATTGAATGACATCTAATGGAATCATCATTGAATGGAATTGAATGGAATCACTGAATGGACTCGAATGGAATCATCATCGAATGGAATTGAATGGAATCATTGAATGAAATTGAATGGAATCATCATCGAATGGAATCAAACGGAATCGTCATCGGGTGGAATGAATGGAATCATCATCAAATGGAATCAAAAGGAATCATCGAATGGAATAGGATGGAATCATCATCGAATGAAATCGAATAGAATCATTAAATGAAATAGAATGGAATCATCATTGAATAGAATCGAATGGAAACATCATAGAATGGACTCTCATGGAATCAACAAATGGACTCGAATAGTATCACTGTATGGACTCAAATGCAGTCATCATAAATGGAATCAAATGGAATCATCTTCGAATGGAATCGAATGGAATCATCGAATGGAATCAAATGGAATCATCATCGAATGGAATCAAATGGAAACATTGAATCGACTCGAATGGAATAAACATCACATGGAATCGAATGCAATAATCATCGAATGGAATTGAACAGAATCATTGAATTGAATCGAAGAGTATTTATCAAATGAAATCACATTTAATCATTGAATGGATTCGAAAGGAATCATCATGCAATGCAATCACGTGGAATCAATGAATGGAATGGAATGGAATCATCATAAAATGGAATGGAATGGAATAATCCAATGGAATCTGATGGAATCATCATTGAATTCAATCGAATCGAATAACCATCAAAAGGAATCAAACGGAAGCGTCATCAAATGGAATAGAATGGAATTATCATTGAATGAAATCGAATGGAATCATCACCGAATAGAATCGGTAGGAAACATCACATGGAATCGAATGAAGTCATCATCGAATGCACTCGAACGGAATCATCATCGAATGGAATTGAACGGAATCATCTAATGGACTCGAATGGAATCGTCGAATGGAATTGAATGGAATCATCGAAAGGAATAGAAGTGAATCATCATTGAATGGAATCAAATGGAATCATAGAATGGAATAGAATGGAATCATCATCGAACTGAATCGAATAGAATCATTGAATGAAATTGAAAGGAAACATCATTGAAGGGAATTGAAAGGAATCATCATCGAATGGAATAATCATTCAATGGAATTGAACGGAAACATCAATGAATGCAATTGAATGGAATCACCTAATGGAATCTAATGGAATCATCAGATGGAACCAAATGGAATCATCATCACATGAAACCTAATGGAGTCATCATAGAATGGAATCAAATGGAATCATCATCAAATGGAATCGAATGGAATCATCATTGAATGGAATCGAATGGAATCATCATCAAATGGAATTCAATGGAATCATTGAACGGATTTGAATGCAATCATCATCAATGGAATCGAATGGATTTATCATCAAATGGAATCGAAAGGAATCATCATCATAAGGAATCAAAAGGAATCATCATCGAATTGAATCGAATGGAATCATCAAATGGAATCAAATGGAATCATCATCAAAAGGATTCAAAGTGAATCATAGAATGTAATCGAATGGAATCATCGAATGGAATCAAACGGAATCATCTTTGAATAAACTTGAATGGAATCATCATCGAATGGAATAGAATGGAATCACCGAATGCACTCAAATGGAATCATCGAATGGACTAGAATGGAATCACCGAATGGAATCAAATGGAAATATAAAATGGACACTAATGGAATCATCATCGAATATAATCGAATGGAGTCATCAAATGGTCTCAAAGGGAAATATCGAATTGAGTCGAATGGAATCATCATGGAATTGAAATGAATGGACTCATCATCGAAAGGAATTGAAGGGAATCATTGAATGGAATCGAATGGAATCACTGAATGGACTCGAATGGAATCATCATTGAATGGCTTGAAAAGAAATCATCGAATGGGATCGAATGGAATTATCGAATGGAATCAAATGGAATCGTTGTATGGAATTGAATGGAATCATCATCAAAAGGAATCGAAGTGAATCATCAAATGGAATCGAATGGAATCATTGAATGGAATCGAATAGAATCATCATCGAATGGAACTGAATAGAATAATTATCAAATGGAATCGAATGGAATCATCAATTAGTGGAATCGAATGGAATCATCAAATGGAATCTAATGGAATCATCATCAAATGGAATCGAATGGAATCCTCATCGAATGTAATTGAATGGAATCATCAATTGGAATCGAATGGAATCATCATCAAATGGAATCAAAGTGAATCATCGAATGGAATCGAATGGAGTCATCATCAAATGGAGTCAAAATGAATCATCGAATGGAATCGTCAAATGGAAAGGAATGGAATCATCATTGAATTGACTCTAATGGAATCATCATCAGATGAAATCGAATGGAATCATCGAATGGACTCATATGGAATCGACAAATGGGCTGGAAAGGAATCATCGAGTGTAATCGAATAGAATCATCGAAGGTAATTGAATCTAATTATCGAATGGAATTGAATGGAATCATCATAGAATGGAATCGAAATGAATAATAGAATGGAATCGAATGAAATCATCGAATGGGCTTGAATGGAATCATCATTCAATGAAATCGAATGGAATCATACAATGCAATCAGAAGGAGTCATCATCAAATGGAATCGAATGGAGTCACCATCGAATGGAAACGAATGGAATCATCATCGAATAGAATCGAAAGGACTCATCGAATGACCTCAAATGGAATAATCATCAAATGGACACTAATGAAATCATCATCGAATGGCATCGAATGGAATCATCAAATGGAATCAAATGGAATCATCATCGAGTGGAATCGAATGGAATCATTGAGTGGACTCTAATGGAAACATCATCAAATGGAAACGAATGGATTCATGGAATGGACTCGAATGGAATCATCATCTAATGGAAACTAATGGAATCTTTGAATGGACTCGAATGGAATGATTGAATGGAATCAAATGGTATCATCAAATGGACTCGATTGGAATCATCATCGAATGGAATGGAATGGAATCATCGAATGGAATCCAATGGAATCATCATCAAACGGAATCAAATGGAATCATTGAATGGAATCCAGTGGAATCAACATCAAATGGAATCGAATGGAATCATTGAATGGCATCGAACGGAACCATTGTCTAATGGAATGGAATGAAATCATTGAATGGACTCGAATGGAAATATCATCAAATTGAATCGAATGGAATACTCATGGAATTGAATCGAATGGACTCATCATCAAACGGAATAGAAAGGAATCACCGAATGTAATCAAATGGAATCATCAAATGGACTCAAAAGGAAACATCATAGAATGGAATTGAATGGAAACATCAAATGGAATCATCATAGAATGGATTCAAAAGGAATCATCGAATAGACTCGAATGGAATCATCATCGGATGAAATTGAATAGAATCATCGAATGGCATTGGATGGAATCATCATCAAATGGAATCGAATGGAATCATTGAATGGCCTCAAATGGAATCATCATTGATTGGAATCGAATGAAATCATCTAATGGAATCGAATGGAATGATCATTGAATGGAATCGAAGGGAATCATCGAATGGAATCGAATGGAATCATTGAATGGAATCAAATGGAATCATCGAATGGAATCGAATGGAATCATAATCGAATGGAATCGAATGGAATCTTTGAAAGGCCTTGAAAAGAATAATCATCGAATGGAATCGAATGGAATCATCGAATGGACTCGAATAAAAACATCATCGAATGAAATCAAATGGAAAAATCGAAAGGAATCAAAAGAAATGATCATCGAATGGAATCATCTCATGAACTGGAATGGAATCATCATTGAAAGGAATCGAATTGTGTCATAGAATGGACACGAATTGAATCGTCATGGAATGGAATTGAATGGAATCATCGAACAGACTCGAATGGAATCATCATCGCATGGAATCGAAGGGAATCATCAAATGGAAATGAATGGAATCATCAAATGGAATTGAATAGAGTCACCATCGAATGAAATCCCATGGAATCATTGAATGTATTTGAAAAGAATCATCATCCAAAGGAATTGAATGGAATCAATAAATGGAATTGAATGGAATCATCATCTAATGGAATCGAATGGAATTATCGAATGGAATCGAAAGGAATCATCATCGAATTGAATAGAATGGAATCATCATCGAATGGAATTAAAAGGAATCATCATCTAAAGGAATCGAAGTGAATCATTGAATGGAATAGAACGAAATCATCGAATGGAATTGAATGGAATCATCGTCGAATGGACTTGAATGGAATCTTCATTGAATGGAATCAAATGGAATCATCGAATGGACTCGAATGGAATGATCGAATAGAATCGAATAGAATCATCAAATGGAATCGAATGGAATCATCTTCGAATGGAATGGAATGGAAATGTCGAATGGACTCGAATGAAATTATCATCGAATGGAATCAAATGCAATCAGCGAATGGAATCAAATGCAATCATAATCGAATGGAATTGAATGGAATCATCGAATGGAATCGTTTGGAATCATCATCGAATGGAATCAAATGGAATCATCAAATGGCATCAAATGAATCATCATGAAATCGAATCGAATGCAGGCATCTAATGGATGTGAATGGAATAATCATCTAATGGAAATGAATGGAGTAATCAAATGGACACGAGTGGAATTTTCATTGAATGGAATTGAAAGGAATCATCATCAAACGGAATTGATTTGAATCATCATCAGATGGAATCGAATGGAATCATCAAATGGAATAGAAAGTAATCATCATCGAATGGAATTGAATAGAATCATCGAATGAAAACCAATGGAATCATCATTGAATGGAATCGAATGGAATCATAATCAAATGGAATATAATGGAATCATCAACGAATGGAATCAAATGGAATCATCATCGAATGGAATTGAATGAAATCATCAACAAATGGAATCCAATGGAATCATCATCAAATGGAATGGAATGGAATCATCGAATGGGGTTGAATGGAATCATCGAATGGACTCGAATGGAATCATCAAATGTATTCAAATGGAAACAACATCAAATGGAACAGAATGGAATCATTGAATGGACTTGAATGGAATCATCATCGAATAGAATCAAATGGAATCATCGAATGGACATGAATGGAATCATCATTGAATAGAATCGAATGGAAACATTGAATGGACTCAAATGGAATCATCATTGAATGGAATCGAATGGAATCATCGAATGACATAGAATAGAATAATCAATGAATGGAATCTAAAGGAATAATCGAATGGACTTGAATGGAATCATCATCGAATGGAATTGAATGGAATCATCGAATGGACTCGAATGGAATCATCATCGAATAGAATTGAATGGAATCATTGAATGGACTCGAATGGAATCATCATCGAATGGAATTGAATGGAATCATCAAATGGCATTCAATGGAATAATCATTCAATGGAATAGAATGGAGTCATCAAATGGAATCGAATGGAATGATCATCAAATGGAATCTAATTAAATCATCGAATGGAATCGAATGCAATCATCTCAAACAGAATCAAATAGAATTATCCAATGGAATCAAATGGAATCATCATCGAATAGAATCAAATGGAACCATAGAATGGCATCGAATGGAATCATCATCAAATGGAATCATCATCGAATGGAATAAAAAAAAATCGAATGGATTTGAAAAGAATCATCAAATGGACATGAATGGAATCATCATCCAATGGAATGTAATGGAATTAACGAAAGGAATTGAATGGAATCATCATCGAATGGAATCAAATGGAATCATCTAATGGACAGTAATGGAATCCTCATTGAATAGAATCTAATGCAATAATCGAATGGAAATGAATGGAATCCCCATCGAATGGAAGTGAATGGAATCATCAAATGGACCCGAATGCAATCATCATCAAATGGAATCAAATAGAATCTTTGTTGAATGGACTCTAATGGAATCACCAAATAGACTCGAATGCAATCATCATCAAATGGAATCAAATAGAATCTTTGTTGAATGGACTCTAATGGAATCATCAAATAGACTCGAATGGAATCATCGAATGGAATTCAATGAAATCATGACAGAATGAATTGAATGGTATCATTGAATGGTCTTGAATGGAATAATTATCAAATGGAATCGGATGGAATCACCGAATAGAATCGAATGGAATAATCATCAAATGGACTCGAATGGAATCATCATCAAATGGAATCGAATGGAATTATTGAATGGAATCGAATAGAATCATTGAATGGACTCAAATGGAATCATCGAATGGAATGTAATGGAATAATCAATGAACTCGATTGGAATTATCATTGAATAGAAACGAATGGAATCATTGAATGGAATTGAATGGAAACATCATCGAATGGAATCCAAAGGAAACATCATTGAATGCAACAAAATGGAATCTTCATCGAATGGACCAAAAGGAGTCATCATCGAATGGAATCACATGAAATCATCATCGAATGGAATCGAATGGAATCATCATCAAATGGAATCTAATGGAATCATCGAATGGAATTGAACGGAATCATTATCAAGTGAATTCAATGGAATCATCAAATGGTCTCGAATGGTATCATCATCAAATGGAATCAAATGGAATCATTGAATAGAATCGAATGGAGTAATCATCAAATGGGCTCAAATGGAATCAACATCAAATGGAATCGAACGGAATTATCGAATGGAATTGAATAGAATCATCTAATGGACTCGAACGAAATCATTGAATGGAAAGGAATGGAATAATCAATGGACTCGAATGGAATCATCATCGAATGGAATCAAATGGAAACAACGAATGGACTCGAATGGAATCATCATCAAATGGAATGAAATGGAATCATCAAATGGACTCGAATGGAATCATCATCAAATGGAATCAAATGGAATCATTGAATGGACTCGAATGGAATCTTCATCGAATGGAATCGAATGGAATCATTGAATGGACTCGAATGGAATCATGGAATGGACTCAAATGGAATCATCATCGAATGGTATCAAATGGAAATATTGAATTTACTCAAATGGAATCATCAAATGGAATTGAATGGAATCATCATCGGATGGAAATGAATGGAATCATCATCGAATGGAATTGAATGAAATCATCCAATGGAATCAGATGGAATCATCATCGAATGGAATCGAATACAATTATCGAATGAAATGCAATGTGATCATCATCAAATGGACTCGAATGGAATCATCATCGAATGGACTCGAACGGAATCATCATCCAATGGAATCGAATGGAATCAACATCGAATGGAATCAAATGGAAACACCATCGAATTGAATGGAATGGAATCATCAAATGGACTCGAATGGAATCATCATCAAATGGAATCATCATCAAATGGAATCAAATGGAATCATCGAATGGACTCTAATGGAATCTTCATCGAATGGAATCGAATGGAATCATTGAATGGACTCGAATGGAATCATGGAATGGACTCAAATGGAATCATCATCGAATGGTATCAAATGGAAATATTGAATTTACTCAAATGGAATCATCAAATGGAATTGAATGGAATCATCATCGGATGGAAATGAATGGAATCATCATCGAATGGAATCGAATGAAATCATCGAATGGAATCAGATGGAATCATCATCGAATGGAATCAAATAAAATTATTGAATGAAATCCAATGTGATCATCATCAAATGGACTCGAATGGAATCATCATCGAATGGACTCGAACGGAATCATCATCCAATGGAATCGAATGGAATCAACATCGAATGGAATCAAATGGAAACACCCTCGAATTGAATGGACTGGAATCATCACGGAATTGAAACGGATGAACTCATCATCAAATGTATTCGAATGGAATCATCAAATGGAATTGATTGGAATCATCATCAAATGGAATCAAATGGAATCATTGAATGGAATCGAATGGAATTATCATTGGATGGAAACGAATGGAATCATCTTAGAATGGAATCGAATGGATTCATCGAATGGAATCAGATGGAATCATCATCGAATGGAATACAATAGAATCATTGAATGAAATTGAATGGAATCATCATTGAATGGACTCGAATGGAATCATCATCCAATGGAATAGAATGGAATCAACATCGAATGGAATCGAAAAGAATCATCGAATGAAATCGAATGGAATAATCATTGAATGGAATCGAATGGAATCATCAATGAGTGGAATCGATGGAAGCATAGAATGGAATCCAATGTAATCGTGATCGAATTTAACCCAATGGAATCATTAAATGGACTCGAATGTGATCATCGAATAGACCCGAATGGAATAATCATCGAATGGAATTGAATGGAATCATCATCAAATGGAATCAAGTGGAATCATCCAGTGGAAGAGAATTGAATCATCATCAAATGGAATCGAATAGAATCATCAAATGAAATGAAATGGAATCATCATCGAATGGAATTGAATGGAATCATCATCAAATGGAATCGAATGGAATCATCATCAAATGGAATCGAATGGAATCATCATCGAATGGACTCGAATGGAATCATCATCAAATTGAATCACATGCAATCATCGAAAGGAATTGAATGGAATAATCATCGAAAGAAATTGAATGGAATCATCGAATAGCATCAAATGGAATCATCATCGAATGAAATCGAATGGAATCATGGAATGGAATAGAGTAAAATCATCATTGAATGGACTCGAATGGAATAATCGAATGGACTCGAAAGGAATCATCATCAAAAGGATTCGTATGGAATCATCGAATAGAATCTAATGGAATCATCAAATGGACTCGATTGGAATTATCATTGCATGGAATAGAATGGAATCATAGAATGGAATCAAATGCAATCATAATTGAGTGTAATCATATGGAATCATTGAATTGAATTGAATAGAGTCATCGTCAAATTAAATCACATGGAATCATCGAAAGCATTGGAAAGGAATCATCATCCAATGGAATCGAATGGAAACAATGAATGGAATAGAATGGAAGCATCATCAAATGGAATCGAATGGAATCATCGAATGGACTCGGTTGGAATCATCGTCGAATAGAATCGAATGGAATCATCATCAAATGGAATCGAATGGAATCATCATTGAATGGAATCGAATGCAATCATCATAGAAAGGAATGAAATGGAATTATCATCGAATGGAATCGAATGGAATCATTATCGAATAGAACCAAATGGAATCATCGAATGGAAATGAACGGAATCATAAATGAAGGGAATCCAATGGAATCATCATCACATGGAACCGAATGGAATCATCGAATGGAATCGAATGGAATCATTGAATGGACTCGAATGGCATCATCATCGAATGGATTTGAGTGGAAACATCGAATGGACTCTAATGGAATCGTCATTGAATGGAATCAAAAGGAATCATCATCGAATGAAATCGAATGGAATCAATGAATGGACTCGAATGGAATCATCATCGAATGGAATCGAATGGAATCATGGAATATACTCAAATGGATCATCATCGAATTGAAATGAATGGAATCATCAAAAGGAATCGAATGGAATCTTCATCGAATGAAACCGAATGGAATCATCGAATGGCATCAAATGGAATCATCATCGACTGGAATCAAATAGAATCATCTAACGGAGTCGAATCGAATCATCATCAAATTGAATCATCATGGAATGGAATCAAATGGAAACAACATCGAATGGAATCGAATAGAATCATAATCGAATGGAATCTAATGGAATCATCAAAAGGAATAGAATGGAATAATTATCGAATGGAATCGAATAGCATCATCAAATGAAATCGAATGGAATCATCATCAAATGGAATCCAATGGAATCATCATCGAATGGAATCGAATGGGATCATCATCGAATGGAATTGAAGAGAATCATCATCAAGTGGAATAGAATAGAATCATGAGTAAAGGGAATCGAATGGAATCATCGAATGGAATCCAATGGAATCATCATTGAATGGAAACGAATGGAATCATCATCAAATCGAATGTAAAGTGGTCATCTTCGAATGGATTCTTATAGAATGATCATCGAATGGCATCGAATGGAATTATCATGGAATGGAATCGAATGGAATCATCATCGAATGGAATCGAATGGAAACATCGAATGGACATGAATGCAATCCTCATCGAATGGAATTGAATGGAATCAATGAATGGACTCGAATGGAATCATCCTCGAATGGAAACAAATAGAATCATCATTGAATGGACTCGAATGAAATCATCAAATAGACTCGAATGGAATCATTGAATGTACTAGAATGCAATTGTCATCACTGGGATCATATGTAATTATCATCAAATGGAATCTAATGGAATCACCATCAAAAGGAATCGAATGGAATCATCACTGAATGGAATCCAATGGAATCATTGAATGGAATTGAATGGAATCATCATCAAAAGGAATTGAAGTGAATCATCGAGTGGAATCGAATGGAATCATCTATTGGAATTGAATGGAATCATCATCGAATGGACTCAGATGGAATCATCATTGAATGGATCAGAATAGAATCATCGAATGCACTCGATTGGAATCAATGAATGGACTCGAAGGGAATCATCAATTGGAATCGAATGGAATCAGCGAATGGACTAGAATGGAAGCATCATCAAATGGAATCGAATAGAATCATTGAATGGAAACCAATGGAATCATCATTGAATGGAATTAAATTAAATCATAGAATGGACATGAATGGAATCGTCATCGAATGGAATAGAATGGAATCATCATCGAATGGAATCAAAAGCAATCATCGAGTGGATTCGAATAGAATCATCAAATGGACACGAATGGAATCATCATCAAATGGAATCGGATGGAATCAACGAATGGAATCAAATGGTATCATCATTGAAATGAATCGAATGGAATCATCAAATGGACTGGAATTGAATCTTAATCAAATGGAATCGAATAGAATCATCAAATGGACAAGAATGGAATCCTTATGGAATGGAATCAAATGGAATCATCAAATGGACTCAAACAGAATCATCATCGAATAGAATCAAATTGAATCATCATCGAATGGGCTGGAATGGAATCATCAAATGGACTCGAATGGAATCATCGAACAGACTCAAATGTAATCGTCATCAATGGAATCGAACAGAATCATCATCGAATGGAAACGAATGGAATCATCATTGAATGGAATCTAATGGTATCATGATCACATGGAATCGAATGGAATCCTCGAATGGAATCGAAGGCAATCATCATCGAATGGAATTGAACGGAATGATCAAATTGAATCGAAGAGAGTCATCATCGAATTAAATCACATGGAATCATCGAATGTATTCGAAAGGAATCAACATCCAATGGGATCAAAACGAATCAGGGAATGGAAAGAATGGAATCATCATCAAATGGAATCGAATGGAAACATCAAATGGAATCTAATAGAACCATCATCAAATTGAATAGAATGGAATCATCATCGAATGGAATCAAATGGAATCATCATCAAATGGAATCGAATGGAATAATCATCAAAAGGAATTGAATGGATTTATCATTGAATGGAATCAAATGGAATTATCATCAAATAGAATCGAATGGACTCATTGAATGGAATCAAATGGAATCATCATCAGAAGGAATCGAAGTGAATCATCGAATGGAATACAACGGAATCATCGAATGGAATCAAATGCAATCATCAAAAGGAATCGAGTAGAATCATTGAATGGAATCGAACAGAATCATCAAATGGACTCCAATGGAATCATCATTGAATGGAATCAAATGGAATCATCTAATGAAAGGGAATGGAATCATCATTGAGTGGAATCAAATGGAATCATCGAATGGAATTGTATGGAATCATCATTGAATGGAACCTAATGGAATCACTGAAAGGACTTGAAAGGAATCATCATTGAATGGAATCGAATGGAGTCATCTAATGGACACAAATGGAATTATCATAGAATGGAATTGAATGGAATAATAGAATGGAAACACAGGGAATCATCATTGAATGGAATCGAATGGAATCATCATCAAATGGAAATGCTTGGAATCATCATAGAATGGAATTGAATGGAATCATCAATTGGAATAGAATGGAATCAACATCAAATGGAAACGAATAGAATCATCAAATGAAATCGAATGGAATCATCATGAAATGGAATCAAATGGAATCATCATTGAATGGAATCCAATGGAATCATCAAAGAATGGAATCCAATGGAATCATCTTCAAATGGAACCTAATGGAATCATCAAATGGACTCGAATGGAATCATCGAATGGACTGT
This sequence comes from Homo sapiens, assembly GCF_000001405.40. Taxonomy (NCBI): domain Eukaryota; kingdom Metazoa; phylum Chordata; class Mammalia; order Primates; family Hominidae; genus Homo; species Homo sapiens. The sequence continues at coordinate 89,781,892 of NC_000002.12, read as the reverse complement.
AATGGAATTGTCGATTGGAATTGAATGGAATCATCATCGTATGGAATCGAATGGAAACATCAAATGGATTTGAATAGAATAATCATTGAATGGAATCAAAAGGAATCATCGTTGAATGGAATCGAATGGAATCATCATCAAACGGAATAGAATGGAATCAGCAACGAATGGAATCGAAAGGAATCATCCTCAAATTGAATCGAATGGAATCATCATCGAATGGTATCATCATTAAATGGAATCAAACGGAATCATCGAATGAAATTGGATGGAATCATCATTGAATGGAATCGAATGGAATCATCATCAAATGGAATCCAATGGAATCACCATCACATGGAACCTAACCGAATCATTGAATGGCCTCGAAAGGAATCATCAAATACACTCGAATGGAATAATCTTCAAATGGAATCAAATAGAAACATCAAATGGACTTGAATGGAATGATCGAACAGAGTCGAAAGGAATCATCATCGAATAGAATCTAATGTAAACATATAATAGCATTGAATAGAATCATCATCGAATGGAGTCAAATGGAATCATTGAATGGAACCAAATGAAATCATCATAGAATGGATCCGAATGGAATCATCTTTGAATGGGATTGGATGGAATCATTGAATGGACTCGAATAGAATCATCATCGAATGGAATCGAATGGAATCGTCATTGAATTGAATGAATGGAATCATCATCGAATGGAATCGAATGGAATCATGGAATGGAATAGAATGGAATCATCATCGAATGGAATCAAATGGAATCATCATTGAATGGAATCGAATGGAAACATCATCAAAAGGAATTCAATGGAATCATCATAGGATGGAATTGAATGGAATCATCAACGAATGGAATCGAATGGAGTCATCGAATGGAATATAATGGAATATAATGGAATAATTATCCAATGGAATCGATTGGAATCATCATCAAATGGAAACTACTGGAGTCAACACCGAATGGATTTGAATGGAATAATCATCGAATGGCATCGAATGGATTCGAATGGAATCATCAACGAATGGCATCGAATGGGATCATCATGGAATGCAATCGAATGGAATCATTGAATGGACTCGAATGGAATCCTCAAGTGGAATCAAATGGAATCATGAAATGGACAAGAATGGAATCCACGTTGAATGGAATCTAATGGAATCATCGAATAAACTCAAAGGGAAATATCAAATTGAAACGAATGGAATCATCATGGAATTGAATCGAATGGACTCCTCATCGAATGGAATCGAATGGAATCATTGATTGGAATTGAATGGAATCATTGAATGGACTCGAACGGAATTGTCATCGAATGGAATCGATTGGAATCGTCATCAAAGGGAATCAAATGGAATTATCTTCGAATAGAATTGAATGGAATCATCATGGGAAAGAATCTGTTGGAATCATCTAATGGAATCAAATGGAATCATCATCATCAAAATGAATTGAAGTGAATCATTGAATGGAATCGAATGGAATCACGGAATGGACTCGAATGGAATCATCGAATGGTTGCAAATGCAATCATTGAATGTAATAGAATAGAATCATCGATGGAATAGAATGGAATCATCATTGAATGGACTCGAATGGAATCATCGAATGGACTCGAATGAAATCGTCATCGAATGGAATCAAATGGAAGCAGCAAATGGAATCGAATGGAATCATCATCAAAGGGAATCGAATGGAATAATTGAATGGAAACCTATTGAATCATCATTGATTGAAATCGAATGGAATCATCGAGTGGCATTGAAAGGAATCATCAACAAATGGAATCGAAAGGAATCATCACATGGACACGAATGGAAACATCGAATGGCATTGAAAAGAATCATCATCGAATGGAATTGAATGGAATCATCTAATGGACACGAATGGAAACATAATCGAAAGGAATTGAATGGAATAATTGAATGGACACAAATGAAATAATCACTGAATGTAATCGAATGGAATCATCATCGAATGGAATCGATTGGAGTCATCCTCAAATGGAATCGAATGGGATCATGAAATGGAATAGAATGGAATTATCATCTAATAGCTTTGAATAGAGTCATCGAATGAAATCAAACGGAATTATCATCCAAAGGAATCGAATGGAATCATCATCAAATGGAATTGAATGGAATCATCAGCGAATGGAATCAAATGGAATCATCATAGAAGGGAATCGAATGCAATCATCAATGAATGGAATCCAAAGGAAACATCATCAAATGGAACCGAATGCAATCATCGAATGGGCTCGATTGGAATAATCGAATCGACTCTAACGGAATCATTATTGAATGGAATCATTATTGAATGGAATCGAATGGAAACATTGAATAGACTCGAATGGAATCATCATGGGATGGAATCGAATGGACTCGAATAGTATCATCATCGAATGGAATCAAATGGAATCATCATTGAATGGAATCAAATGGAATCATAATAGTATGGAATTGAATGGAATAATCATCAAAAGGAATCGAATGGAATCCTCGAATTTAATTGAATGGATTCAGCAAATGGTATAGAATGGAATCATCATCAAGTGGAATCAATATGAATCATCAAATGGAATCAAATGGAATCATTACCGAATGGAATGGAATGGAATCATCAAATGGAATTAATGCAATCATCATCAAATGCAATCAGATAGGATAATCGAATGGAATTGAGTAGAATCGTCATCGCATGGAATCGAATGGAATAATCGAATGGAATCAAAAGGAATCATCATCACATGGAATCAAATGGAATCATCATCGAATGGTTTTGAAACGAATAATCAAATGGAATCGAATGTAATAAATCGAATGGAACCGAATGGAATCATCATTGAATGGAATCGAATGGATTCATCATCAAATGAAATAAAAAAATCATCGAATGGAATCGAATGGAATCATCATTGAATGGAATCAAATGGAATCATTGGAACGAATTGAATGGAATAAACATCCAATGGAATCGAATGAAATCCTAGAATGGAATGGAATGGTATCATTGAAAGGAATCAAATGGAATCATCATCGAATGGAATCAAGTGGATTCATGCAATGGAATTGAATGGAAATATCATCACATGTAAGCCAATGGAATCATTGTATGGAATCGAATGGAATAATGATCAAATGCAATCATCGAATGGAATAGAATGGAATCATTGAATGGAATCAAATGGTGTCATCTTCAAATGGAATTATTCCATGAAACTTAATGGAATCATCAAACGGAACTGAATGGAATCATAGAATGCAATCAAATGGTATCATCGAATGGAATCAAATGGAATCATCTTTGAATGGAATTGAATGGAGTCATCCAGTGGAATCAGATGGAATCATCATCAAATGGAATCGAATGGAATCATCAAATGGAATCAAATGGAATCATCATCGAATGGAATTGAGTGGAATCATGCAATGGAATTGAAAGGAATCATCATCGAATGGAATTGAAAGGAATCATCATCGAATGGATTCATCATCGAATGGAATCATCATTGAATGTAATGGAATGGAATCATCGAATGAAATCGAATGGAATCATAATCGAATGCAATTGAATGGAATAATCAAATGGAATCGAAAGTAATCATCTTCGAATGGAATTGAATGGAATCACCCAAAGCAATCGAATGGAATAATCTTGGAATGGAATCATGGAATACAATCGAATGGAATCACCAAATGGAATCGAATAGTGTCACATCTAATGGAATCATCCAACTTAATTGAATGGATTCATCAAATGGAATCGAATGGAATCATTGAATGGAATCGAATGGAATCATCATCAAATGGAATCGAATGGAGTCATCCGATGGAATTGAATGGAATCAACATTGAATACAATCGAATGCAATCATGGAATGGAATCGAATGGAATCATCATCACATGGAATTGAATGGAATCATCATCGCATGGAATCGAATGGAATCATCATCACATGGAATCAGATGGAATAATCATCAAATGGTATCAAAAGGAAACATTGAATGGAATCGAAAGGAATAAATCAAATGGAATCGAATGGAATCATCATCACAAGGAATTGAATGGGAACATCGAATGGAATCATTATCGAATGAAATAAAAAATTATCATCTAATGTAATCGAATGTAATCATCATCGAATGGAATCAAATGGAATAATCATCGATTGGAATCCAAAGGAATCATCAACGAATGGATTTGACTGAAATCAACTTCCAATGGAATCGAATGGAATCATCAAATGGAGTCAAATGGAATAATCATGGAATGGAATCAAAAGGAATTATTGAATGGAATCGAATGGAATCATTGAATGGAATCGAATGGAATCCTCATCGAATGGAATTAAATGGAATCCTCCAATTTAATCGAATGGAATCATCGAATGGAATCGAATGAATCATCGTCGAATGCAATAGACATGAATCATCGAATGGAACCCAATGGAATCATCATCGAATGGAATCGAATGGAGTCATCGAATGGAATTGAATGGAATCATCATCAAATGGAATCAAAAAGAATCATCAAATGGAATTAATGCAATCATCATCGAATGCAATCGATTGGAATCATCGAATGGAATTGAGTAGATTCAACATCGCATTTAATGAAATGGAATAATAGAATGGAATCGAATGGAATCATCACATTGAATCGAATGGAATCATCATCGAATGGAATCGAATGGAACCGTAGTTGAATGGAATCGAATGGAATCATCGAATGGAATTGAATGGAATCATCATTGAATGGAATCGAATGGAATCATCAAAAGGAATCTAATGGAATAATCATCAAATGGAATCAAATGAAAACCTCGAATGGAATGGAAAGCAATCATCGAATGGAATAAAATGGAATCATCATCGAATGGAATCAAATGGACTCAAAGAATGGAATTGAATGGAATCATCAGCGAATGGAATCAACTGAAATCATCATTGAATGGAATCAAAAGGAATCATCGAATGGAATTGAATGAAATCATCGAAAGAAATTGAATGGAATCATCATTGAATGGAATCAAATGGAATCATCCAATGGAATCGAATGGAAAAATCATTGATTGGAAACATTGAATGGAATCGAGTGGAATCCTCAAATGGAATCAAATGGTGTCATCATCGACTGGAATCATCCCATGAAAACGAACGGAATCAGAAAATGGAATTGAATGGAATCATCAAATGGAATCGAAAGGAATCATCATCCAATGAAATCAAATGCAGTAATCCGATGGAATCAAATGGAATCATCATAAAATGGAATCGAATGCAATCATTGAATGGTATCGAATGGAATCATTATCACATGGAATCAAATGGAATCATCATCACATGGAATCGAATGGAATCATCATGGAATGGTATCGAAAGGAAATGTCAAATGGAATTGAATGGAATAAATCAAATGGAATCAAATGGAATCATCAACGAATGGAATCGAATTGAATCATCAAGTGGAATCATCAACGAATGAAATTGAAAAGAATCAACGAATGAAGACAATTGCTATCATAATCGAATTTAATCAAAAGGAATCATCATCAAATGAAATTGAATGGAATCCTCGAAAGGAATCGAATGGAATAGTCATTGAATGGAATAAAATGGAATCCTCGAATGGAATCTAATGGAACCAACCAATGGAATCGAATGGAATCATTGAATGGAATCAAATGGAATCAGTGAATGGAATGGAATGAAATCATCGAATGGAATCATCATCGAATGGAATCAAATTGAGTCATCCAATGGAATCTAATGGAATCAACATCGAATGGAATCGAATGGAATCATCGAAGGGAATCAAATGGAATAATCATCCAATGGAATCGAATGGAATCCTCGAATGGAATCGAACGGAATTATAGAATGGAATCAAACAGGATCATTGAGTGGAATGAAATGGAACCATCATCGAATGGAATGGAGTGGAATCATCAAATGGAATTGAATGGAATCATCATCGAATGGAATCGAATGGAATCATCGATTAGAATCAAATGGAATCATCAAAAGGAATCAAATGGAATCATCATCTAATGGAACCGAATGGAATCAACGAATGGAATTGAATGGAATCATCATCGAATGGATTAGAACGGAATCAACCACTGGAATCGAATTTAATAATCATCAAATGGAATCATTGAATGGAATCATATGGAATCATCGAATGGAATCAAATGGTGTCTTCATCGAATGGAATCATCTAATGGAATCGAATGGAATCATCAAATGGAATCGAATGGAATCACTGAATGGAATCGAATGGAATCATCAAATGGAATCATCAAATGGAATCAAATGGAGTCATCCAATGGAATCTAATTCAGTCATCATCACATGCAATCGAATGGAATCATCTAATGGACACTAATGGAATCATCATTGCATGGAATCTTATGGAATCATTCATCACATGGAATCGAATGGAATCATCATTGAATGGTATCAAAAGGAAACATAGAATGGAATCAAAAGGAATAAATCAAACTGAATCGAATGGAATCATATTCGAATGGAATCAAATGGACTCATATTCGAATGGAATTGAATGGAATCATCATTGAATGAAATCAAAAAGAGTCATCGAATGGAATGAAATGCAATCATCATAGAATGGAATCAAATGGAATCATCATCGAGAGGAATCGAACGGAAACTTTGAAAGGAATCGAATGGAATAATCATCAAATGGAATCGAATGAAATCCTAGAATGGAATCGAAAGGAATCATGGAAAGGAATCGAATGGAATCATCATCACATGGAATCGAATGGAATCATCATCGAATGGAATCAAATGGAATCATGGAATGGAATCACCATTGAATGAAATCAAAAAGAATCATCGAATGGAATGGAATGCAATCATCATCAAATGGAATCGAATGGAGTCATCATCGAGTGGAAGCGAATGGATCATTGAAAGGAATCGAATGGAATAATCATCGAATGGAATCGAATGAAATTCTGGAATGGAATTGATTGGAATCATTGAATGGAATCTAAAGGAATCATCATCGAATGGAATCGAAACGAATCATGGAATGGAATGGAATGGAATGGAAGCATCATCGCATGGAATCAAATGGAATCATCCAATGGAATCGAATGGAATCATCATCGAATGGAATCGAATGGAATCATCATCGAATGGAATCAAAAAAATCATCGAATGGAATCAAATGGTATCCTCGAATTTAATCGAATGGATTCATCAAATGGAATCGAATGGAATCATTATCAAATGGATCAATATGAATCATCGAATGGAATCAAATGGAATCATCAAATGGAATGGAATGGAATCATCAAATGGAATTAATGCAATCATCATTGAATGCAATCAAATGGAATAAACATCCAATGGAATCAAATGAAATCCTCAAATGGAGTCGAATGGAATCATCGAAAGGAATCGAATGGGGTCATCATCGAATGGAATCGAATGGATTCATGCAATGGAATCGAATGGAAACTTCATCACATGGAAGTAAATGGAATCATCATATGGAATCAAATGCAATAATCATCGAACGCAATTATCAAATGGAATAGAATGGTATCATCAAATGGAATCAAATGGTGTCATCATAGAATGGAATCATCCCATGGAATTGAATACAATCATCGAATGGAATCAAATGGAATCATAGAATGCAATCAAATGAAATCATCATATGGAATCAAATGGAATCATCATTGAATGGAATTGAATGGAGTTATCAAAAGGAATCAAGTGGAATCATCATCGAATGGAATTGAATGAAATCAACTTCCAATGGAATCGAATGGAATCATTGAATGGAATCGAATGGAATCACCATGGAATGGAATCAAAAGGTATTATTGAATGGAATAGAATGGAATCATCATTGAATGGAATCAAATGGAATCATTGAGTGAAATCGATTGGAATACTCATCGAAAGGAATTGAATGGAATCCTCAAGTTAATCGAATGGATTCATTGAACGGAATTGAATGAATCATCATCGAATGCAATCAACATGAATCATCCAATGGAATCCAATGGAATCATCATCTAATGGAATCGAATGGAATCGTCATCGAATGGATTCGAAGAGAATCATCAAATGGAATTAATGCAATCATAATCGAATGGAATCATCGAATGGAATTGAGTAGAATCATCATCGCATGGAATCGAATGGAATAATCGAATGGAATCGAATGGAATCATCATCATATGGAATTGAATGGAATCATCATCAAATGGTATTGAAAGGAATCATTGAATGGAATCGAATGGAATAAATCAAATGGAACTGAATGGAATCATCATCAAATGTAGTCAAATGGAATCATTGACTGGAATCATCATCAAATGAAATAGAAAAAAATCATTGAATGGAATCAAATGCAATCATCATCGAATGGAATCATCATCGAATGGAATTGAATGGAATCATCTAAAAGAATCGAATGGAATAAACATCAAATGCAATGGAATGAAATCCTCAAATGGAATCAAATGGAGTCATCGAATGGAATCGAATGGAATCATCATCGAATTGATTCAAATGGAATCATTGAATAGAATCGAATGGAATCATCATTGCATGGAAACAAATGGAATGATCGAATGGAATCACATATATTCATCATTGAATGGAAGTGAATGGAATCATCAAATGGAATCAACTGGAATCATCAAATGGAATCGAATGAAATCACTGAATGGAAACAAATGGAATCATCGAATGGAATCGAATGCTGTCATCTTCCAATGGAATCGAATGTACTCATCATCGAATGGAATCGAATGCTATCATCATCGAATGGAATCGACTGGAATCATCATCAAATGGATATGAATGGAGACATCCTATGCAATCGAATGGAATCATCATCAAATGAAATCAAATGGAATCATCGAATGCAATCGAATGGAAACATCATCGCATGGAATTGTACGGAGTCATCATCACATGGAATCGAATGGAATCAACATCAAATGGTATTGAAAGGAATCATCGAATGGAATCAAATGGAATAAATCAAATGTAATCAAATGGCATCATCATAGAATGGAATCAAATGGAATCATCGAATGGAATTGTCATTGAATCATATCAAAAAGAATTCTCGAATGGAAAGGAATGCAGTCATCATTGAATGGAATCGAATGGAATCATCATCAAATGGAATCGAACAGAATCATCGAAAGGAATCGAATGGAGTAATTATAACATGGAATCGAATGGAATCATCAAATGGAATCGAATGGAATCATCGAATGGAATCGAATGGAATCATCGTCGAATGGAATCGAATTGAATCATGGAAAGGAATCGAATGGAATCATCATTACATGGAATAAAATGGAATCATCGAATGGAATCAAATGGAATAATTATCGAATGGAATTGAATGGAATCATTGAATGGAATCGAATGGAATCATAAAATTAGTTCCTGACATACAAGAAAATCACTGTCAAAACATTAGCTTAACATTTGTTAAGGAAACAAAAAGACTTTGGTGACCACACCTTATAAAGCAAACAGTTTTGTAAATCACTTTGGAAAATTTCACTAAAAAAAAAAATCCTTAACAATATAATAAGTAAAGAAAATTTTAAACCACAAAACATTACTGTGTTTGTAGGGGGGGTCTGATTTACAGAGTAACCACATAGTAATTATAATTATTAGAATGTCCAGCTTTCAAAAAAAGTTACAAGTTACAAGGCTTACAAAGAACGGGAAAGTATGGCTCATTCAAAGGAACAAAATAAACGGACAGAGAATATCTCTAAGGGAACCCAGACATCAAACTTACTAGACAAAGACTTTAAAACAACTCTCTTAATTATACTCAAATGTCAAAAGGAAAACATAAACAAAGAAATCAAGGAATCAGAAAAAATATTAAAAAGTAGGAATATCAACAGAGATAGCAGAAATTCTGGAGTGGAAAACTACAATGATAAAAATTTAAAAATCACCAGAGGGATTTAAGAGTATATTTGCACACACAGAAGAAGTCATGGGCTTGAAGATAAGAAAATGGAAAATATTGATTCTGAGAAACAGATAAAAAATGAGCAGAGACTAAGGAACCTGTGGGACATCATTAAATAGGCCAACATTCGCATTCTAGAAGGATAAATTATGTTGTTGAAAATTTTAGCATTCTTTCTTTTCACCTTTCTTCCTTCCTCCCTCTCCCTCCTCCTCCTTTTTACTTTTCTTCTTCTTCCTTTCTCTTCTTCTGTCTCTCCTTCATTATCCCTTTCACTCTGTTTTTCTTTCTCCCTTTCTCTTTTTTCTTTTCTTTCAATTATCTCAATTACTAAGAGATGTTTAAATACCCTTACCATGTGAGTTGATATGCTTATTTCTCCCTTTAGTTCTCTCTTGAGATTTATAGTCACTCTAAGTAAAGAGATAACCCAAACATAAGCCTCACAAACAGGCTTCCATACCATTCTTAATTTGGTCCTTTAATTCTTCATTGCTGTATTAACTTTCTGATGCTTTTAAGGATGTTTTATAACAAATTTTTTAGTTTTTTCCAATGGAATGTTTATTCTGAATTATCTAATTCATATAGTAAGTATATAGGGAGTTTAATATAAAATTATTAAACTGATATTTGTGACAGAATGTATTTGTGCATTTAACAAATATGTTAATCCTCAGACTGTTATTGGGCAGCTGAGCATACAGCAATAAAAATAACATAATTTTTATGTGTACAATATTTATGGAATACGTTACTGGAACAAATAAATAATTTAGTTAATAACATGACAAAGAACAGAAATTGTATACACTATAGAGCATAGTAATGAAATAATGAATGATTAAAGTTATTAATATTAGGTAGAAAATGAAGGGTATCTTTGAGAGCAGAACTCAAGGAAGCAAGCAATTCACCTTATGAGGAAAGAGTTACCTGTGGATAAAGGAGAAACTGAAAAATTTACAAGTCAAGACTTTTTGAGCAAAAACAAAAATATGACTATTAGTCACCAATTCAGTACAGTGAAAAAAAAGTTGAAGAGATATCTTGGAAGTAAATCATGTTGTGGAAGAGCATGTAGGGTTTTGATAATCATGGGATTATTCTGAAGTAATTTTAAATGCGATAGGAATATATGAGATAATTTCACCAAACAATAACATGATTGGGTTTGCATTTCAAAGGGGTGTATCTGGTGCACCGTGTAGAATCAATAGGTTATGTGAGCAAATAAATTGGGAGGCTACTCTAATCCAGAGAAAAAAGGTAGTGACTTAGGTGAGAATGCTGTCAGGATGAGTGGTAGTAGTGGTGAGAAGTCGTTAGGCCATGGAGTATTTCATAGGACTGGCCAAGAGAACTGCAGCTAAATTGGAGTGTAGGGAGTGAAATGGAGAACTCAAAGATGACTCTCAGCACTGGAAGGTGACAACTGTCACTGAAGCATGATGATGCCTCTTATTAAGAGAGTTACTTGGGAATGGCAAGATCAAAACTTCTCACTTTGAAATTTATGAAAAATATTGTTTTCAGAACAAATGACTTTGGGATCAGAAAGCCACCATTCTAATTGATGGTTCCATGACTACACGGGCTCACACTCCCAAGAGCAAAAGTAAATCATCACAAAGGTGCTTCCTGATAATTCTAGAGAATGGATAATTACTGTAACATCTTTTTGATTTTAGGAGAGGTAGCAGTTCCCTTTTTAGCCTAAATGCTATTTTTTTAAAGCTCAGCCAAGAGACTCCATTATAATTTTCAAATGTGTGTAACTTAAATTCTCATATGAAATACCACTATGCTTAAATTAGTCACAAAAGTGACTGCAGCTCACAGACCCTGAAAGGAGAAAATCCAGGGTAGGTTATCTGATCTAGTTAGTTTCGAAGACAGGATCTAGAGATTATTTAATATGAAATAGATCACCTGAAATGTTTACTGAAAACAGCTTTGATCAGCCCAGTTTTCTACCACTGAACCATGCATTTGGTTTAAAAAACACAACAACTCTGGGGAATATCGGCTGCTTCCAATTGTGTTGAAGGTGTTAAAGAAAAGAGCATAAAATTAAAAATGATCATCTGAGGCCTTTATAGTCTCTGCTCAAGAGACTAGAGTCTTCCATTCTTAACGAAACACCCAAATATCTTAATAATTGGGCAAAATCTAAATATCAGAGATAATTTTATCTTGAAGATTGTTAAATTATAATGGTGATTCACTACCTTGCCACGTCTCTGAGTCAAAAATTAGGTCTTTGTTTAGGAATCAATGGTACTCTGCAACTTGGAAATAGGAAGATTTTAGAAGACTCAAACACTGACTTTCTTGTGTGCAAAAAAAAGACGTATTGAGATAAGACAAGTCTTTCCTTGCAAGGATACCTCTAATGATCATACACCACCTCCCCTAATGTTAATACAGCTTCCAGGTCACTAACCAGTGTCAGAGAGCAGCCCATGCAGCTAGAAGTTCAAAAGATGTTGAACACAGGGTCAAGCCTAGAATAAGAAGTCTTAGCTAATTAAGTATGCTTTTTTCCTGAAATTCATATGAACAAAAACTTGGATATGTCGGAGAATGCATTCTAAGTTCACTCAACCTAGGAGGGAGAAACATAATTTTAAATTAAGAGCTGAAGCATTCTTGTCCTAACAGAAAGCAAGGAAAACGAAATATCACACCACAGGAGGGATTTCACAAATTAGTGTCAACATCAAAACCTTAAAATAGGCAAGGAGAATGCAGATTCACAATGAACTCTTGTACTTGTTTTGTTCAGAGAAGAGATGGTTCTGAGAGAATGACAGTGAACTAACCCCAGCTGTTTTAGTTGGTGCTTTCAACTGCTGCTTCTGATCAACTCCTTTAGCTAGGATAAATTGATGAGGATTTTGGCATGTGGTATTAGAGATGGTTATTTTTTCCTCTTATTTGCATTGTTCAATGTAGTAAATACTAGCTATATATGGCTACTTCAATTCAAATTAATTACAATGAAATATACTTAAATATTGAATTTTTTAGTCACTGTTGGTTCATTATTGAATATCTCAGCTAAGATTTCCCATCTAAATACACTAAGAGGTGGCTTAGTTAACTGGTCATCCACAAATATTGAAGCTGTTGTTAACTCCTGATATATTCTCTGCAAAGAGAATATTCATGAGCCTCCTCCTGAAATCAGCAGCCTAGAGGTAGTTTTATAAATTCGATACCAGTTGGAAATCTATACTCTTTAAGTTTTTGAAATATTAGCTTCCCAGGGAAGAAAATCAAATTCATAAGATATGTTAGGACAATTTAACTCAAGATGTTCAAAACTGAAATGACGTATTCTACAATATGTGATAAAACCACCCCCTAAGAACTTAAAGCAAAACAGGGATTGACCTTAAAGACCTGCCTTTTCCTCATCCCCCAGCCAATCAGTTTTCAAATCTTGCATTTTATTTCGAAAGGTCCTTATCCCCCTCGTCTCTTGTTTCTAGACTTGGCACATATTTAAGTTTGTTACCTGTATCTACTGACTTTTCTCTTTTCAAACAGTATCTATGCCTGCCAAATGTGAACATACAAAAAACAAATCAGAATGTGCCATTCTGATTTGAACTGCTTATTAGTTAATCCCTCAAGATAACATCTGGGTTCTTAGCTGCAATGAGTCAAGCCTACTTACATCTTTTTTTGTCTTTGGCTGCACATTTCCTATCACATCACACTCCAGCAATGCCAGGCTATGCTGGCATTCTACCCCATCTCCACTATTTTGCCCTCCGCCGCCCTGGCTTTTTGCCCGCCCTGGCTTTTTGCCCCCCGGCCTCCGTGGCTTTTTGTTCCCCTCCCCCGCCGCCGCGGCTTTTTACCCACTGCGGCTTTTCGCCCCCCGCCGCCGCGGCATTTTGCCTCCGCCGCCGCGGCTTTTTGCACCCCCCGCCGCCGAGGCTTTTTCCCTCCACCCAGCCTAGGCTTTTTGCCCGCCGCGGCTTTGTGCACCCCCGGCGCAGCGGGTTTTTGTCCGCCGCGGCTTTTTGACCCCCCGCCGCTGCGAATTTTGCTGCCACGGCTTTTTGCCCACCCTGGGTTTTTGTCCCCCCGCCGCCACGGCTTTTTGCGCCCCCGCCGCCACCACGGCTTTTTGCCCCCTGCCGCTGCGGCTTTTTGCCCCCTGCCACCGCGACTTTTTACCCGCCACAGCTTTTTGCCCCCCCCCCACCCGCTGCCACGGCTTTTTGTCCGCCGCTGCTTTTTGCCCCCGCCGCCGCGGATTTTTGCTGCTGCGGCTTTTTGTCCCCCGCCGCCTTTGCAACCTTAATTTCACTCAAAATCTAATTTCCTACTGCCATGCCACCTAACCTATTTGTATGTTAGACTCTGGGAATTAGGACACGAACATTTTTGGGGTGCCATTATTTTGTCTACAGCAGACAGAATCTACACTGCTTGGGAGGTGCAGATTATCTTGGGGGAGGCAGGGCCAGCCCTTCCCTCTGTGGACACCCAGCTTTCCCACAGGCCCTACCTGTCTATGGGTTCCCTGCATGACCAGGTGATCTACCCGGATTCAGTGGAGGACATGTGAAGGAAGGGCTACTCGGAGCAGGACCTGGAAGCCATCCTGGACATCGAGCACCTGCACCACATCCTGCAGCGGGAGGGAGGTAGGAGGCCTGGGGCTGGCAGCCGCCCTTTGTCCCACCCTGGCCTCTCCCTTCGCCTCCAGGGAGTGAAGATTATCTCAACATCCAGGAGTCTAAAGTGCCAGGTGCCACAGGTGCAGGGCAGAGGGTGCTACCTCTGAGGCCCGCCTACCAGGGAGGACCAACACCACACAGATGGCCCCAGGTGGCATGGGTGCTCTAGGGAAGGGGGCACCTAGCAGGGATGCGCACCTCATTGGGGGACCCAGGATACCCTCTCCCAGAGAAAAGGGGTCTGAGCTGAGCCCTGCAGAATGCTGAGTTGTTACCCCATCCAGGAGCCAGGGGCAGCAGGGCAGAGTGCGGCCCGCAGGCTTGGTGGTGTGAGAACCTGGCTCACAGAGGGCCCTCCGGACCAAGCGGGAGCTTAGGCTTTCCCTGAGTGGGATCAGACGCTCTTGGAAGGACCATGGGGTGGTGGGCAGGGGCAGCCTGGGAGGGGCAGGCACATGTGTTCAGTGATGGCTACTGTCAGGAGGTCTGTGCAGATGCTTGGAGGGGGGTGGGGCCAGCAGAGTCTGGTGGATTCAGAGATGAATTCACTGAAAAAGAGGCCAGACTGAGCTGTTTTTTTGTCCTGGGCTTATCAAGGAATACTGCTTGTCCACAGTGTCTGTCGGGCCGGGAGAGCGGAGGAGGAGAGCGGGGTGCAGCTACAGGGAAACAGTAGAGGGAGCATTCAGTTATGTCTTTGAATTCTGAGACTCTGTGTTCTGCTTCCAGCCCCCACTGCTGGGTGCGAGTTGGCCCTGGGCAAGGACCTCGCCTTGCTGGGACTCCCCTTCATGGTTCAAGGGCACTGGCACCAAGCCCTCCCTCGGTGGCAACATGAGAAGAAGTGGCTCCTGCAGGAAATGACCAGGGTGTTGTCACCTGCCTGTGGAGGAAGCGGGAACACAGGTGGCAATGGTGGTGGAGCAGCCCCTGGCCCGGCCCTGCCTCTTGCTCCGGCTGCCCTCGGCCTGGGAGCACATGGCCCCTCCCGCCTCTGTGGCAGCCTGAATGCCCAGGGTCTGTGGCCGGCCAGCATGAGCCGTTAGGATGGAGTTGAGCTGCAAGGAACAGAACCGGCCTCCCCGCAGTAGTGGCTAAGATCATCTGTGAGTTTATCCTACTGAGCTGTTAGGTCCCAAGAGAGCCAGGCCACAGTTGCCAGGGCTGGCCCTGCTCTGTGAAGGCCCCAAGGCTCTAGGATTTTCTACCATGTCACTCTGCTGTGTGTGGCCTCCATTCCCAAAGTCACCTCATGATCCAGGAGGGCTGCTGCCACCCTCACATCATGTCTCAGGCTGTAGGATGGAGGAAGTAGAAGGGAAGGGGCAAAAGGTTTGTGCCTTCTATCTTTTAAGGAAGTTCCCAGAAGCCGCCATATTGAATACTTAGTTATATCTCATTGGCCACAACTTAGTCTCATGCTCACACCTCACCACAAGGCCACATGGGAAGTGTAATCTCTACTCTGGGTGGCCATATATCCTGTGGCCACTTCTAGCCCTGGGCCGCTGGGGAAGGCAGCATGGGCGAGAAGACAGGAGGGGCCACTTCTGCCACAGGGCCCCGGCCTAATGGAGAAGCGGGCTCACCTGCTCCTTCAAGCAGCCCACTCTAGCCTTGCCAAAGTGCTGGCATGGGGCAGTAACAGGAGGCCCAACCCCTGTGGGTGACAAGCCCCTGGTCTGGGGAGAGAACTCAGGCCACTCTGGAGCTCTGTGCCAAGGAACTCTATGGGTGTCCTAGGGCTGCCATAAACTGCAGGGGTGGATCATCTCCTGGATCCAGCAGTCCGAGATCCTGGTACCAGCAGGGTGGGTTCCTTCCAGGTGCCATGACAGAAGGATGTGTTCCAGGCCTTTGTCCTCAGCACACAGATCGTCCACTTCTCCCTGTATATATTCACCTCGTGTTCCTCTGTGCATGTCCTCTGCCCGCACACCCCCTTTTAATGAGGACACAGTCATATTGAATTAGGGTCCGCTCTGATGACCTCATCTTAGTGTGATCACCTCTGCTAAGGCCCTGTCTCCAAATAAGGTCACACTGAAGTGTTGGGGCTTGGACTCCACCATATCTCTTCTGGGGGAAGGCACGATTCCAGTCCCCACTCCTCCGTGATTAACGGCTGTCAGACAGACAAGTACGCAGAGGCACAGGGGCCCTGTCATCATAGCTAGCTCATTTCCACAGCTCCCCCAGGTCCCAGGCTGGCCCCCAGGTCTGGGTACTGGTGGAACTGAGCCAAGACCATTGCCCCTGCCTAGGTTGGGAGGCTATGTGTGACTGGAAGGACGTCCTGCCGGGTGACGAGAAGCAGAGAATCGGCATGGCCCGCATGTTCTACCACAGGTGAGCACTCCAGGCCAGCAGGCTCCCTGGGGTCCCCTGGAAGGAGAAGTAGCAGCTGTGGGGAGGCCTGGGCTCAGTGGAGCCTTAGCCGGACTGGGGTGTTGGGCCCTGGAGGGTGCACAGCCTCTCCTCTCGGTCCGGACCCCCAGACCCAAGTACGCCCTCCTGGATGAATGCACCAGTGTCATGAGCATCGATGTGGAAGTCAAGATCTTCCAGGCGGCCAAGGACGCAGGCATTGCCCTGCTCTCCATCACCCACCAGCCCTCCCTGTGGTAGGTGCCCTGTCTCCCTGCCTGGGGTCAGTGGGAGTGGCTGCCTGAGGGGAGGAGGTGGCCTGTTGGGCCAGGCGGCAGCAGCAGGCGGCTGTCATCAGCAGCCCTTGTGCCGAGCCCCTGATCCTGTCCCTCTCCTGGCCAGGGAGTACCACACACACTTGCTACAGTTCGATGGGGAGGGCGACTGGAAGTTCGAGAAGCTGGACTCAGCTGCCCACCTGAGCCTAACAGAGGAGAAGCAGCAGCTGGAGCAGCAGCTGGTGGGCATACCCAAAATACAGCGGCACCTCCAGGAGCTCTGCCAAATCCTGGGTGGTGCCGTGGCCCCAGCGCATGTGCTGGCACCTAGCCTGCAAGGCCCTGGTGGCCTCCAGGGTACCTCCACCTGACGCCACCCTCTCCAGCTCCTGCCCCGCCCCCAAGCTTGAATCACATGAAGGAGACAGCAGCACCCACCCGCACACCCACCCCACCCCTGCATGCCTGGCACCTCCTCCTAGAAGGCCCTTCCCGACCTCGGGAAAGTAGATGTGGAGGGTGGTGCCCTGCATGACCCTCGCCCTATCCCTCCCACTCCCTGGGGGGTCTGTTCCACAGTGACTGGGCCCTGTCCAGGGCAGTGAGTCCTCTACTTTGCTCCGTGGAGGGAGCTGGGGTACAAGGGGCCCAGTGCTGGCCACACAGCAGTGCAGCCGAGCCCCAGGAGCCCCTCAGGCCACAGCCCCTGGCGCTGCAGGTGGCCTCCCTCCTTGTCAGTCTCTCAAAGACCCCACGGTCCATTCCCTGAGGGTGGCCAGCCAAGGCTCCCATCCCATGCGATGCCATAAAAGCCGCCCGGTGGTACCCACAGTCACACAGAGCGCCTCACCTGCATCCTCTCCCCCACAAGAACCCCAAAGATCCCACGGGAGAGGGACGCACAGCACTGCCTGCGGAGCAAGAATGTAGGCCCCGCCCCCTCGGCCCCTCACCTCGTCTTTCTGCAGCCTAATTTATTGGATTACCTATTCGTAGCCATCTCCGTGGCCAATGTGACTACCCTGCCAGCAGCGGGGGCGGCCCAGCCTCTGAGTCCCCTTGGGCCCCGGCTCCCACCGGTGCCAAACCCAGCCCTTGTGGCCGTCACCCAGCCAGCCTACACTGACAGCCGCCACCTGGCCACACGGGCGGGCCTCTGCTTGCTAGCCGTGAGTGCGGACACCATGTTCCCAGCTCAGTGCCAAAGAGTGGTCACCAGGGGGAGCTGTCTGCGGAGCCAACACCTGCCCGAGAGAGACCCCACCGCCACCGTGTGCCTTTCCCGGGTCCTCAGCCCTCAGGCCAGGCGCCATCCTGAGCCCCCCCAGTAAAAGCCTCCATTGGCAAATGCAGTCCTTCCTCCCTGCCCCAGAGTCTGGTGGTGTCTGCTGCAGGTCTTGGGGAGAGATGGAGGAGAGAGAGTGGGTTGCCTGTGGGGGAAAGAGTGAGTTTGGGAAAGGAGTGAGCCTGAACCCCCAAGCCCCTCCGTGGGGGAGAGTCACCAGAAGACATGGTCCAATACGCCCTCCACAGAACTTCACGCCAACACTCTTAGGATTCCTGTGATGGTGGCGGGGCAGAACCTGCAACAACATTGCACAGAAATACTGGCTGAGCCCAAATAGGACTAGGGGAGGGGATCATGCTGGTCCCTGTGGGAGGAGCATGAAAGCAAGAGAAGGGATGTCTAAGCTGCCACACAGGGTGCTGCTGGCCCTTCTAGGGAGAGGAGGCCACTTGTGCAGGGGCCTGGGGGCAACTGGGAGCACAGTGCAGGGTGTTCGTGCTGCATACAGGGGAAGGGAGGGCAGGGGAAAGGAGGGCTGCGGCCCGCGGGCCTTGGAGGCCACACTACAGAGACAGGACTTAGCCCAGAGGCCACCGAGGAGCTTTCATCAACAGGAAAGTAGTGTCGAGTACTGCAGGCCACGTGGCTGCATGTGAGAGTGGCTGTTGGGAATAGGGTGCAGCAGCCCATCTGGCCTCAGAGGCATGAGAACTGAGAACAGCTGTGCGGCCATACCTTTATGCATGGATGGACATAGCCTCCAAAATGTGGGACAGCCTGAGTGTTCAACAACAGACACATGGACAAACAGCCTGGCCATAAAGCACGGTGCCATTCCACCGTAACACGACGGCTAGACCTCAAAGAGTTTGTGCTGGGTGAAACAAGCCAGACACAAATGTCCAGAATAGGCTCATTGGGACAGAAAGCAGATGAGTGGGTGTCAGGGGCTGGGGCAGGGGAAGGAAAATGGGGCAGGGGCAGTCCTTTTTAAAAAATTTTGTATTTATTTTTTATTTTTTAATGAGACAGACAGGGTCTCACCCTGTCACACAGGCTGGAGTGCAGTGGTGCAGTCATAACTCACAGCAGCCTTGATCTCCTGGGCTCAAGCAATCCTGCCCCAGCCTCCTGAGTAGCTGGAACCACAGGCGTGTGCCACCATACCCTGCTAATTTTGTGATTTTTTTTTTTTGTAGACAAGATCTCACTATGTTGCCCAGGTTGGTCTCAAACTGCTGAGCTCAAGAGATCGTCCTGCCTCAGCCTCCCACAGTGCTGGATTACAGGCATGAGCCACCACACCCAGTCTCGGGTTTCTTTTTATTTTGAAGAAAATATTCTGGAACTATAGCGCATACTAAATGCCACTGAATTGTGCACTTTAAAGCGATTGATTGTATATTTTGTGAATATCGCCTCAAAAACAGACAGATAGATGATTGATGGATAAATTGATACATAGATATATAGATATATAGACATGATATAGATAATTGATCGATAGATGATGGATGATTCAGAGGTGCTAAGTGATAGATAAAATACATGATAGATACATGGATACATAGATGAATAGAGAGAGATGATAGATGATTTAAAAATTTGTTTTAGAGATGAGATCTCACTATCTTGCCCAGTCTGGACTTGATCTGCTAGCATCAAGCAGTCCTCCTGCCTCAGCCTCCTGAATTACTAGGACTACAGGCACATGCTACTGTGCCTGGTGATAGATAAATTATTGAAAGATAGACATGATAGAGGCATAAATGATAGATAGATTGATAGACATGATAAAGGGTAGATAGGAACATACATGGGCTAGATCAATGATTATAGAAGTAAATGATATAGATTAATAGATTATTGATCATAGATTAATAGGTGGATAGCTGATTGATAGATGATTGATCGATTGATTGGTTGACTGATTGATGGAGAGAGACAGAAAAGCAAGCATAGCCATTGCAGTCACCCAGACAAGACATGCTGAGGCCTGGAGGTCCAGAAGGTTCGAGCAGTTGGAAGAACTTGACAGGCATGGGGGCAGCTTCTTCAGGGAGTGGAGGGGGCAGCAAGGTACCACTGAGTTCTGGTTGGAAGGTTAGGTGAGCGACAGCACCCTTGGTGGACAGAGGCAGCTCCAAAGGAGGGGAAGGCCTGGGGAGCAGGTGCAGCCCGAGGGGATGGTGCGTAGGCAGTTGGTTTAGAGCTTGGGGCTCCTCAGTGGGACATGGGTCAGCAGGGAGGCC
Organism: Homo sapiens; assembly: GCF_000001405.40. NCBI lineage: Eukaryota > Metazoa > Chordata > Mammalia > Primates > Hominidae > Homo > Homo sapiens. The sequence goes on along the minus strand of NC_000002.12, from coordinate 89,760,999 downwards.
AGTGGTCATTGAAGTTTGGATGGAGACATACTGGCTGAGGGGAGGGGCATGCTTGGCATCTCATTTAGGGGACAGGAGGTAGACTGTTTACCTGTATTTTGAGATTAGGATTTATTCCTAATCCCAGGAGGTGGCCGATTCCGAGGGCTGGGAATTGTTCCTCCATTTCTTTTGATGATTGTGTAAGTCGCCCATGCTTGATCATAAACCCCTTTTGTTTATTTTTGACACATAGCTGGAATGGCTCTAATTACTACAGATAGAAGGAGACACATCTGGCAAAGACCATCCAAAAGGAAGCTATTGGAGAGAAGCTCATAGTGCACAAAGTAGGCTCCAAGGCAAAAACATTATTAGGATTAAAAGTGGTTGCAGCATACTGATGAGTATTCATTCCAAAGCGTTCACTGGTAGGGGAGGGGTGGGGGAAAAAGAATAAATACATAAATAATTTAATTATTTTAAAAGAAGTATTAGCGGTCAGGCATGGTGGCTCATGCCTATAATCCCAGTATTTTGGGAGGCCAAGGCAGGCAGATCACCTAAGGTCAGGAATTTGAGACCAGCCTGAACAACATGGTGAAACCCCATCTCCACTGCAGTACAAAATTAGCCAGGCATGGTGGCTCATGCCTGTAGTCCCAGCTACTAGAGAGGCTGAGGCAGAACTGCTTGAAGCTGGGAGGCGAAGGTTGCAGTGAGCCAAGATCACGCCATTGCACTCCAGCCTGGGCGACAGGAAAAAAAAAAAAGAAGCATTAGCCATTCTGATCTTCTGTGCACCTGCATAATGATAGAGCCTCAAATGACTACAAAACAAAAAAGTGTCAAGAAAAGGAAAAAGTAATAAATGAGCACATTCTCCATGCAGGAAATTATACCACTTCTCACTGGAACTGCTGGTTTAAGCAGACTCAATTAGGAAGAATATAGAAAAATTGGGCCAGGCATAGTGTTTCATTCTTGTAATCCCAACACTTTGGGAGGCGAAGGCAGGCAGATTACTTGAGGTCGGGAGTTTCAGACCAACTTGGCCAACATGCTGAAACTAAAATAAAAAATACAAAAATGAGCCAGATGTGGTGGCTCATGCCTGTAATCCCAGCTACTTGGGTGGCTAAGGCAGGAGAATCACTTGAACTTGAGGTTTCAGTGAGCTGAGATCATGCCCCTGCACTCCAGCCTGGGCAACAGAGTGAGACTCTGTCAAAAAATAAAAATAAAAAAAAAGAATATGGAAAAGTTGAACAAACTTGATTTAGTGGACACCCAAAAACTACAGACCACACATTGTTTTCAAGTTCACCTTGGACATTTACTAACAGTCACCATGTCCTAGGCTGCAAAACAAGACTCAAAAAATAGCAAAAGAACTTGCATCACACCAGCCATGTTCTTGATGCAACAGAATAAAGGCATAAATTGGCAACCAAACTAAAATTAAGGGCTCCCCTATGTTTGGAAATTTAAAGAGACACTACTGGCCAGGCACGGTGGCTCACACCTATAATCCCAGAGCTTCGGGAGGCCAAGGCAGGAGGATCCCTTGAGTCCAGGAGTTCAAGACCAGCCTGGGCAACATAGTGAGAACCCCCCATCTCTATAAAACTAAATTAAATTATTTTTTAAACTAAAAAAATAAAAAAATAATGCACTGGTCCAAGAAGAATTAGAATGAAAATCTAAAAGCATTTAGAACCAAACAATGAAAACTATGTACAAAACTTAAGCCATGTAGCCCAAGCAGTACTACAAGGAAATTTAAAAAAAAAAAAAGTGTGGCCAGGCGCGGTGGCTCATGCCTGTAATCCCAGCATCTCGGGAGGCCAAGGTGAGCGGATCACCTGAGGTCAGGAGTTAGAGACCATCCTGGCCAACATGACGAAACCCTATCTCTACTAAAAATACAAAAATTAGCTGGGCGTGGTGGTGAGCACCTGTAATCCCAGCTACCTGGGAGGCTGAGGCAGGAGAATTGCTTGAAACTGGAAGGTGGAGGTCGCATTGAGCCGAGATCATACCACTGCACTCCAGCCTGGGCGAGAAGAGTGAAACTCCATCTCAAAAAAAAAAAAGTGTAAAAAATAGAAATAATATTATGAAGTACAGAGGGATCTCCCTGCAGGCATCACGTGGTGCTGAAACATCAGGGGCACCTGGGGGGCGAAAGACATGAGTGGGAACAACTTCAGCCCTTGCTTCTCCTCCAAACACCGCTGAAAGGAATGCAAAGGGATTGCAGATGTAAAAGGGAAGAGTTCACAGCAGAGAGTGAGAGGAGCTCCTGTCAGAAACATCACAGAAGCTGGAAAACAAGTGGGGGAGTGATAACTGATTCAAGGGATCAGCGTGAACTTGGAAAAAGTGGTGGGAAGCACCAAGGGCACGTGTCCACAGAGGAAAGGCCACGTGAAGCCACCACCCAGAAGAGAGGCCTTGGAAGAAACCAACCCTGCTGGCACCGTGATCCTGGGCTTCCAGGCTGCAGGACTGTCAGACCATTATGGTGTTGGACCGACACTGTAAAGAAAGAAGTAGTGATAGCACACATGGTTGTCTCGCTCCAGTTCTAAAAGGGGGAAGGATGCCGGGTGTGGTGGTCTCCAGAAGGCCCTTCCATGTTTCTCTGTGGCACCCGCAGTGCCTGGATGTCAGCACTGGGATAAACCGCCTCCAGATTTATCTGTAAAATCCGAGCATCAGTGAGCTCAACTCTCCCGCTTTCTCAGCTCTCTGTTTCCATTAGGTTTGGTTGATCTGGGTCAGGGCCAGCATCAGAGGTAAACCCAAAGCTGTACTCTGTGGACTGACCTCTTCTCCCTTCTCCTACATGTCTGCCATGTCCACTAGCCTGTGAGCTTCAGGAGACAAAGGAGCATGTTTCTTCTTCCTGATACCCCCGAAACTTGCACTGTACTTGTTATAAAATGCAGATTCAATGAGGGCTTTTTGCATTACAATTTTGAGAAAGAATCATGAACCATGATTTAGCGTCTCTTCCCATCAAACCACAGGCCCATAGAGCAATTGCCTTTACCTGTGATGCACACCTCCTACATGTCCTCCCCGCAGCCTGGCATCTCTGTACTGAAAACCAAACACAAAACTCATTGCCATCCCTCTTCAACATGGCTTCCTTTCTGACTTTCCTTCAGGTGCCCCAGGCAGAACCATGGGGATCATCTGACCCTCTATCTCCCTCATCCTTCCCTATCCCACCAGCCCATGTCTTACTGACTCAGTCCTTAAAGTCCCTCTGGCTCCCCACCGGATCCTCAGTGTCTGGTAGTACAGTGCCTGACGTGGGAGGTACACAGCGACCACTAGGTGAATACAAGAATGATGTGATTGGCCAGGCGCGGTGGCTCATGCCTGTAATCCCAGCACTTTGGGAGGCAGAGGCAGGCAGATCATGAGGTCAGGAGATCGAGACCATCCTGGCTAACAGGGTGAAACCCCGTATCTACTAAAAATACAATTCTTGTCATGCACACGTACTATTCATCAAGAAAGGTATTACAACTTCAGAAATGTGTTCAAAATGTATCCATACTTTGACATATTAATGAAATAATCACATTCTACACAAAACTACTCCATATGGAATATTGGGGAGGGGGTGTTCCAAATAAAGAGACTGAGGATTTCTCATGAGAACTCAGTGTCTGCTAGAAAATATCTAAGTAAAATATTTTACTTATGCAGAAAGTGTGGATGTTTGTGCATCAAAAGTTTCAAGAATCCTTAAAATGTACAATGGAGATGAGGAGAAAATATCAGAATTTCCCAGCACCAGAAATGAGGCAAGAAAAAATTCAGAGGAGTTGTAAATGTGAAAAGCCAATGGCTGGTCACGCAGCAACATTGATAACCTTGTGCCAGGACAACTAGAATAAATACATAAACATACAGATTGAAAATATTTCCAATATTAGATCTCCCTCATGTGAGAACTAAATTATAAAGATTGAAGCATATAAGAAAATAAGCTACCAGAATTTAGGCTACCAGAATAAATTCGATTACACATAAATTTCTGACATTGAAATTGTCACAAATGTTTAAGTTGGTAGTGGAAGACAAAGGACATATGATCTTGGGAGTCCTAGGGCCCCGCCCACTGCCAGTGCCTCCACACTATTACAGCTGATGCTTTCTGGAAAGCACCACCTCCTGGCAGTAGGCCAACCACACAAATATAGAGCATTAAACCACTAAAGCTAAGGACCCTCACAGAGTGTACTGCACCCTTCACCACATCCACTGGAACAGGTGCTGGTATCCATGGCTGAGAGATCCATAGATGGTTCACATCACAGGGCTCTATGCAGACAACCCCTAGTACCAGCCCAAAGCCAGGTAGACCTGCTGGGTGGCTAGACCCAGAAGAGAGACAACAATCAATGCACTTCGGCTCACAGGAAGCCATGCCCATAGGAAAAGGGGGAGAGTACTACGTCAAGGGAACACTCCATGTGACAAGAGTCTGAACAACAGTCTTCAGCCCTAGACCTTTCCTCTGACAGAGCCTACCAAAATGAGAAGGAATCAGAAAACCAACCCTGGTAATCTGACAAAACAAGACTCTTCAACACCCCCCAAAGAATCACATCAGTTCATCACCAATGGATCCAAACAAAGAAGAAATCACTGATTTATCTGAAAAAGAATTCAGGTTAGTTATTAAACTAATCAGGGAGGGGCCAGAGAATGGGGAAGCCCAATGCAAGAAAATCCAAAAAATGATACAATAAGTGAAGGGAGAAACATTCAAGGAAATAGATAGCTTAAATTAAAAAAAATCAGGAAACTTTGGACACACTTTTAGAAATGTGAAATGCTCTGGAAAGTCTCAGCAATAGAATTGAACAAGTAGAAGAAAGAAATTCAGAATTCGAAGACAAGGTCTTTGATTTAACCCAATCCAATAAAGACAAAGAAAAAAGAATAAGAAAATATGAGCAAAGCCTCCAAGGAGTCTGGCATTCTGTTAAACGATGAAACCTAAGACTAATTGGTGTACCTGAGGAAGAAGTGAATTCTAAAAGCCATGAAAACATATTTGGGGGAATAATCAATGAAAATTTCCATGGCCTTGTGAGAGACCTAGACATCCAAATACAAGAAGCACAAATAACACCTGGGAAATTCATCACAAAAAGATCTTAGCCTAGGCACATTGTGATTAGGTTATCCAAAGTTAAGACAAAGGAAAGAATCTTAAGAGCTGTGAGACAGAAGCACTAGGTAGGAAGCACTATAAAGGAAGACCTATCAAACTAACAGCAGATTTTGCAGCAGAGACCTTACAAGCTAGATGGGATTGGGGTCCTTTCTTCAGCCTCCTCAAACAAAACAATTATCAGCCAAGAATTTTGTATCCAACAAAACTAAACATCATATATGAAGGAAAGATACAGTCATTTTCAGACAAAGAAATGCTGACAGAATTTGCCATTACCAAACCAGCACTGTAAAAGCTGCTAAAAGGAGCTCTAAATCATGAAACAAATCCTGGAAACACATCAAAACAGAACTTCATTAAAGCATAAATCACACAAGACCTATAAAACAAAAATACAAGTTAAAAAGCAAAAACAGAAAAAAAACAATGTACAGAGGCAACAAAGAGCATGATGAAAACAATGGTACCTCACTTTTTAGTAGTAATGTTGGTTGTAAATGGCTTAAATGCTCCACTTACAAGATACAGAACCACAGAATGGATAAGAACTCACCAACTAACTATCTGCTGCCTTCAGGAGACTCACCTAACACATAACAACTTACATAAACTTAAGGAAAGTGGTAGAAAAAGACATTTCATGCAAATGGACACCAAAAGCGAGTAGCGGTAGCAATTCTCATATGAGAAAAAACAAACTTTAAAGCTACAGTAGCTAAAAGAGACAAAGACAGAGAGTATATAAATGTAAAGACCTCATTCAACAGAAAAATATGACAATCCTAAACATACATGAACCTAATACTGGAGCTCCCAAATTTATAAAACAATTACTAGTAGACATAAGAAATGAGATAGACAGCAACACAATAAGAGTGGGGGACTTAAATACTCCACTGACAGCACTAGACAGGTTATCAAGACAGAAAGTCAACAAAGAAACACTGGATTTAAACTATACTTTGGAACAAATAGACTTAACAGATATATACAGAACATTTCATCCAACAACCACAGAATACACATTCTATTCCACAGCATATGGAATTTTCTCCAAGATAGACCATATGATAGGCCATAAAACGAGTCTCAATAAATTTAAGAAAATTGAAATTGTATCACGCACTCTCTCAGATCACAGTGGAATAAAATTGAAAATCAACTCCAAAAGGAATCTTCAAAACCATGCAAATACATGGAAATTAAATAACCTGCTCCTGAATGAGCATTGGGTGAAAAATGAAATCAAGATGGAAATGTAAAAAATTTCTTCGAACTGGATGACACAACCTATCCAGACCTCTGGGATACAGCAAAGGCAGTGCGAAGAGGAAAGTTTGTAGCCCTAAACACCTATGTCAAAAAGTCTGAAAGAGCACAAACAGACAATCTAAGTTCACATCTCAGGGAACTAGAGAAGCAGGAACAAGCCAAACCCAATCCCAGCAAACAAAGGAAATAACCAAGATCAGAGCAGAACTAAATGAAATTGACACAACAACAACAACAACAACAAATACAAAACATAAATAAAACAAAAAGTTGGTTATTTGAAAAGATAAATAAAACTGATAGACCGTTAGCAAGATTAACCAAGAAAAGAAGAGAGAAAATCCAAATAACTTCACTAAGAAATGAAACAGGGGATATTACAACTGACACCACTGAAATATTAAAGATTATTCAAGGGTACTATGAACACTTTTTGGCACATAAAGTAGAAAACCTAGGAGAGTTGGACAAATTCCTGGAAAAATACACCCTCCTAGCTTAAATCAGGAAGAATTAGATACCCCAAGCAGACCAATAAAGCAAGCAGCAG